>NC_000008.11:8276089-8580570 GCF_000001405.40 Homo sapiens
ACTGAGGGATATGAGAGAAGGCAGAAAAGGGGAAAATGAAGAATTCTAAAGATTTCATTCCATTAGATGGTGAGCAAAATATGAAGGAATCAAGAAGAAATCAGTAGAGGAGAAAGTAGAGCTCAGAGGGAGTGATACCATCGAAATAATAGGACAATAGCGTCATTTGGTCTGATCTAGAGAGCAGGAGAAAGCCAGGTCATTAATTGAATGGAATATTATGATAGAACTCCTAAATTAACAAGATAAAGATAAAATATATAGCAACACAAGAAGACCGAAAAAAATAAGAAGGGAAACAGAGGAATAACAATGTTAAATAGCAGCCATAAAGTAATAAGAGAGGTATATTTATTTAACGTTTTCTTTCTTCTGTATTATTTGGGTACATTTTAAACCCAAACAGATTTAAAATTTAAGGCTATGAGTCGTTTGTTTGTTTGTTGTTTTTGTTGTTTAGCTAAGTACAGCTTTTATTGCAATACCCAAGCATTCAGGTACAGCATTTTCCTTACTTTGTAATTCCAAATATTTTCTAAGAAGTTAGAACTTCTAGGCCGGGCACGCGGCTCACGCCTGTAATCCTAGCACTTTGGGAGGCTGAGGCAGGCAGATCACCTGAGGTCAGGAGATCGAGACCAGACTGGCCAACACAGTGAAACCCCATCTCTACTAAAAATACAAAAATTAGCCGGGGATGGTGGCGCATGCCTGTAATCTCAGCTACTTGGAAGGCTGAGGCAGCAGAATCGCTTGAATCAAGGAGGCAGAGGTTGCAGTGGGCCGAGATCGTGCCACTACACTCCAGCATCGGTGATAAGTGAGACTCTGTCTCAAAAAAAAAAAAAAAAAAAAAAAAGAGAAGTTAGAACTTCTTTTGACCCATGGATGATTCAGCTTATTTTTAATTTTTAAAACTTCAATTTTTGAGTGTGTAGAATGAACATTTTGCTATTGGTGTCTAATTTAATTGTGCTATGGCCAGAGATTGTTGTCTATAAGAAAAAGGTTTTTCAAATATTCATTGACATTTGCTTTGTGGCCCAAAATGTAATATTTATATGTAATGACCTTTAAATCCAGCTTATGTTGTCTTGCCTGCTTGATCTATCAATTGCTAAAGAGGTACATTGGAATCCCCCACTATCACGATTGGTATGTAAAATTCTTCCTATATTCTTCCAAATTAACCTTTATATATTTTGAAGCTATTTTATTGAATTTGTATAAATTTAGAATGGATACATCTTTCTGTTGAGGTGAAACTTTTATGAACATGTAATAATCTTCTTCATTGTCATTAATGTTTTTATTTCTGATGTTTATTTTTTCTATTATTAAAATAATTCTCCTACTTTCATCTATGTAAATATATCTTTTCCAATTAAACCTTACTGTGTTCTAAAGTGTTAAGTTTACTTCTTCTAAACAGAATATAACTAGATTTCAAAAAAAAAATCTAGTCTGACAGTCTTTATCTTTGAACTGCAGATATTAGTCCATTTATACTTAATGTGATTATTATTATTTTGTATTTTCTAATTTTCTCCCAAGTTTATCTCCCCTTTTACTCCTTTCTTTCTCTCCTTTGGATTAAGTTTTTGTTCCATTCCTTAGTATTTTCTAAATGATAAATTATTTCTGTTTTTAGTAATGACCCAGAAAATATAACATGCATGTTTAATTTAACAAGATGTAAAGTTAATCAACAGCTTTACCCTCCTCCCCAAAATCTAAGAGCCTCAGTTGGCCTTTCTCCCATTTTCTTCTCCTCCTGACATTTATGCTATTTTTTGTATAGAAATTTATGTACATATCTTAATTTTTGTGGTCTTATACATTGAACATTTTTATCATAACCTTATCAGTCATATAAATTTTGTTTATTCACATTCATGCCTCTTAGACTCTTTCTGAGATTCTTTTGTTCTCTTATAAAGAAATTACTTTGGAGGGAGTCTGTTCGTCACGACTTCTCAGTTTTTGCTTATCTAAATGTGTTTTTCTTTGTCCCTTGTTACTAAAAGAGAGTTTGGTTACATGCAGTTCTAGCTGAATATATTTTCAGTGCTTTGAAGATGTTATGCATTGTCTTCCTGACCTTCATTGTCCTTCCTGTCAATGGAATTGTTATTTTTTTTATAGATTTTGACATATGCCCTAATTTGCCTTCCATAATTCCTATTTATTTCTGTGATACTCTTCACCTGTTTGGTTAGCACCCCTTTCATTCTCAAGAGTATCCTGGTTTGGCCGGGTGAGGTGGTTCATGCCTGTAATCCTAGCACTTTGGGAGGCCAATGTGGGCAGATCATGCGAGGTCAGGGGTTCCAGACCATTCTGGCCAACATGGTGAAACCCTGTCTCCACTACAAATACAAAAAAACTAGCTGGGCATGGTGGCACATGCCTGTAGTGCCAGCTATTAGGGAGGCTGAGACAAGAGAATCACTTGGACCTGGGATGCGGAGGTTGCAGTGAGCAGAGATTGCGCCACTGCACTCCAGCCTGGGCGACAGACTCCGTAAAAAAAAAAAAAAAAAAAAAAAAAAAAGAGTAACCTTGTATCCTGGTTTGGTCAATAAATTTGGCCAATAAATTATATAGTTAACCAAGTGTTAAGCAATTTATCCTTTCCCTCTGGATACCTTTAAGGTTTTTTTTTTTTTAATAACCTTTGGCGTTCTGCAGTTTTATTATATGTCTTGGTGTTGAATTTCTTTTAATTTACTCTACTTTGGATTGCTTGGGCTTCCGGAATCTAAGATATGGTTTTTCCAGCCGTCCAAGAAAGTGCTCGATCATCATTATCTTTCAAACGCCTACCTTTTCTCCTTTTTCTCTGTTCTCTTCTTTAGGAAGCATTAGACGTGCTTTAATGTTGACTGATTTTACTCTCCTCTCCATGTAGCTTAACTGCTCAGATTTTCCATTTCCACATTTGTCTGTGCAATGGTCTGAGTAATTTCACCAGCTCTGTTTTTCAGTAATTTGTGATGTATCCAGTTATTACTGAGTTTCCAATTTCCAGTTTTTCATCTTTAGATATTCACTCGGTTCTTTTTCAAGTTGATCTGGCCAATTTTCATAATCTCTTATTAGTTGGTCATTCTTTCACTTTGTCTTTTTCCTTTAAATATACTACACTTGTTTATTTTGTATTTTTAGCGATTCCAACACCTATTGTTTTTGTCTATCTGAATCTGCAGTTTCTTGTTTCTGCTGAGTCTCATGCTTAACGCTGATGTGCTCCTTCCTCATTTGTGGGCAGGAGATCTGGTTTAAATGGTGAGTCTTCTTCCATTGGTCTGGGAACACTATCACCTTATGGGCACTACCAGTTCAGGACTACTAGAAGTTTAAACTTATTGTCTTCCAGAACATACAGACAGTAGAAGTTCTGGCCTTGCAGACTTGTTAGTATGATCTTGTGGTTAGAAATTTTCACAGGAGAGTTTTCTCCTACCTTCTTCTAGTCTCACCACAACCAAAACCAACACAAGCATGTATGATCATTGTTTTCCTCTTCAAGGCAAGTTCTTTCTTAGTTCAAACTGTGAATGTCACCTACGGAGGTACAGCTTTATGCAGTGGGTCTCATAGGTGACCTCTCATGATGTTCAGACTTAAGGCTTCATCTCTTGGTCCCCATGTGTGGCTTGTTGTGACTAAGGCTCTAGGTTACCAGGCCACCCAGATATCTCCAGGGAAAATTCCAGCACAAGTGTTGCCTCTTGGATTCAATATTTCTTGTCATTTCTGAACACTAAATCCCTTACTTCTCACATGCCAAGTCATGTAATATACATCCATCTATCTATCTATCTATCTATCCATCTATCCATCTATCTATCCACCACATATATTCATGTAAATATACATTTATCATTTTTAACTGAGATATACTTTCAAAAGTTTATTTGAATATCTTATCTGCCATATTACTAGAAATTGAACTGGTCGTGTGTGTGTGTGTGTACGTACGTGCACAAAACTTGTTGATTTGCTCAAGGAAATATTCATAGCCCTTTACAGTGCCTTACCTTAATTAACATGTGAGTCATCTCACTGCCTTAGCTGGGCTGCCTCATCCTCCTCTGTCTTATTCTGATACCCTGAAAGTTTTCTAAGATAGATTGATTTTTCTCATATCTTGCAATAAGAATTCAGAGACTGTTCTCCAGCAGGCATGTAAAATTAGAATAACATGCTTCAGTGCATTTCTGGAGTACAGAAAAATTTTATAATATTAACTAATGAATGGTGCAAAACACAGAAATAAAGGCATGAAAGAAAACATAAGTACATGTCAGTAAACTAAAACATAGAAATCTTTAAGTCTTGTAGTGTACTTGGTTATTGATCATTGATGATTGATTGTGATAGGTATTAGATAACTAAAATTTCACTCAATGTAAGATCATTTGATGTGCACTTTAAGTAATGAAAAGAATCTTCTGTCTAGGTGTGCTACATATTGGATTCAAGAAACGTCTCTCAATTCCTATAGACCCACACTCAATGGCAATTAAAGCAAAATAGCGACAATTTCTTTAATAATGTAATTGACTTACATTTAAGGCTTTGTTCCTTACTCTGAATTTTCTTACTGTTTCTTCACAATGTTCTAATTTTCAGTCACTTTCTGTCTAAAGCTACAACAGAGTCTTCTTTTTATCAAGCTAATGGTGCCATCTGTTTTTAAAAATATAATTCTATGTGTACTGCTCTGTCTTAATTTCAAGGAAATATTTGTTATCTTTTCTCCACTTTCTTGAATCACATGTTCTAATGTGTTTGTCTTTGGATGACTTTATTCAGAAGAAATTTATAATTTTTCTTCAAGTTTTATTGAATATTATTCTGCAGATTTATTTGCATTCCATCATTTCATCACATGCCTTCTATAATTAATATTCAAATCTAGGAAATTAGGGAAAGACTGTTCAGGAATTAAATCAAATTATGTAATTATTCTGGCCAAGTTTTGATTTCTTAACTGATGTGTTGAATGTGTGCCAGGATAATTCACTGAAACATTAAAATGTATTTCTTCTTTCTCTTTCTCCCCGAGCTTTCAGCAATAATGGATGCCGATCCCTTGCCTCTGGCACTTTTAGCAGTGCAGAAAGCATAAAATAATGGACAATATTGCTACCTCTCTTTTTCAAAAATTGGAGCTCACTGAGGACAATACGCTCTGTGCCCATAGGGAGAAAAAAGAAAAAGAAAAGAAAAGGAAAGGAAAAAAAGAAAGAAAGAGAGAGAGAGGGAGGGAGGGAGGGAGGGAGGGAGGAAGGAAGGAACGAAGGAAGAAAGGGAGGGAGGGAGGAAGGGAGGAAGGAAGGAAAGACTTTTTGTTGTTACTGTTTCTCTCTCTCTCTCTTTCTTTCTTTTTTTCTGTAGGGAGATCATGCAGTCTAGGTGCACTGGAGATCCATACCCCAATCTTTCATAGCACTTCTAAGGGGGACTTTGCCATGTATAGCTAGACACCTGGGCTCCTTGGCAAAGGAGAAAGGTAACTCTGCTTGGGCTGAGAATGAGGAACAGCTCACTTCCAGGGACCACAGGCTCAGAGAATTGCATAATCATGGCAGCTCTACCGGGTTGAAGAACGCATGGGGATCCTTCTCCCTTTTGAGTACCCTATAGACTTCCTGGGCTCTCTGTATCTCAGAGAGGACAGCGGCCTTTGTGATGATAGAAATGGAATTTTCTGCTGGTCCCTTACAGAATAGGAATCCTAAATCACAATTACTTTAAGTTAAAATATAGGAATCATTGCATTTCTTCTATACATGAATTTTGGTTTGCAAATGCATATTCTGTACAAATACCTGTCAGAGAATAGCAACACCCATTCCCAGGTTGTCCACACACCATACTGTCCCTATTGTCATAGGAAGTTGCGAAGGTCTTGAGACAAAGATACCTGCAAAGCACACAGATTTCTACCCATCTTTGAGGAAATATATGTGAAAATCTGTGCAAAGTATAAAGCGCTAGAAGTAATTATTATTTTTAAATAAAATATGTGTCGCGTATTATTTAAAGGACTTGCAGGAAGAATCTGTACGAAACAGTGCTGGGTTGTCATAGTTAAAAATTGCTTTAGGGTTTTACATAACTGAATTTCCAAGATAGAATTTTATATTACATTTTTAAAATAATTCCAGAGTATCCTGGAAAATGTGCTCTGAATCTCAAATTTCACCACTTCCCTGCACTCTATGAATTATTCTTATTTGCCTGAATAGATGAAATTGCCAGTTTGTTTGAAACATATTGTACACTATATACAATTTCATATACAAGACAATTTCTGTATACATGAGAGGATTTCTGGCTTCTGGTCTGACATGTAAAGAGCTTGAAAGTTATTGCTTCTTAGCTGGGTGTGGTGACACGCACCTGTAGTTACACCTACTCGGGAGACTGAGGCAGGGGGATCATTTGAGCCTGGGATGCAGAAGTTGCAGTGAGCTGAGATTGTACTCCATCTGCACTCCAGCTTAGGCAACAGATTGAGACCCTGTCTCAAAAAAAAAAAAAAAAAAAAAAAAAGGAAAGAAAGAAAGTTATTAATCCTGTCTTTACAACAAGGAAAAAAACTGAACGAAGGGAAAATCAACTTTTCTTAGTTCCATCAGAGAACTGAGGTCACAGGGTCAACTGCAACCCCTACAACTGGAGACAAAGGCAGACAAAGAATCACAGCTTCCTGGAACAGAAGCCCAGGAGCAGAAGAAGCCTGTGGCTGGAGCCAGTATCCGTCCGAACGCTGGCACTGGTAACCGATGAATTGTTGGGAGGCTCAGTGGACCAGCCTGAGTTATATTTCTGGGGGCCCAGTCTTGGGAGGGGCACACTTTCAAGAGTTTTACCTCCAGGACCCCTAACAGGTTGTCATGTGAAGATCAAGAAAAAATCCCCTTGTGCTTCTTGCAGCCGGGACAAGCATATAAACCATTTGAAATATACCCAGATCCTCCACCTCCCAAGTTCAAGAGATTCTCCTGCCTCAGCCTCCCGAGTAGCTGGGACTACAGGCACCCGTCACCACGCCCAGCTAATTTTTGTATTTTTAGTAGAGACAGGGGTTCGCCATGTTGGCCAGGCTGGTCTCGAACTCCTGACTCAGGTGATCCATCCGCCTCAGCCTCCCAAAGTGCTGGGATTACAGGTGTGAACCACTGCACCTGGCTCCTTCTGTTCTTTTTAAAAAGGCCTTCCCTCAAGAGAAACATTTTACCAGAGTCTAACCAATCAAGGAGAAGGAAAATACCTAAGTGAAGCTCACTAAAGGACTGAGACCTAATCTTAGGAGTATAAATGCCTCTTCTCCCCTCAACACCTCACCACCACATCAATAGAGGTTTTATATAATAGCAGGGGAATATAGCTGAAAGAATTGCAAGCCTCAGACCCCATTTAAGGAGTCTCTAGACAAACTAGAAGACCACAGGGGAGACAAAAACAAGGACACTGAGGGAATGTTAGCCGCTGACACCACAGCTATAGCAAACAGTAAACACAGCCTAACTCCTGGCCAAATCAACATAGAAGCTCCCGCTCAAGGCCTGTCTCAGCTGTTTGTGCTCTATGCAAATGAGAGCAGCTTCCTAACTAAGCACTGAAGGACTATCTTGAAGGTGACAGTGGGGGCCCCTAGGTGGATCATTTCTCCAATGTTTGGGTACAAGCTACACACAGGCTACAGCAGTAATGGCATGCAGAACTGCAAGAGTCACAGACACATGAACCATCTTGAAGGACAGACGCTGAGCTTCAGAATCACAGAATATCAGCGCTGATAGGAATCATTTAGTGCTGGCCCAACACTCACATTGCAGATGAGAAAATCGAGCTCCAGAAGAGATGATCTTTGGCCGGGCGCGGTGGCTGACACCTGTAATATTAGCACTTTGGGAAGCCGAGGCGGGTGGATCACATGAGGTCAGGAGTTAAAAACCAGCCTGGCCAACATGGTGAAACCCCATCTTTACTAAAAAAAAAAAAAAAAAAAAAAAAAAAATTAGCCGGGCGTGGTGGCAGGCGTCTGTAATCCCAGCTACTTAAGAGGCGGAGGCAGGAGAATCGCTTGAACCTGGGGGCGGAGGTTGCAGTGAGCCGAGATTGTGCCACTTCACTCTAGCCTGGGAGACAAGAGTGAAACTCCATTACAAAAACAAAAACAAAAAAACAAAAACAAAAACAAGAACAACAACAAAAAAACATGCAGGAGTCTTGGGATGTTATCTTAAAGCGAAGTTTATTTTTCATCTTCCGCCATTCCTGTATGTTTTCCTGGGGTGGAAGTCGTTTCCTGATCTCTGAATGAAAAATATATTTACTTTAAATCAGATGCTTCTCAGTGTGGTAATTAGTGGCAAGGCCTATAGAATAAGCAAAGTTTCAAATTAGACTTAGAGTAAAATCTCACACTGTCCTTCCTCCCATTCATCCACCCAGCACTGGGGTCTGCTGAGGTCTGGAATCTTCCAGTGGGTAAAGAAGGCTGGTCATTTCTCTCTTTGCTCCTCCTCCCACAGAAGTTTCTGACCGTATTTGGCTGATGTAGGGAAAGCAAGAAGTAGGAGGAGATGGAAAGTTTCTACTTGAATGGTAATGTTTTAAGATGGTTTCATGCACTCCGAGTGTGAAAACTATTTTAAGGCCAAATCTGTCACAGCTGCCCCAGTACTTTTGAGGGGTTTTCCGAGAACCTATCCTGAGGGTCAGCAAATGTCCTCTGTAAAAGGTCAGATATTGAATATTTTAGGCTTTGCAGGTCACACATCTTCTGTTGCAGCTACTCAACTCTGCCCTTGTAACGCCAATGAATGGGTGTGGCTGGGTTCCAACAAATCTGCAGTTACAGTAACACCCAGCCCAGGGGCCACAGTTTGCCAACCCCTGATCCATCCAGTCTCGGAATTCCAGGTCCGTTGGCTCGGGCATGTGGAATCTAGTTCGTGGTTGCTGAATTCCCCTTACCCCTTTGGGAAAGAAAGAGCAGCTCCAGCTTCTCCCCCGCTGGAGCCTGGTGTTTTTCTAACAGCTACTTGAACAAGTTCTGGAATGCATCCCCATTCCTTCTCTTCATCATGGGCTCGTTACATCAGGTCTACAAGAAACTGTCATGAATTATTTGACCCCCCGACCAAAGACTCTGGGCATCTGGCTGATCCTTCTCCTGGGAATTCACTTTAGTTTGCCATCAAGTTAGCTGGCCAGTTTGGAATCTCAGATCCACAGGCATTAGTCAAATCCAGGTCAGCTGCGTCCATCTAGATTCAGGGACATGAATTTCCCGAGGGGTCCTTTGAAGGCCCCTCTCTCTGCTCGAAGTAAGGAGCAGGCATGGTGGGTCTCATTATACTCCAGCAGCCTTTGCCAGATCATCTCCACAAACCTCTTCGGTCTCCAACAACCCGATCCCTCTCACCCTTGGTGTAGGTGAATCTCTGACTTGCTTCAAATTTCCAGGTGGCCGGGTGTGGTGGCTCATGCCTGTAATCCCAGCACTTTGAGAGGCCAGGGCAGGAAGATCATCTGCGACCAGGAGTTTGTGACCAGCCTGGGCAACATAGGGAGGCCCCATCTCTACAAAACAATAAATAAATAAATAAATAAATAAATAAATAAATAAATAAATAAATAACTAGGCATGATGGTGCATGCCTGTAGTCCCAGCCAGCAGGCTAAGGCAGAAGGATTGTTTGAGTCCAGGAGTTCAAGGCTGCAGTGAGCTATGATTGTGCCACTGCACTCCAACCTGGGTGAGAGAGTGAGACCTTGTCTCTAAAAAATAATAAAATCAAATAAAAATGTTTCCATGGGAGAGAAACATGGCATCTATTGTCTTCACACCTCAGTCAAACCCAGACAGGAAGTGCCATTTTCACACTGTGTGAGTAAAGCACTCATCACAGGACTGTGTTTCATAGCTACCAGCTTTCTTGCTTCTCGTACCTCCGTCTGAATTTCAGCCCCCACTCCCTGTGTCTCAAATTGGGATCGCCAAGCTCTCTAACATAGCTTTTAATTTTTATTGTAACCAGAATCTAAAAAATTTGACAAACACACAGCACAAGTTAATGCATTCATATTCATTATCACAATGATATTCACAATCTCCATCTTTCCCCTATCACACATATTTACATGGCGGGGAGAGGCTGGCAGAAGGGGAGAGGACAGATCTGAGGGGACAATAACGAGAGAGACAACTGTGGGGAAAAAGGAAGCCTTTAGGCGTGGGGAGGACAGGGCAGGCTGTTGCAATGGACACTTTGGGAAGCGGGAGCAGAAAAGAAGAATTTTGGGGTGTTTGGCTGTATGTGTAATGCACTCATTTAAATCTCTTTCAAGAAAACCTCAAAGAAACATCTACATTACTCTTGGAGGTTTCTGGAATAGTCTGCATTTTTTTCTTCTTTCTTTGTTATTCTTGTTGGCTAGGAAGGTTGCCTGTAGCAGGCAGAGGTTGGCTTCAGGTCAGCCCCTCTCTATTCAGGCTGCATTCCGCGTTGTTGGATAAATACAAGTATGGCCAGTTGATTTCAGTTTTACTTGTCACCCATAATCTTCAGGTGACGTAATTGGATGTTCTCATTTACCCAGAACAGTCCCTATTATTGCCTCTTGTCCCAGCATAATGAGTAATAACATCCTCTTTCACTCTCAGTCTTGTCCTGGTTTGGATGATGGATGTTATGGTCACTCTTCCTTTAAGTGACAGCTTTTGCCTTTACTGCAGTGCCTCTCTCTGCTTATCTGGCTGAAGACTAGACAGTGTCTTATAGAAAAAAATAGAAGTCACAATTTATTTCTATTAACAAAAACAATTTGTGGCTTGGAAGAAAAACTTTTCGGGGAGTTAGTAACACATTTGATCCCCATCATCCGGAGACGTGAGGAATAATTTAATTAGCCTGTGTTGCAAAGGAAGTAGCCCAAATGCTTCTCTTCTTCCCCAGCCTGGATATACTTTAACATCAGTGACTCAGGGAGCCTGTTCTACCCACATTGCTCCACACAGGCAGTTCCCTGCATAAAGTGCTCCTGTCGCTCTCCTTCCCGACCAAAATATTTCTGGGAATTTCCAGACGTTCTCTTTGCTACCAAACAAGCTTGACTACATCAGTAACCCCAAGACATCAGCTACATGCTTCATTTCCCGGTCTCTCCCCGCAAGACATCAGCTACATGCTTCACTTCCCACTCTCTCCTCTTTCCATGTCAGCTGCCTACTTGAAGGAGCCACATTCTTGCTGTAGCTGATAGAATCCCAAATAAGGCCCAATGTCTGTGGAAAGGTGCTTTCACCCAGTTCTCCCAAAGCCGCCCTTCCTCAACGGAGTTGGGCAGAGCTGGGCTCCAGGAACAGCTGCAGGGAAAGACTCCCTCTTGGCCAGTTTGTTACTGAGTCCCACGGCAGCCTGCCTGTGCCTGCGCTCAGAGTCCTTCATTTTCTGGCCCTTAATCCTTATTTGCACTGGGGTTCCAACCACGCCAATGGGCTAGATAGGAAACCATGTAGCCTCTGTTCTCTGTCTCCCGTTTCTCTTCCTCATTTTGATCAGAACAAACCTTCCAATCGTATCACTTCATGCACATAGATACCTGACAAAGGAGATGCAACCTTTTAGAAATACTCAAAATCAGCCTATCCTATCACAGAAGTCCTTTTTAATCATTAGAGCTGTTTGAAAGTAGAATTACATGCTGGTTAGGTCATGGTTTGCCCACAATAGTGGTGATAGTCTGGGAGTAACTGGATCCAGGGAATTAGAGTGGGTGTCCCTTCATTGGGTGAGAACCTAGATGTGAGGTCCACCAGGATACCTGTAATTCTGGGTTGGCCAGAATTCTAAAATTAAGTTATTTACTCTCCATTAACAAATTTGGAGATATGGAAAAATAGACTCATTGTATATTGATTAGATCATGATATTTATAAACTGGAAAATGAGAATGAACAAAGGACTATTTTTCTTCTTCTTTTTTTTTTTTTTTGTTTCTTGAGATGGAGTCTCACTCTGTCACCCAGGCTGGAGTGCAGTGGTGCGATCTTGGCTCACTGCAACCTCCACCTCCTGGGTTCAAGTGGTTCTCCTGCCTCAGCCTCCCCAGTAGCTAGGACTACAGGTGCACGCCACCATGTCCAGTGAATTTTTTTATTTTTAGTAGAGTTGGGGTTTTGCCATGTTGGCCAGGCTGGTCTCGAACTCCTGACCCCGAGTGTAAGCAATGCTGTATTCTCTGCTTGCATAATTGTCATCTTGCTCTCTTAGCTAATACTTTGGCTTGCGACAAGACATTCCTTTTGGGCTCTTTATACTCTTGGCTCATTGACCCAGACCTGAATATCAAAGCCTCTTAGACCTGCACTTTCTCACGGAGCAGAGGCTGTGTGCGGCAGGGTCTTTGATGAATGAACCAGCCCCTCCTGTGTGGCATGCATGTGGCAAGGTGCCCGGTATGCAATCACTCAACTGCCCTGCCTTCTCGACGGAGGTGGGATTGTCCAGGTGTTTTATCATGTCCCTGTTTCCGGTCACACACTATTTATCAGGAGGGATCATTGACAGGATGTATACCAAGTCGTGACTAATACTCATTCCCCCACATCACCTCATCTTTTATTTGGTTGCTGTTGCCATAGGATTAGCATTTCCTACCAGGGCCAGAGGCCAGCTGAGAGGAAGAGCTGATGCATTGGTGAGGAAATGAAGTTGCAACAAAGCCTACTACATTAATTCCATTTGTAGAAAACTTAGAGCTCTGAAGAAGCAAAGAAAGCCAAGAAAGTCTAAATAATTTTTGAATGCTTAATAACTCCCTCACATTTAAGAATATAACTTTACGTAAGCTATAGATATGCAAACCGTGTGTGTTATCCACATCCATTCCCTCCTCTGGAAATGAAGGATTGGTATACTACTCCTGTGCTCTCCCTCCACCAGACAATTCGATGTGCACCCAAGCACTATACACATGGAAATAATGAATTCTAGAAAACATAACTATCACACCAGCATGGTTTAAATGTGTTTATGTATACAAATAGTTGCATTTACCCAGCAAAAACAATAGTTAAATGTTTAAAAAATACATTTCCTCTCATATGCAAATAAACTAGGAGAGTGAGCTTGCTCTGCTAGGGCACGGTCACAGTGACTTGAACACTTTCCAACTCAGCCAGGTCTGGCTAAGTTGCACGCTGTTGCCTCACATTCTCTGCCTTCCTGGACCTTCCCCGTTGCATTCCTCCTTTCCCTTGCCTATTTCTAAGCCTGATTCTCCAGTTTTTATCTTCATAGGGTAAGATTTTGGAATTTTGGAACTCTTTGGAGAAAAGCTACTCCACAGAAAGAGACAGAGAGAGAGAGAGGTTCCCTTTATCTCTGTTAGCATCTGACTCTCGTTTCCTGTTTGTCTGCCCTTGCTATCTCTTTAAGACCGTTAAAATGACTTTATTAAATGTAAATATATGAAGACAATGCATATTGTGGTTCACTACACGTGCAAAAAGACTGAATCATTAGCCACCTGGTAGGACTGAGAAATATTACCCTGCATTTTTTTCTTCTCTGCCCTACAAGTTTCTATTGCAGTTTGGGTTACAGCACAGGGTAACGCAATAGGCACTGGAATTGGTCTTAGAAGATCAACGTTTGAATTCCTATTGAGGCTATTGCTAGGTTTGACAAGTCAGTTAGCCTCCTAAGGATTTCTTCCATGCTTACCCATTTCATTTGCGTCATCCAAATTTAAGGTACATGCAAATACGCTCATAAATACACACATAAACACATGTAGATATACACACATATTTTAATAGAGTATATAGTTCCTACAATCTTCATCTACTTTTTTTGCTTTGTTCAGTGTAAATTAATAGACATTTACCTTGCCCCAAATTTTTCACTACCGGCGTAGATTTTTTTTGAGGATACGATAAGGTTGTTTTTCATTTTGCTTTCAAATAAATAATCATCGGTAGGAAAAGGAGATTTATTATATGTATAAACATGTGTTCTCTGTGCAGGGGATATCAGATGTATGCTAACTCTTTTGTGTAAAGAGATCATGTCTAAATCCCTTGAGTGGCTGTTCAGCTAACGTTTAGAGTCTCTTAATCTTGTATTTGATGCTAAACCAAATAGGCCCTTAGGGAAGAATTAAGAATAAGCCAGACAGTATAAAATTCTTATTTTGTTAAAGTTGAATAGTATTTGTTGCATTAGGTACAACCAGTGTAATCACTATGAGGGTTAGTTGAGTATACTCTCTGTACACATACACTCTAAAATAAAATGACCTAGGTATACAGAAGGACTAAAGGGATTAAAGATTTCTATCTTATTATTTGACATTGAGAGCACTGCCCTTTTGTTGAAACAAAATGTCATTCAGATGAATAGATAAGGTCATACCTCCAACATCACAATGAATCTAAATCGCGGTAAAAATAAGTTGAGTAACAAATTTTTACTTAAAAGCCATCAAATTTTATTTTGTGTTTTTGAGTCTTGGATTTTGTGCACAGAAACATTCTAATATTGTTTAAGCAACAGGGAATAGAAAAGATTAATCAGTAATTAGCAAAGCTTTAAAAAAATGAAAGTGAACATGAGTCCTAAGACACGCTGTGATTTTTGCTTTTTGTTGCTGTTGTCGTTGTTATTGTTGTTTTCGCTTTGTCTTCCAGGCTGGAGTGCAGTAGCATGATCATAGCTCACTGCAGCCTTGGACTCCTGGGTTCAAGTGATCCTTCCACCTCAGCTTCCTGAGGAGTAGTGGGGGCTACAGGCATGTGCCACTGCATTTGGCTAATTAAAAAAAAATTTTTTTTCTGGTAGAGCCAGGATCTTGCTGTGTTGCCCAGGCTGGTCATAAACTAACACTGTGATTTTTTAAACATGAGCTCTCCTTTGGGCTGGCAACGTGATAAAAGAAAATATGTTTTTCTTCTGAGGAAAATAATTATTTATGAACACATTTTTTCTTCATTAAAACATAGATTTAGCCCTAAAGTCTAAGTCAAAATAAAAACAACTTAAATATTGCTCCATAAGGCTAGTAGTTGGTAATTTTTGTTTTTTTTTTTTTGAAATGGGATCTCACTCTGTCACCCAGACTGGAGTGCAATAGTCAAATCTCAGCTCACTGCAAACTCTGCCTCCCGGATTCCGGCGATTCATCTGTCTCAGCCTCCTGAGTAGCTGGGATTACAGATGTACACCAGCACACCTGGCTAACTTTTGTATTTTTAGTAGAGACAGGGGTTTCACCATGTTGACCAGGCTGGTCTCGTACTCCTGACCTCAAATGATCCACCCACCTCAGCCTCCAAGTGCTTGAATTACAGGCGTGGGCCACCATGCTTAGCTAGTTGGTAATCTTTTAAGGTGAGGTTGCATTTACAGTAGTCAGTTGCGTTTACTGCCCTCGCCCCACATTTTGTTTTCAGGGATTCAGTGGAATTTGTTCTTATATTTATTTGTGAATAAGATTACATATTTCACTTTTTTCCCTTTCTTCTCTTTGGCTGTTGCTGTGCTGCATGCTTTAGTAATTATTACCAAGCCCCACCCTCGCTTCCAGATACCCAGGTGGCTTGTATTTTGTACCATGGCTCTGGTAGGGATGTGCTGCCTCTCCTGGATGCTACACAGGGTGCATTGGCCATGCTCAGGCTGAGCATCGCCTGGCTGCTGGTGCTGCAGCCCCTGCCACCCTCTCTGGCCCTGCTTGACATCACTGCCTCCAATTAGCTGCTTTCACTGCAGACACCCTAGAGCCCATACAGCAGATGCTGAGGTACTGGAACCTCAGGGTTGGGGAGGAGATGCTGAACTGCATAATATTCCTTGGAAAAGTGGGAGAGAATTCTTGCCTCCCTTTGAGGGCTGTACTCCATTAAACTGGTCCAGAAGTTTGGGTATAAAGCTTATACCCAAAGGTTTTGAGAAACAGGCATTTTCACTTTTAATTATATGATTACCTCTACTCTTTTTTTTTTTTTTTTTTTTTTTTTTTGAGACAGAGTCTCCCTCTATCGCCCAGGCTGGAGTATGGTGGTACGATCTCGGCTCACTGCAACTTCCACCTCCCAGGTTCAAGCGATTCATTCTGCCACCTCAGCCTCCTGAGTAGCTGGGATTATAGGCTCCCACCACCACACCTGGCTAATTTTTGTATTTTTAGTAGAGATGGGGTTTCACCATGTTCCCCAGGCTGGTCTCGAACTCCTCACGTTAAGTGATCCACCTGCCTCAGCCTCCCAAAGTGCTGGGATTACAGGTGTGAACCACCGCACCCAGCCCCTACTCTATTTAAAATAAGATTCAGGCATGAGTCCACTAGGCTGGACCAGGGAAAGATCTGAAAGACAAACACAGCCATTCTTCTCCCGGATAACTGACTCTTCAGTCTTGGAAGACATGGGCCGGCCTGCTCCTCTTTCCCCTTGGGACAAGTTTTACTTATGTGTGTATTTTTCTTCCCCGGGAGTCACTTGGGTTTTCGTGGAAATAGACTGCTGTTTGCCAAAGCCACGTCTGGGTCCCAGAGTTGATGTATTCAGACAGCACTGTCAACATACTCTAGCTAATGCAACGCTGGCTGGTGAGAAGAGCAGGAAAGTTATATAGGAAGAGAATGAGAGGGAAGATTCCCAAACCCCTTACATACTTATTCATTGTAAATTGGTGTTAGATGCAGATTACTAATTCTTTTTTATTTTTATTGTTATTTTTGAGACGGAGTCTTGCTCTTTTACCTAAGCTGTAGTGCAGTGGCATAATCATGGCTTACTGCAGCCTCCATCTCCCAGACTCAAGTCATACTCCCTCCTCAGCCTCCCAAGTAGCTGAGACTAAAGGCATGCACCATCACAACCAACTAATTTCTTTAAATTTTTTAACTTTTAAATTTTATTTTATTATTATTTTGGAGGCAGAGTCTCGCTCTTATTGTCCAGGCTGGAGTGTAATGGCACGATCTTGGCTCACCGCAACATCTGCCTTCCGGTTTCAAGCGATTCTCCTGCCTCAGCCTCCCGAGAAGCTGGGATTCCAGGCATGTGCCACCGGGCCCAGCTAATTTTGTGTTTTTAGTAGAGACGGGATTTCTCCATGTTGGTCACGCTGATCTCGAACTCTCGACCTTAAGTGATCCGCCTGCCTTGGCCTCCCAAAGTGCTGGAATTACAGGCACGAGCCACTGTGCCCAGCTTTTTAAAATTATTTTTTGTATAGACAGGATCTGCCTGTTACCTAGGCTGGTCTCCAACTCTTGGGCTCAGGTGATCCTCTGGCCTTGACCTCCCAAAGTGCTGGGATTACAGGCGTAAACCACCACGCCCAGCCAGATTACTGATTCTAACCCATTGCATATAGCTATAGGTTCTCTCCTCTGTGTCTCAGTCTCCCCATCTGGAAAGCGGGGATAATAATAGTATTCAACTCATAGGACTTCTGTGAGGCTTAAATGAGTTAACAAATGTTTTATGCTTAGAAATATATTTATATAGTGACTACTACGTAACTATTAGCTATTATTATTTTCCCGGCTTTTTCTAACTCATGCTCTCATATCCTGGGTTTCATTAGACAACTTAGTAGTTTCCACAGGTGACCTAAATTTGTTTTTCTCTTTCTACTTTTTGCCTCCCTACTTCCTGTGTGAGGATTTTTTTTTTCTTTTTTTCTTTTCTTTTTTTTTTTTTTTTTTTTTTTTTTTTTTTTTGCATCCTTCCTGCTTTTGTTGAGCACTTTTGCTAGGATTCCTGACATGGTTGGTTTCTCCGTTCGCGTAGCTGCTGATCTCATTCGGTTTTTCCTCCCTTCTCTGGGAAAATGGGAGGGTGGGTGGTGCTTCAGGGTCAAATCAAGGACAAGCAGGAGTGAGTCAGGATCCAGGTGAGAGGATGTAGAAATAAATGATCCTGGGAAAGAAGAAGAGGAGGGGGCTGAGAAGAGAGTTCTCGATGCTCCCCACAGCCTCCTCCAGATTCACGGACTGCATGAGGCTTGCACGACCCCGTGGAGGGTCCAGAAAGGGAAGGACAGCTCTGCCCCGAGCTCACCCTGCAGACTGGGCTTCAGCGTGCTCTGGGCACCCTCAGCTGCCATGGCTCTCCAAACGCCGCGTGCTTCTCAAATTCTGAGCCTTTGTGCGGTTGTTTCTTCTTCTTGGATTGAGCGTCACTTGTCTCTTTTGGAAACCATACTCCACCTTTCAGGACTCAGCTCAAAGCATGGGCTTAACCATCCCCTAAGAAGTATCCCCTCATTCCCCGTGTCCCCGTCTAGTCCCTATTCCTTGGCCTTCTGTGCTCCCCTCTCATCACGAGCCCGGAACTTACCTTGGACTCTTCTGATGATGCGGTGACATTTCCCTAATGCCATTGGGAGCCCATGCAGGCTGGGACTTCGCACCCCTGTCCTAATAAAGGGTTTGGCACATGGTACTTGCTCAGCGGTAATTACATGCTGGATTCAATGAAAGAAGAAGAAAGATAAAGAGATACTTGGCAAGAGGAGAGATTGCCAATGTGAAAAGAAAGGGCAATGGGATGCCGGTGAAGTCCAGCGTAGTGAGATCGCTCCACGTTGTTAAGAGGCGACAGTGGGAGGAGGCAATGGGAAGGCGGAATTCAATGGCTTTCCTCCTGTGAATGAGACACTTGACTGGGCCTTACACTGAGAACCTATTTCTGCCTGGCTGGCGCCCTCCTCCACCTAACCCCCCACGGCTTGACCATGGCTGAGGCCAAGTCCACCACTCTCTACTCACCCCTTCCTGACTGTGCAATTGGCATCTCCCAGTAGAATGAGGAGTGCTGAGTATAGTGTGGACCCAAGTATGTAAAAACACGCCTGGCACAGTAGATCATGCCTGTTATCCCAGCACTTTGGGAGGCCAAGGCAGGAGGATTGCTCAAGCGCAGGAGTTTGAGACCAGCCTGGGCAACATAGCGAGACCTTAACTCTACCAAAATTCATAATAATAAAAAAAAACTTAACCACTTGTGGTGGCACATGCCTGTAGTTGTAGCCACTTGGGAGGCCAAGATGGAGGGATCTCTTGAGCCTGGGAGTTCAAGGCTGCAGTGAACCAAGATTGTGCCACTACACTCCAGCCTGGGCGACAAGGAGAGATCCTGTCCCTAAAAAAATAAAATTAAAAATAAGGTAACATTTGAACAAAAAGCAGTAACTGTGAGAATCAAAGGACAGCAAGGCCAGCTGATGTCCCCGCCTGCTGCAGGCCTGTTTCCCCACCTCTGGGCGCTCTCCTGGATGATCTACCCTGTTCACAGCAGTGGCTTTAGAACCCTGGGCACCATGCCAGGGCTCCAGGCAGCCTCACTGTTCAGCTGCAGTGTGGGACCCCCACAGCCTCACCTTGGCCTGTGGCCTCAGGTCCATGGCCCTGGAGCCCACTTAGGAAGGGCTGTGCCACCTGTGTGGAAACTACTGGTTTTTGGGTCACAAACCATATTCCACCATCAGGGTCACCATCATCTTCTCTCAGCTGCCAGTCTTCTCTTTGGACGTACCTCAAAGGAAAGGTGAGATCAAAGAAAACAAAATGGAATAAAATAAAATAAATGGAAGTGCTGAGCCATCAGTGCCATTTCTGAGCAAGCACCTTTTTTTTTTAGTTCTAACCCATTCTGTTGAGAAAATGTGACTCTGCAAAGACTGGAGAGTGAGATCTCTGGAAAGTGCTTCCCGTGCAAAACTCCCATTTTTCATGTCTCTGAATCAATATTTGTAGATTGACCCCATGTGCCGGGGCGAGACACTGCCTCCCGTTGTTCACCTCTGATCGGATGCTCCCTTCCTTATGGAGGCTGCTGGTGCAGGTAAGGGCTTCCTCTCACTTGCTCCCAAGGAGCCCAGAAAGAGTGATCCCATCATGGAGCAGCAGAAAGTTTCCATTTGTTTGAAGAGGAGAATATGCTGGACTCGCTGGATGAAGCCTTGAGCCGAGAGTCCTGCCCTGTGCCCTGGAGCGGAGCTGAGTGACTCACCCCCTGTTCTCTGCTGGGAGTGGAGGGTCCATGCGGCTTTCCTCCCTTTCTTTCACCTGGTGTGCAGTTTTACTCACGGCTTCTCTCCTATCCTCTGACTCATTGACCTTGATAGGGAGGGAGGGTTACCTGGAGGCATTCCAGGAGGCTGACTTCAGCAGTCACCTCCGCCCTGGGCCGCAGGGGCACTGGGGACACCAGTGCGTGACTGCTCCCGGCTTGCTGCTTTCCTTCTCACATCCACTTTCTAAGGGTAGGCAGTTTTCCTAGGAACTCAGCAAGTCATACCTTCTCAGAGACTTCTGCAGAGCAGCAAGACAAAGCTTACTCAGAGGCGCCCACAGACCAGGAAGGGTGAGTCACCGGAGCAAGGCTATGGGGATCCTGATCCACTGTTTGCGTCCTCTGTAGAGCAACAGGACATTTTCTTATTCCCAGGCCCCTGTGTGCTGAAAACGGGCCGCCAAAGGAGCCTCTGCCTTCAGCCAGGCTTGGAAGAACACCAGGAAAGCAAAAGGTGGTGGTGGGGACCTTCTCCATGTTTATGGGTCTATGCTGAAAATCCCAGTACAGATATGAGGAAAGAGCCCTCTTATGGGCAATGGAAAAGCTTAGATTGGTTCAAATAACACAGTGAAGCCTACTGATTTAAGATGATGCTTTGAATAGAACACTTAAAATTTAGGTCTTTCCTTAGCCTCTGAGTTGTATAAACCACATGATGTGGGGACTTTGATGTCCTCCAGTTTCTTTCTGATTTGAAATGGAGCTAATGCTATCTCCTGCCACCTCCCAGAAGGACACAGAGGAAATATAAACATTGACGTGGTGGTGGCATCTTAGTAAAAAAAAAATCACGAGGGTTCAGTTTGCTAAAGCAAGACTTGGAATGACCTGATAAATGGCCAGGAAAGACCAACTGTGGGAAATAAATTCCTCTCCAGACTTTAGCTGTTGGGGTTAGGATTTCCAGTTCATAGCTTTACTTAGGAAGGTGAGCAGGCTCAGAAAATGCACAGACCCCTTTGAGGGCTGAGCACCCAGACAGGGCGGCTGGCTCAGCTGGATAATTCCTCTGGATTAGGGGAACTCTGGGGGAGGGATTTTAATAAGCGGAAATGTCTCCCCACTCATGGAATAATGGGTTGAGACAAAGAGCAGCTGGAAATCAAGAGAAGGCCAAAGAGGGCGAGAGAGAAAGATAATGTGAGAAGAGGAAAGAAGAAAGGACCGCTAGCTACAGCAGAGGGTTCATTCTCAGGGGAAAACTCATGCTAAAATTCAAGAAAACCTCTCCTAAAGTAAGCTGTTTGGCGATCTTGAGAAAGGCTTAGCCTCTGGAAGCAAAGTGTTAGCTAAATACAAAGACTTGATATAGTCTGGATGTTTGTCCAAGCCTCAAGTTGAAATTTGATCTCCAATGTTGGACGTGGGGTCTAACGGGAGGTGCTGAGTCCTGGGGCAGATCCCTCATGAACAGATTCATAACCTCCCTGTAGGGGGTTGTGAGTGAGTTCTCTATTAGTTCCTGCAAGAACTGGTTGTTTAAAAGAGCCTGGCGCTTCCTCTCTCTCTTTTCTTCCCTCTCCATGTGATTTCTGCACCCGCTGGCTCCCCTCCAACTTCCACCAAGAGTGGAAGCAACCTGAGACCCTCACCGATGCAGATGCCCAAACTTGGACTTTTTCAGACACCAGCATTGTAAGCCAAATAAACATGTTTCTCTATCTAAATTACCCAGTCTCAGGCCTCCCTTCAGAGCAATACTAAATAGACTGAGATAACCCGATATATATTTCAGAAGGATGGTGGTAAGAAGAACATGACAGAGACTCTTCAGTAATCTTGATTGCTGATAGTGGTTATTGAAGATCTTACTCATTCATCTATTTGGCCGTAGGGTCTCTTGAGGCCAGAAGTTCAAGACCACCCCAGGCAACATAGTGAGACCCCCATCCCTACAAAAAATTTTAAAAATTAGCCGGGTGTAGTGGCATGTGCCTGTAGTCTCAGTTATTCCGGAGGTTGAGGTGGGAGGATCACTTGAGCACAGGGGTCTGAGGCTGCAGTGAGCCATGATCGCGCCACTGCATTCCAGCCTGGGCAATAGAGGGAGACGCCCACTTCTAAAAATAAATAAATAAATAAATAAATAAACAAATAAATAACTTTAATTGTAAGTTAAAAGAACTGTTGCATCCAGTCATTAATAGTTCATCCTGTATCTTCCCATATTCCCCCAAGTCAAGGCCCTCACATCTCCTACAAAGCACAGAAAAAGCCAACTCACATGCCACCCTGTGACCATCAAAACAAGGCGGCACGTCAGACTCCCCTGCCTAGACCCCAGTGTGAGCTAGCCAGGCTGGAAAGGGATCAGCCTTCGTGCAGGCCCTCGGCTGGGTCTGGCTGGGGTTTCAAAAGAGTAATCCCATCCAGTCCCTTAGAGGTTGGGCTGAGCCAGTTGTCCAAGCAGATAAACCTCCATATTCTGCCAAACTCCCCATACGAGGAATGCTAATGGGCTAAAACTTGACAGGAAAAATAAATTTGTGGATCCCCAAGCTCACTGCTCAGGTAAGATGATGGGGCTGCACCCATGATAAAGTTCTCTAACATCTGTGCAAGGGCAGAAACCTTCACTGCGAAAGAGACACATGCAGTAGTCATTGATTTTTTTTTAAGGGAAAACAGCCTCAGGAGAACCATAAAACTGGAAACGACATGAAAGATGGCCTTCTAATGTAACCCCTGGGCTGAATTTTTCCAAAAAGATATTATAGATGGAGCAATTATAAAAAAAAGTATCCATAAGTGATTACAAATAGTGAAGTGGTGCTCGAGAGACAGAAAAATAAAAGCTGCTCAGGCTTTTAGGAACTCCAGTTAAATCCTACTCTTGGGCAAAAGCCAGCTCATGGTCTGGAAATCAGCCTTGGATGCTCATTAACAATACCTTCCCATTCCCACCACAGCCTGCGTTTCCTCGATCTCTACCTCATCAACTCCATCCTACCTCATGCTTTGAAATCTTTACCCCTGAAAAGATTCGAGGAAGAGCAGGGGGCCATAGTGGAGGCCAACAATAATATCAAGAAACCCCCCAAAACCTTTCTTCTCCACACACACTACCCCTACTGAAGGATGGTACATGGGGACTTGCAGTATAGGAATTTGGAGGGAAATGAAGGGGATTTTAGATGCAAAGGCCAATAAGATGAAATCTTTGGTGGGAAGGTAAACAGAAAGCAGAATTTTATGAAAAACAATTTACAATATGAATCAAAAGATTTAAAATGTTCCTATCACCTCAATGACTCTCTCCCAAAGGAATCACAAGAAATCCTTCCCCCAACCCCACACACGAAACACACACAAATGTGTAAAATTAAAATGATAAAGACTGGTCATGCCAAGTCACACAGAAGAACTGGAACTCTCATAGACAGCAGGCAATTATATATAATGGCATAACCACTTTGGAAAACTATTTGGCAGGTTCTAAAAAGTTAAGCTAACACCTACTTTATGACCCAGTCATTCTACTGCTGTGTATTTACCCAAGAGAAAAGAAAGCATATCTACACAGAGATACCGCAGAGATATTGTGGGTTCAGTTCCAGACCACTTCAATAAAGCAAATACCTCAATAAAGCAAGTCATAAGGTTTTTTTGGTTTCCCAGTGCATATAAAAGTTATGTTCACACTATGCTCTACTCCCTTAAGGATGTAATAGCATTATGTCTGAAAAAATATACACATCTTAATTTTAAAATAGTTTATTGCTAAAAAAGCTAATGATCATCTGAGTTTTCAGGGAGTTGTAATCTTTTTCTGGTGGAGGGTCTTGCTTTGATGTTGATGGCTGCTGACTGATCAGGATGGTGGTTGCTGAAAGTGAGGGTGGCTATGGCAGTTTCTTTAAATAAGAACAGCGCAGTTTGCACCATTGATTGACTCTTCTTTTCATAAAAGATTTCTCTGTAGCGTGTAAGAATGTTGCATAGCATTTTATCTGTAATAGCACTTTCAAAATTGTAGTCAACTCTCTCAAATCCTGCCCCTGCTGTATCAACCAAATTTATGTAATATTTGAAATATTTTGTTGTCATTTCAACAATGTTCGTAGTGTCTTCACTAGCGGTAGATTCCATCTCAAGAAACCACTTTCTTTGCTCATCCATGAGAAGCAACTTCTCATCTGTTCAAACTTTATTTTGAGATTGCAGCAATTCAGTCACATCTTCAGGCTCATTTCTTATTCTGGTTCTCTTATTATCTCCACCAACTCTGCAGCTACTTCCTCACTGAAGACGTAAGCCCCTCAAAGTCATCTATGAGGGTTAGAATCAACTTCTTCCAAACCCCTGTTAATGTTGATATTTTGACCTGTTCCATGAATAAGAATGTTCTTAATGGCATTTAGAATAGTAAATCCTTTTCATAAGGTTTTCAATTGATTTTGCCTAGATCCATCAGAGGAATCACTATCCATGGCAGTTACAGCCTTATGAAATGTGTTTCTTAAATAATAAGACTTCAAAGTCAAAATTACTTCTTGAGCTGTGGGCTGCAGATGGATGTTGGGTTAGAAGGCATGAAAACAACATTTATCTCCTTGGACATCTCCATCAGAGCTCTTGGGTAACCAGGTGCATTGTCAGTGAACAGTAATATTTTGAGAGGAATATTTTTCTGAGCAGTAGATATCAACAGTGAGCTTAAAATATTCAATATACCATGCTGTAAACAGATGTGTTGTCACCAGGCTTTGCTGTTCCATTTATAGAGCGCAGGCAGAGAAGATTTAGCATAATTTCTCAGGATCCTAGGATTTTTGCAATGGTAAATAAGCATTGGTTTCGACTTGAAGTCTCCAGCTACATTAGCCCCTAACAAGAGAGCTAGCCTGTCCTTTGAAGTTTTAAAGGCAAGCAACAGCTTTTTCTCTCTAGCTATAAAAGTCCTGGAAGGCATCTTCTTCCAAGAGAAGGCTGTTTCATCTACATCAAAAATCTGTTGTTAGTATAGCCACCTTCATCAGTGATCTTAGCTAGATCTCCTGGATAACTTGCTATAGCTTCTATATCAGCCCTTGTTGCTTTCATTTTGGACTTGTATGTTATGGAGATGTTTTAGTTCCTTAAGCCTTATGAACCAACCTCTGCTTTCAACTTTTCTTCTGCAGATTGCTCATCTGTTTCAGCCTCCATAGAACTGAAGAGAGGTAGCACCTTCCTTTGTATTAGGCTTTGGCTTAAGGAAATGTTGTGGCTGGTTTGATCTTCCATCCAGACCACTAAACTTTCTCCATCTCAGCAATAAGGTTGTTTCACTTCTTATCATTTGTGTGTTCCCAGGAATGGCACTTTTAATTTTCTTCAGGAACTTTTTCTTTGCATTCACAGTTTGGATGTTTGGTGCAAGAGGCCCAGTTTTGGCCTATCTTGGCTTTCAGCATACCTTCTTCTATCTATGGCAGTATAGCCTTATTAATTGTATTTCTTAAATAAAAAGACTTGAAATTTCTTATTATGAAACTAAGCTTCATCATTTCTAGCTTTTGGTTTAAAGTGAGAGACATGTGACTCTTCCTTTCACTTGAACACTTAGAGGTCATTGTGGGATTGTTAATTGGCTTAATTTTAATATTGTTGCACCTTTGAGAATAGGGAGGGCCAAGAAGAGGCAGAGGGATGGGGGAACAGGTGGTCAGTGGAGTTCTCAGAACACACACAACATTTATCCATTAATAATCTAATGTGAGCATGATTTGTTATGCTGCAAAACAATTACAACCAAAAGCATCAAAGATCACACCGATTACAGATCACGTAACAGATGTGAAAGTTGGTCATAAGAATTGGGTCATACTTGTCATACCCAACTAAAACAGAGACCAGAAGCCAGAGAGGAAAAGACACTCAGGGTACAAAAGACTGTTTAAAGAACACAATTATCTGCAAGCCTGACTGCTGTAACTGCTTGTGGTAACCTGAAACCAGTATTATTTATACCTTTGGTGATAACTTGCTGCAACTCTAGGACTAATTATGCCCACTGCCATCGGTCACAGATCAGAGTTTGCAATCTCCCCAAACAGTTACTAGCACCAATAAACTTTGTGAAAAAGCAATATGTAACATTTCTTCTTTTTTTATAAATCTTCTAACCTTCTTTTTGTTTTTTGGACATCCTGGAGACCACCTAGTCTGTGTGTAGGCCCCAAATTGCAATTTTGTCCCCAATAAAACTTTAAATTTAGAGATTTGTCTCTACATTTTTATTTTGACTTCAATGCAGACATAATAATAATGAAAAAGTTTGAAATATTGCGAGAACTACCAAAATGTGACACCGAGACATGAGGTCAGCATGTGCTGTTGGAAGAATGGCGTCAACAGACTTGCTCAATGCAAGGTTGCCACAAATCTTCAATTGGTAAAAATGATAAAATATGTGAAGAGCAATAAAGCAGAGTGCATTAAAAGAAGGCATGCCTATACAGAGACTTGTATGTAAGTGTCCCTAGTGGTTTTATTTATAGTAGCCCCAAACTGACAGCATTGAAATATCCTCCAAAAAGTGATGAATACATCAAACTATGGTATAGCCATACAGCAGAATACCATTCAACAATAAAAAGGAATATACTCCTGATATACGTAACAACACAGGTCAGTCTCAAAATGTTTAATGCCAAATGAAAGAAGTCAGACAAAAAAGGATATATATTCTATGATTTTAATTATAACAAATTCTAGAGAAATACAACTTAATGTATAGGGAAAGGAAACATATCAGTGGCTTCCTGGGGATGGATAGGTAGCAAGGCAGGAGGGAGGAATTATAGAGAACCACAGGAAATCTTTGTGGGTGATGAAAATGTTCATCATTTATGAAAATTAGCCAGGTGTGCTGGCTGGTGCCTGTAATCCCAGCTATTTGGGAGACTGAGGTAGGAGAATCGCTTGAATCGGGAGGTGGGGAGGTGGAGGTTGCAGTGAGCTGAGATTGCGCCATTGCACTCCAGTCTGGGCGTCAAGAATGAGACTCCATCTCAAAAAAAAAGAAGAAGAAGAAGAAGAAGAAGAAGAAGAAGAAAATGTTCATCATCTTGATTATGGCAAAGATTTTATGGGTGTATATGTATGTCCAAATTTATCAACTTTTTATTTATCAAGTTTATTTACACTTACACATATGCAGTTCATTATGGAAATCAACTGTACCTCAAACTAGCTGTTAAAAATAAAAAGTCCCTCCCAATCTTGTCCATCTTGTAGACTTCGAATTATCCTTCAAAATTCACCTTCAAGGCTGGGTGAGGTAGCTCATGGCTGTAATCTCAGCACTCCGGGAGGCCAAGGTGGGAGGATTGCTTGAGCTCATGAGTTTGAGACCAGCCTGGGCAATATGACAAAACTCTGTCTCTACAAAAAAAGAAAATAAAAAATTAGCCAGCATGATGGTGAGTGCCTGTAGTCCCAGTTACTCATGAGGGAGGCTGAGGCGTGAGGATGGCTTGAGCCCAGGAGGTAGAGGTTACAGTGAGCAGAGATTGTGCCACTGCACTCCAGCCCGGGCAATAGAGCCAGGCCTTGTCTCAAAAGCAGCAACACCAACCAACAACAAAATTCACCTTCATTATAACTCCCTCTATGACCTTTCCAGTTCCTCTTCTTATCCACCTCATGAGCCAAAATTAGCTTTTTCTTCCTGTGTACTCTCCTTGCACCTTAGATCATTTTTCCATTATAGCTCATATTTAAGTCACTAATAATTTTTTGTTGCCTTTTCTTTTTAGTTACACTAGAACCATTCCTGTTGATGTTCCCATCAGCATTAAGATGCTTAGAAAAGTTTATGATAAAAATAACATCCTAAAGATTATATGACAAGCACCTTGAGCTCCTAAGCAGAAAGGTACAACAGAAATCTCATAAATAAGTCCTAAAGAAATGCTTAAAGTTAATGTTTTACCAAAGGCAACCCTCAAGACATCAACTTGTAATGCCTGGCAGAAAGCAGAGGTAACCATGCAGTTTAATTAGCAAAACAGCAAAGGGAATAAAGAGACCTTGTCTTGTTCTTGGTTTTTTTTTTTTTCTTTTTTTTTTTGTGTGTGTGTGTGTGTGTGTGTGTGTGTGATTGTCTTTAAAAGTGGCTCCCCTTCAGACTGTCTTGTATACTTCAAACTTTGATTGAAAATTGACAGTCATAAAACACTTCATTTTCTGACTTAAGTTCAGTCTACAAGCCAAAGAACTCTATGAGGCTCCCAGTTATACTCTAGGACTGGGAGAAAGAATATTGTAAACTCAAGATCATTCTTTTTCTTCATTAAACTAAATCTTTTGGGTGATCTTGGAAAGACCAACCAACTTATTCTCTTTCAGTTATTCCATCTACCAGTCTAATGAACTGAAAGTCAAAAGACAGGACTAGACAATCATCCCTTACACAGGTAAGTCAACCCCTTGAATTTCAGTTTCCTCACCTTTTAAATGTGGACAGCAGAACTTGCTGTCTGGATTACAAGATGAAAATGCTTTAAAAACCTAAGACATGCCCCAGTAATTCCTCTTCAAGGTATATACCAAAAAGAGATGAAAATAGATTTTTTTTGTTGTGTTTTTGAGACAGAGTTTCACTCCGTCACCCAGGCTGGAGCGCAGTGGTGTGATCTCGGCTCACTGCAAACTCCACCTCCCAGGTTCAAGCGATTCTTGTGCCTCAGCCTCCTGAGTAGCTGGGACTATAGGCAACTACCACCACGTCTGGCTAATTTTAGTATTTTTAGTAGACAAGGGGTTTCACCATTTTGGCCAGGTTGGTCTCAAACTCCCAGCCTTAAATGATCTGACTATTTTGGCCTCCCAAAGTGCTGGAATTACAGGTGTAAGCCACTGTGCCCGGCCGAAAATACATGTTCATACAAACACTTGTATGTGAATGTTCAAAGCAATTTTATTCATGACAGCCAAAGAGTGGACAACCCAGAGGTGCATCAACTGATGAATGGTCCAACAGGCTACCCTGTTCCTTACTAAGGAGGCTGGACAGGTGGTACACAAACTGAGAGTGAGAGTCTTACCTGGCTGTAAAAAGTGATTTGGGAAAACTTTCTGAGGTTATCATAGCTCTTAATAACTGCACAAGGTTACAGATTTCTATCAGTGAAAAAAGCAGTGACTGAGGACATTGTTTACAGTTGGGGACATTAAACAGTGATCACATTATAGCTCAGTAATTGACAAAGAGAAAGCATGACTTCTCACTCCAGGATTCTGGCTTGTCATGTTTCATTTACTTTTGAGCGCAGACAAATTTCCTGAGGAGGACTGTGGATATGAGAACAAGTCAAATAGTAAGACTTACATATTTCTACCTTTTATGTGCTATTTTTAAAAAATTGAATTTTAGCCGACCTCGAGATCCTAGATTTTACCCAGAAGCAGATATTACCAACTTTGCCAGAGGACTAAGAAGAGGTTCTATGGCCTTTTGCCATACCCAGTAGCCTCAGCCCTTTTTCGGAGATTTTCAGTTCATGTTGATGGCCCTTGGAGAGATGGTTGGATTTCTTGTCTTAACTTTCTCTGATCTTTCTGGATAATGGGAGCCAGGGAAAAGGCATGGCAACCACAAATCTGCCCTGTTGCTGCCAGAAAGAGCCCATTGCAGGCAGCCCCCAGCTCTGGACATAGAAAATATTTTCAGTCACAGCCAAAATAAACAGTTCTCCCTCTGGGAGGCCCACTGAGCGACAAGTAGCTTTTGATGTAGACATCACTCCCCCAGAGAGCTATTTGTTTGGAGGCTAAGGAGACAGGGAAAAGCTTCTCTGCCAAGATGCTGTGCTATCATATTTTTACTTCCTGCAATGCAAGCTTCATGAGTCTGGGCAGAAGCGTTTACCCTGGCACTTTAAAAGGAAAGTTGCTTCAGAAACCAGATTCTTCCTGGCAGAACTCAGACATGCCTTTACTGGGGCTGATGAAATAATCAGCCCAGGATTTAGTTCACTTTGACAGACCCTTCTGACCAGAAATAGGAAAGAAACTAGGCCAAGGTCTGGACCCTGCCAACTGTAGCTGTCAGGGACCCCGGAGTAGGTTCCATAAGTTCTCAGGAATTATTTTGGAAAACCAAATTCCTGCTATAAAAACATACCATTAGGAAACATCCCAAAAAGAAGGAATCTATGATCCATAGCCAAGAAATAGAAGTGTATCTTTTAAAGCTGATCCAAATTTGGGGAAACCTAGAGAGCATTTAACCCTACATACATGGAATATTTTGCTCATGGAATTTTGTCAATATTCCCTAAGAATCACTGACAAACTTTTAAGTTATCTTATGTGTCTAGCATGCCTATGTTAGTTCATTTTCACGCTGCTATAAAGATACTTCCTGAAACTGGATAATTGATAATGGAAAGAGGTTTAATTATCTCACAGTTCGACATGGCTGGGGAAGCCACAGGAAACTTAACAATCATGGCGGAAGGTGAAGGGGAAGCAAGGACCTTCTTCACATGGCGGCAGGAGAGAGAAGTGAAAGGAGGGGAAATGCCAGATGCTTCATCAGATTTCATGAGCATTCACTCACTATCATGAGAACAGTATGGGGGGAACCGCCCCCATGATCCAATCTCCTCCCACCAGGTCTCTCCCTCAACACCTGCAGATTACAAGTCAAGAAGAGATTCGGGTGGGGACACAAAGCCTAACCGTATCAATGCTTTTCAGCACCAAATCTTGCTGACCTGAGACCCGTGATAGAGGTTCAGTTCCTGGTAGTGCAGGGACAGCCTCAGAGTAAACCTGAGGTGGCTCATCAGGCTGGCGTTTCATTAACACTCAGCCTCAGTTTTTGTTTTTTGTTTTTTTTTTTTTGAGACGGAGTCTCACTTTGTTGCCTAGGCTAGAGTGCAATGGTGCAATCTCAGCTCTCTGCAACCTCCGCCTCCTAGGTTCAAGCAATTCCCCTGCTTCAGCCTCTGGAGTAGCTGGAACTACAGGCATGTGCCACCATGCCTTGCTAATTTTTGTATTTTTAGTAGAGATGGTTTTTGCCATGTTGGCTAGGCTGCTCTCGAACTCCTGACTCAGGAGATCTATCCACCTCAGCCTCCCAAAGCTGGGATTACAGGCGTGAGCAACTGCACTCAGCCCAGCCTCAGTTTTAAGGAGAAAAATCTTACAATACAGAGGGAAAAATAAGCAGCTTGGGAGGTTTGAGGACTCTTGCTCCCTTTCTGTCCTGGTAGTTTGGTGTAGAAAATGGAATGTGATGTTTTGTAGCAGTCTGGCAGCAGAACGGTACTACGTCTTTTGTCCACCTGTCCTGCTAGAAATTGGACACCAAACTGACAAGCCTGAGGTGGGGGTCACTTGGGAAGGTGATTGTGGAGGCACAGCCACTTGCCTGCAGGTTTGCTGCCTAGGAGGATTGGGGGTGCGGCAGGTGGGCAGGAGCAGAGCCTGCAGCAGGTCCTGGCAGGGGCTAAACTGGGCAAGCACCTTGAAATCCCCCACATGCCCACCTGACTAGCCCCAGAAGGCCTCTAAGCAGTGGGGCAGCTTGGCATAGTCCAGGGTTGAATGGAGCAGACAAACCAAGAAAGAATATTCTCCCTCCAGGATGCTGGAGGGGCTTCATCACCCTGGGAGTGCCTTTAGGGTATTGCAACTGAAAATGGTTGTAACAAAGTTTGTGTGCATCTGTGACACCCCTCATTGCTACACATTGCAGAGAGGTAGATAGTGTTTGGATGACCTGCCCAAGAAAATAGAAAATGTCTCCGTGAACCCAAGTTTGGATGTCACCAATAGAGCACTCACTACATAGTCACTCTTGCAGTGGAAGCCACTCAATACAGGAAAAGTAAATACCAGCTTTAGTGGAAAAGACAGAGGCTATGTGGATCCTGGGGTGACGGCCGGGGCACCATTCATCAGAAACAGAGGCGAGGCTGTGCTGGGGTGGACAGAACATTGGGTTTGAATACAGAAGACCTTGGTTGCAATCTGAGTCCTGTCACCAGCCAGTCATAAGGACTCTCTGGCAAGTTGCTTTGTCTCTCAGAGGCTCCCTGTCATGCTCTACAGGTGAGGATGTTGTATGACTTTAGAGGGTTGTTGGGCGATAAGGAACATGAAAGTGTTTTGCCAACTGTAAAGCTCTGTGTCATTTGTGGAACATCATTCTTCTTAAGCGGTTGACACAGTCATTAACTAAAAACCAGGCATCATCATAAATGTTCTCAACACATTTATTAAACACCTACTGCATACAACGCAGGGGGCAAGGGAATGAGGGAGCAAGCCGTGTAGGACATTGTCACTGCTCTCAATGGTCCTACAGTCTACTCAGTGACAAAGAATATACTTATGTTCAGATTTTTAAAAAACTGCCTGCCTCCCAGGTTCGGAGAGATGCAGTAGTGGATAATTGCAGAGGAGAAAGGGACACTAGCTTTCATAAGCAGGGGAGGACTTTTTTATTTTTATTTTTATTAGTTATTCTTTTTTATTGCTTTTAATTTTGGGGACTACATAGTAAGTGTATATATTTATTGGGTACATGAGATAAATATTATGTGCAATGTGAAATAAGCACATCATGGAAAATGAGGTATCCATCCCCTCAAGCATTTATCCTTAAAGTTACAAACAATCCAGTGACACTCCCTATTTTCAAATGTACAATGAAGTTATTATTGACTATAGTCACCTGTTATACTATCAAATAGTAGATTTTATTCTTTCTGGCTATTTCTTTGCACCCGTTAGCCATCGTCACCTCCCTGCATTGAGCCCCTTGCCACCCTTCCCAGCCTCTGGTAACCATCCTTCTACTCTCTATGTTCTTGAATTAGGTGTGCCTTGAGCCAAACATTGAAGGACTGGCTGGGTGTGGCGGGTCATGCCTGTAATCTCAGCACTTTGGGAGGCCAAGGTGGGCGGATCACCTGAGGTCAGGAGTTCGAGACCAGCCTGGCTAACATGGCAAAACCCCATCTCTACTAAAAATACAAAAATTAACCGGTCGTGGTGGTGGGTACCTATAATTCCAGCTACTCGGGAGGCTGAAGCAGGAGAATTGCTTGAAGCCGGGAGACGGAGGCTGCAGTGAGTTGAGATCATGCCGCTGCAGTGAGTTGAGTTCATGCCACTGCACTCCAGCCTGGGCAGCAGAGTGAGACTCCATCCCAAAAAAAAAAAAAAAAAAAACTGAAGGACGGGCAAGATGCTGATGGGTAGCCAGTAAACACTGGGGTATACACATGGAGGTACAGTGTACTTAGTAGAGAATGGAAGGCATGCAGCCTAGACTCTAGTCCTGAATTTACACTTCACTTATCATTTCACTTTTCCACACCTTAATTTTCTCTTAAAATAGAGATTATCTTTCTAGATTTCTCCATATATCAGAGGAATGTTTTAAGAAGGTAAAATAATATTTCAAATAACAAGACTTTAAATCTTGGAGCAGAGAAGTCAAGTAAACAAAGACACTCTTATTCTGTCATTCATAGTTTTCCAACATTGTCATCAGACACCAAACTAAAATCTTCTGTTCAAGCAACCCAGGGAGTCTTTGAATGACAGGTCAGCGGCATTAATGAATTCCTTCCTCAGTGCTCAGCCCACAGGGATCTGTGAATGAAAATGAGACAGAGGACCCGGATGTAATGCCACTTTCCGTTTGCTAAACTGAGTAGTGTCCATTTACAGAAACACAGATACCCCGCAGAGCCCAGCTGTGGCCATTATCAGGGCTTGTATTATGCTCTTAACATCTCTGCAGGAATATTCACTGTCTGTCTCCTGCATTATTTCCTTTCCTTCCCAATAACTTTAGAGTTACCACAAGGGAAACACTCCAGACCTCACCAGGCCTGTCCAACTGAAGGTCATGATTCCAACCCTCCATCAAACTGCTACCAGAGGCCTGTGCCCCAGTGAAAAGCCGTTTTATGAGAGCACCTGTGACAGGTGTTGTTTAGAAATGGTTATCTTGGGCTGGATGTGGTGGCTCACACCTCCAATCCCAGCACTTTGGGTGATGGAGGTGGGAGGATGGCTTGAAACCAGGAGTTCTGGACCAGCCTGGGCAACTTAGTGAGACCCCCATGTCTACAAAAAATTAGTCTGGTATGGTGGCATGAACATGCAGCCCCAGCTACTTGGAAGGCTGAAGTCGGAGGATCACTTGAGCCCAGGAAGTCAAGGCTGCAGTGAGCTATGATCATACCACTGCACTCCATCTGGGCAATGGAGCAAGGCTCTATCTCAGAAAAAAAAAAATAGAAGTGAATATCCTACCAAAAGAATGAATGACTGCCATAGCCATTTAACATTGCCCTTGGTTTTCTTCATTTTGACTCTTTCTCCAATGAACTGTTGCCTTTTCAGAGATGAAACAAAGGGGGTAGTTGGGTAATAGGCCAGGGCCCAGCAGCTGGTTCCAGTGAGGCCTGTCTGCAGGATGAACGCTGTGATCAAATGTGTGACTCATAGTTGGGAGGTGTCTGCCAACCCCGGCTGCAGGGCACAGTCGGCACTGACCGGGAAGGCAGGCTGATCTGCACCCTTGTCTGCTTCCTGTGCTGGGAGCGCAGCCCCCACCCCACCTCATTCCCCCAACCCTATCTCCACATGGAATTGTTCCACTGGCTGTCACCCAGGGAGCCCCTTCTTTCTACCCATGTTCAGTTGGGTACTTGAAACAGCACATGACTCATGTTGTACTCAGCCAAGACTAACAGCATCAGGCTTCTATTGTTCAAGAGCTGACTCCAAGTTCCATGAACTATTTCAATGAGTGGAGTCCTTGTTGCTTACATTGCAGCTCTCTAAAGTCATGGAAAGAAATGACCACACTGGAGGCACAGAAAAGCCAAGGCACAGAGTAGCACAACCTTGCTCTTCCTTAAACACTATCTCTGAAAGATCATCCTGAAGCATTTTCCTTGGAGAACCGGCCATAGGCACCAGGTTGGGTTTGCCACAAGGGACCAATGCAGACCTTGTCAAAGAAGTGTTGAGTTGCAAGTGCAAAGACTAGCAGAGTCACTCCAGGGACTAGTAAGGGCCTGAGGGTGAATTTTATCATTAACTCAGGGCTCTGCTGCCAATGTTAACTGCATTTTAGAGCAAGCCTCAGGACTTCCATCTGGGAAGAAAAAGAGTCTGTATCTCCCAATGGAAATTAAATGAGTTGTCCTAAGACCAAAAACAAGGAGCAATACCAATAAGAGATCATTAAATTTTTGATGAGTTAATGCTCTCCAAGCAGTGCAAATGACGTTTTAATGCCTGGGGAAAAGGTGATGAAACCTGTCAATTCCCTAACTCAGGGGAGAAATCAAGTCACTTCTCTTTAAGAAAGTTCCGGCTGGGCACGGTGGCTCACACCTGTAATCCCAGCACTTTGGGAGGCTGAGGCGGGCAGATCACCCGAGGTTGGGAGCTCGAGACCAGCCTGACCAACATGGAGAAACCCCATCTCTACTAAAAATACAAAATAAGCCGGGTGTGGTGGCACATGCCTGTAATCCCAGCTACTCGGGAGGCTGAGGCAGGATAATTGCTTGAACCCCTGAGGCTGAGGTAGGACAATTGCTTGAACCCCAGAGAAGGGGGTTGCAGTGAGCAGAGATTGCACCATTGCACTCCAGCCTGGGCAAGAAGAGCAAAACTCTGTGTCAAAAAAATAAAAAAAAAAAAAAAAAAGAAAAGAAAAGAAAGAAAGTTCTTGTTGACATACTGCTAAGTGAGGAAAGCAAAGCGCTCTGGCATCTCAGGCATGGTAACTTCCGTGTAAGAAAGAAAGATATACTTGTATCTGCTCATTTGTGAACAAACACAGGAAGGATCAAGCAGAAACTGGTGACTTTGGTGACCACAGCGGGTGGGTGCTCACAGGGGAAAGGAGGGGAAAATGGCATGGAGGAGAAAGCATGGAGGATTGATACCTGCTCTGAGTGCTCTGAGCATCCTTTTTTTTCTTTTTTTTTAGACAGCCTTTCTCTGTCTCTCTGTTGCCCAAGCTGGAGTACAGTAGCACCATCCTAGCTCACTGCAGCTTTGATCGTTCGGGATCCAGGGATCCTCTCACCTCACTGGAGGTGAGTAGCTAGGACTACAGGTGTGTGCCACCATGCCTGGCTAATTTTTTTGTTTTTTATTTTTTTGTAGAGACAGAGTCTCCCAAAATTGCCCAGGGCTGGTCTCCAACGTCAAGCAATTCTTGGCCTCCCAAAGTGTTGGGATTATAGCTTTGGCCTTCCAAAATGCTGTTACAGGCGTGAGCCACTGTGCCCAGCCCTGAGTACACCTGTTGGATAGTTTTATCTTTGAGTGCCATGTTAGGGCTTGCCTACTCAAATAAATAAAACCAACAAAGCTGAGGGGTAGGAAAAAGAAAATCCGCTTCTCTTTTAGGAAAACCAGAACTTGCTTATGTCATTGTGGTGGTGGGAATGGCCAGTAAATAAAGGGTTTAAATAAGAGGCTCAGTTGTTAAAGTCTTTCTGACTTTTTACAGAATCTGCTGTAAGTTCTGAAATTGAACTCTACACAATCTAGAAAAGAGGAAATGGTTACAGCTTCCTCATTCCTGGAAATCTTTGAGAAAATAATGGACATACAAATGTCTGTGTAATCCTAGTAAAGGAGTGAAGGCCTGATTACCTTTTCAGGATTGTGGAAAGTCACCGGGGCTGGATCCATGCATATGATATTAAATTGGTGCAAAGGCTATTGCTGTTTTTGCATTAAAAGTAATTAAAAAGTAATGGCAAAGGCCACAATAACTTTTGCACCAACCGAATAGAGCAGGTAGTTTGTCTTCGAATCTTGTGTTCTCAATTCCCGCCTTGTCTTCTCTCCTTAGACCTCCACATTCAATTCCCTCAACCTGTCTCCATGTCTGCTTTGCCCTAATAAGGCAGTAAAGCAGAAGTCTGCAGAGTAACCTTTAAGTTTGTTACAGTGCACAAACATCTTCACAATCTCAGCCCATCTGGTGTCTAGGGCAGTATTTTTTTAGGAAATAGCTGTAATCACCTCTGGCATAGGAGCTGGAAATATTTGAGTCTAACATTTAGAATATGTGATCAATGTCTATGTTCAAACTCCCCAGGGATAATGCAATACAAAGTCAGCCTGTTGACACGCAGAAAAATCTCGAGTGAACTTGACCTTCCTTCCCCAGTTCCATAAGCTTGGCATGGATGTAGTCAACTTCTGGGAGAAAAGATCCAGATCAGACAAGACTGAGTATCCTGGATCTGGTAAGGATCCACATTGGTCACAGATGTTCTGGCCCAACCCCAGAGTCCCCTAAACCAACAATATCACTTTTGAGTGAATTTGGACTCTTTTTCTGGAACCCTAGAGTCCATCGGGTTACCTCCTGACCACTTTCCCGGGGTGCAGTTCCTCCTCCTAGGATATCTTTTACAGGGAGGTTGCCCCATTGCCTGCATTAATTAGCACTGGAAAAAAGAAAGAAAGGGTAATTGTCAAGACAATCATCCCATGGTACTTGTTCCAACCATTTTATTCTTGCTTTTTTTTTTTTTTTCAACAATGACATCAGCTGGGTTAAACTTTGATTTCTAATAAATAAATTCCATTCACATCACCATCTCTTAAAAATGGCAAGTTGGTTTTATGTTACAAATCTACTATTTTTAGTGGGATTTGGTAAGCTAATCTTTAGATCTCCAAAGGTTTTCAGATATTCAACAGAGCAGAAAAGGGCTGCTTCATTTGTTGACTGTATTTTAAGCGCAAATTTAGAACTCACTAAAGTAACATGTGTCTTCTTTTTAGAAAATCTTTATAATTATTTTATGTACACGCGTACATCTCAAAAGAGTTTTTTCAGCTCTAAGCTCTTGGAAACCATGAAGTGTTATATAAAGTGGTAACTACAGCTCCCCAAAACCAGTCTTTTCAGATCTGAGCCATATGTTATGATAAATAAATAATCCCTAAAGCGCTTATCTGGCTTCTGGCAAGGATATAACTATTTAGATATGAGGCTTTATAACGCCTACATTAAAAAAATTAGAAGAAAAACGATTCCACATCTTGGCATGAAAATGAGAATGGCTTACAAACAACAAAAATTACGTATGTGGAAAACATAATGGGGGTGACTTGACTCAGTGGGAGAGAAGAAAAACTGGAGATTTAAATACCAGTAGTTGGGTTTAGAGCCAAGAAAAATGGGAGATGAACTCACTGATAACAGGAGTATTAAATTGCCAGATCCTGCAACTGTCCTCGTACAAAAGTCCCTGATTATTTCTGAACCTCAGTCCTGCAGAACAAACTATCGTTTCTGGGCATAATGGATATCATGCTAGAGTCTTCTGTGAGACAAAGCCATGCAGCCTAGGTGTATTTTGAAGTAACAAAAAACCAGTTATATTGAACCTCTGAATTTAGTGCGAATGAAGTTGTTTGCTAAACCTAATATTTACAGCCACATGACTAATCATTTATGGAAAAGGCCAATCCACGGAGAGGAGTGAGTAGGCAAGCATTTCCAGAGAACTTGAGGAAACTAGATTTTAACACTCCATATTTAAACTTCACCAATGGTAGCGATAAAAAAATGCCCTATTGTATAGAGTACCCTTGATATAACAAACTCCATCTTAGAATAAGACTTCATTTTATGTTTCAGAGGGCACTTTGCCAACAAGGATAAGATGTTTTGTTTAATAAATAAAAAAGATAAAGATTGCATCCAATCAGATAAAGACACAAACAAGGACACTCGTCCAAGATCAGTTCTCACCAGAGGCCTCTGTGACTTTAAAATGTCAGGCCTTCAGCAGCTCGAAATGGGGCTGTCTTAACTGATACTGTCTTGCAGTCACTCATGATAAGAACTTGGCATCTGCTTCTGCCACCTCAAACACTTTTCCTTGCAAGACTGACCTGCTCCCACTGGACTGGTTCCTTAACCTTTCTCCTATCTCTTTCTCCTCTTCATGTTCAATGCTACTTTGTTTATTGTGGAATGTTTAATCTGTAATATATGTATATTGATTAAGCATACTATTATGTATGGTTTCCCATATTGACTGACTTGTGGAGTGGCTCAAGCCTGTGTGCCTGCGGCTCTGACTACCAAGAGAACAGGAGGTACTAAAGAGAATTGCTTCCTTGGGAACTCCATGTAGCCTCTGGCTTTTGTGACTGAATTAGCATCAATAAAAGCCTGACATTCTGGAAAGACACAAGCATGTGTGGACCTGGTTATTTTTAACCTGGCATCGCTCATGACACCTATGTTCAAAAAATTCTTTTTTTTTTTTTTTCTTTTTAAAACTGCTATTGGGGCATTATTCAATGTCTTCAAACAAAGAATCCTTGACAAATTTCCTTCAGAACCAAGCACTGGGCAAAAATTTCTTCCTTCTGACGAACTGTTTCCTAAAATTGCACACAAAAAAGAATTCTGCAACCAGTTTTCTTTTTATAGGTTGGTGGACAGCTCAGAAGTAAGTTTTATGTTTAATTGCTCTTATTCCTCTCATTCAGAATTTATTGCTATTGTTTCTTCTTTATCCTTTATTTTTTGGTTCATGTTGGTTCTTAGAACAGTTTTTACAACCTCATTTTTTTTTTCTGAAGTGGGTGGTATAAAAAAGTTGCAATTAATTCAGGAATTAAAAATGTGGCTCCTAAGACATTTCTTTCTTTCTTTCTTTCTCTCTCCTTCTTTCTTTCTTTCCCTTTCTTTTTTTCTCTTTCTTTCTCTTTTTTCCTTTATTTCTTTCTTTTTCTTTCTTTTCTTTTCTTCTCTTTCTTCTTTTTTTTGATAGAGTCTCACTCTTGTTACCCAAGCTGGAATGCAGTGGTATGATCTTGGCTCACCGTAACCTCCACCTCCTGGGTTCAAGTGATTCTCCTGCTTCAGCCTCCTGAGTAGCTGGGATTACAGGCATGCACACCCACCTAATTTTTGTATTTTTAGTAGAGACAGGGTTTCTCCATGTTGGCCAGGCTGGTCTCAAGCTCCTGACCTTAGGTGATTGACATGTCTTGGCCTCCCAAATTGCTGGGATTACAGGCATGAGCCACCACGCTGGGCCTTATTTTCTAATGGCACTGCATTCCCCTGTCAGAATATTTGCTCCTCCCTCTCCATTGTTTATTTACTTGAAGTGAAAAAGGACAAAAAAGCAAAAGACAGCAAATTGATGGCAGAAGGTTTGCCTGGAAAATTCCGAGGGACAAAGAAAGAACTGGCAAATAATGCCCCCCCGAAACAGATAGGTCCTGGGGAGAAATATGATTTCCACGTTTGCAGACTCCTTCTCTTGTACAAACGGGTTGGGAGCTGGTTTTGGTTCAGTTCTTTCCTCAATGCTCAGGAAACAATTGAAATTACAAATGCGCCCCAGGTGCTGTCTTCACCAACGATGCATGGAAAGATGAATGTGTTTACATGTAGTCAGGGGCTGGAAGGTGGAACTCACAAAAGGATTGAAATTAATATGCAGAAGAGGACCTGGGAGAGTTCCCTATCCTTCCTGCTAAGTGCATCCCCAGGTTTCTAAAACATCCATTCAGATCTTTGTATTTGTTTTAATTTGTCCAGAGTTATTCACAAGGTTTTAGAAATCAATTAGTTCTGTAGTTGGAAGATTACCCATTAGGTAGAAATACAAGAGTCTTGGGGCTATTTCTCTTCAAATAGGTAATTTTTGACTTTCGTGCCTGTGTCTAGTTTTGAGGAGGAAAGATCTGATGCCTCCTAATTTTCCTTGTGTGTTTTTAAAGGCATAGTAACAAACATTGACTCCAGTAAGCTGTAGGTGCCAATGGGTGCGTTAAATGAGGTTTTAGAAAAGGAGACTTGAAGGAGGCCCGAACAGCAGAGGGAGTACTGGCCTGGGAGTTGAAACACCTGAATTCTATGCTTGCCCTGCCAGTATCTAGTACGGTAGGAACAGTGGGCCGTTTGCCACCTGGCGTCCCATGCATTCTCTCCCTCCTCCCTGCCCCAGGAGGCTGATCCTCCAGACTGCATCACCCAAGGTCCCTTGCTGTCTGGCATCCTATTAGGTTGGAGATGACAGATGGGAAACAGAGACTCCCATCTCCGGCTGTAGAGATCTCAGCGCGAATACCTCCTGTATGTTCCCCTGTCCTGCTGTTCTGGCCCTTGCTTTTGGCCTTGTCACCCTTTGTTCTCATAACCCTGATCACACCTAGCTAAGTGGTCCCCTTAAGTTCTTTTCATCTGAGCCATCTGGGGTGGACTCTGTTTTCAGGCACGTCTCTGAATTTTACAAATGGCAACCAGCTTTAGCAAACTGGAAATGGGTTTGAATTCCAAACCACTGGGATCACAGCGGCTGTGTCTGGATTCTTTCCAGAAGGCTGCCAGGTGGGAAGAGAAACAGGGAAGATGAATTGGTACCCACTTGCCTGGTCCTTTGCAGACTGCTGCTCTATCTCCTGAAAAGCGTTAAGACCAAAGACAGCTCCGTTTTACCCACCAAACATATTAATACACTCAGGCACTTAAGGATAAAGAGCTTTGCTCATGACTCAACCAAAAAAAATTTTAATGGAATTTTCTTCTTTTTTTTTTTTCTTTAAATAACAATTTGACAAAAGGGTGAAGAAATCCTAAACAAGGTATTGAGGCCAGTGTCCAGGCTGCATTCAGTTCACAGAACTGTCCTCAGGACGTTGCATGGAACTGGAAATGTGTATAATTACAGAAGAAAACAGGGAGGACTTAGTGCAGAGAGGAGACGAGTGTGGACGGGCAACAGCATCCTTAGTCTTTCATATTTATATATGGTATATGTATTTTCTATATATATATTTATATATTTTACATCCAGGTATCCCAGTCATCTGTACCATTTCCCAGGGAGACATGGGTGCTTCCAAGGCGAGACAGGAAAGGGTTAGGCAGGGAAGGGGCAGCGACGGTGCAGGCTGGGGCTTGGCTCACAGAAGCTGCAGGAGCTTCAGCGACTGTAAGAGGGCCCCGGGCTCCGCAGACGCCAGGTACTGGCAGCAAAGCCAGTCCTCCAGCTCCACGCCCCGCCTGCGATCCACCGCCTTCTCCGCAAACTTCATCATCATCAGGGCCCGCTTCATGTCGATCCAGTTGTGCAGCGTGCCGCACAGCGCCTCCTCCGAGGTGCCCGGCTGCTGCACCAGCTCGCGCCGAGGCCCCCACAGCAGGCACTGCAGCACGCGCTTGGCCTCGCCGATGCGGATACGCTTGATGGGGTCGGCCTCCAGTAGCAGATGTGCCAGCTGCTGCAGGCCGGGTGAGTAGAGGGACAGCGCGGGCAGCGGCGGCAGGTCCTCCTGCCGGTAGTCTCTCTCCCGCAGCTGGGCGCGCACCTCGAACGGGTTGGGTTGGTGCAGCAGCTCGTAGATGAGGATGCCTGTCTGGAACTCATCGAACTTGCGGTACTGGGAAGCAGACACGATCTCGGGGGCCAGCCGGGCCTGGCTCTTCTTCTGCTGCAGGTTTGGGGTGCCGCCCGGCTTCTGCTTGGCCTTCAAAAAGTTGCTGATGATGAGCCGGGGCAGCTGCTTCTCCCGGGGCCCTTCCGGGGAGGCGGGGCCGGCTGCGGGGCTGAGAGTGCCACCAGCAGGCGGGGCGGCAGAGGAGCAGGGAGGCGCGGCGGCGGCGGGGGCGGGAGCCGGGGCGGGGGCGGGGGCGGGCCCGGGGCCGGCCTGGAGGGTGCAGTGCACCAGCAGCAGGTTCTCCAGGCACAGGTCCCGGTGGATGATCCCGTGCTCCTTCAGGTGCTCCAGCCCGTTGCAGAGTTGCAGAAGCAGGAAGCACACGCGCCGCTCGTACGCCTCGGGCTCCGCCTGGTGGCTGGCCGCCGAGTCCCGCACGAAGTCGGAGGCGGTCTGATGTGGCACCTCTCGGGTGATGACCACCACGCAGTCCTGCTCCTGGGCAGGGGGGTGTGTGGGCAGGGCAGGCACAGGGTCCTTGGGCGCGTCGGGGGAGCTGAGCATGCTGGACGGCACCGAGGCGACGAAGTGGCCGCAGTCCTGCTGGATGTTAAAGTGCACGGGCACGGACGGGCTGCAGTAGGAGACTGTTTTGGGCTCAGGGGCTTTGCAGATCTGTGGAGAGAAGAAGAAGTGAAATCAAGAGTGGGGCCCATGGTTCCGCCCAGCAAAGAGTGTGGAAACATTTGAGTATCTACGTGCAATAAGCCTATCCACATAGGCTTAAGGGTAAGAGCAATCCATACACATGCTAGAAGAAAACATGGGACAGAATCTTTGAGGCCTTGGGTTGGGCAAAGATTTCTTAAATATCACACCAATAGCATAGTTCACAAAAGAAAAGAAAAATCACAAACTTAACCTCAAAGTTCTAAACTTTTGTGCTTCAAAAGACACCATTAAGAAAGTGGAAAGACAAGTAATAGACTGGGAGAAAATATCTGCCAAAATGTATGTAATAAAGGACTTGTTTCTGGAATTTGTATTAAAAAACACTCTTTTACAACTCAGTAAGACAAACAGCCCAATTAAAAAAGGATACAGAATCATGGCATGGAGGAAAAAACAAACAAACAAACAAAAAAACGTGGGCAAGAGATATGAATAGGTAATTCACCAAAAAAATTTGTAAATGGCCACAAGCATGTGAAAAGATGCTGGACATCATTATTCATCAGGCAAGTGCAAATCAAAACCACAGTGAGATATCAGTTCACGCCCACTAGAATGGGTTCTAATAAAAGACAATTCCAAGTGTCTATGAGGATGAGCAGAAATGGGAAACCTCAGACATTGCTGATGGGAATGTAAAATGGGGCAGACCCCTTGGAGCAGTTTGTTAGTTTCTTAAAAAGTTAAACATAAAATGACCATATGACCCAGTGAGTGGGGTCCCTGCCGAGCAACACACAGTGTGGTCGGGAGGTATTGGTAGGAAGACATCCCTCTGTGCACAGTATGGACAAATTCTCAAGAAGGCAAATAGTGTTTATAAGAAAGCAGCCTCACTTCCCACATACTTTTCCTTCAAGGTGAGTCACAGCAGCTGAAAGAAACCAGAAAGCTCTCCAAGGAAGAAGGAACCAGAAGGAACCCTCAGAGGAACCCCAGGGCACCATCTGAGATGAAGGTAGGAAAAACAAGATGGAAGGTCTCAGGCTTCTCTGTGGGAAGCATAGCTGGGGATCCACACAACTCTGTCTTTCTCGCCTCCTCCATTTCTTCTTGTACAAATGGCAGTGCCAGCCACCTGGGGATCTCTAGCAATCCTAGTCCTCATCTGGCTGCCACTCAACTAGAGAGTCTTGAACCAGCCGTAATGGCCCTCTGTCAGGCCTCAATCTCCCTGTCATTACCCTGAAAGGGACTGAAGTCCCCTCTCTCAAATGAATATTATGCAACCTCACCCAGGCTTTGTAGAAAGACAAAGATCAATGTGTAATGTAGAAAGACAAAGATCAGATGTGAGAAGAAAGGCATCTCACATCTACCTATAAAATATTATCCTGCAAACACTCCTAAAATAACCCTGCCTTCAGGCTGCAGTGTTGGAATGATGATGAAGCAGTGTTTTTGAAGTACCTCAATGCTTACAGGCGATACTTTTAGAAGTTCTACTGCAAGCACCTTTTCACGGAGATTTATTTATATTGCAGCTATGCAAAGCTTCTCAGCATGAAACCTGGCATACAAGAGCTTGGCCTCCAAGAGATGTTTTTAAAGCTAATTGTCGGGAATGGTGGGTAACACATTAATTTAGTAATCTGTCTATTATAAAAGCAGAATGGTAATAAAAAGGAAAGACATTTACCCCAGACATTGCTTCCTATTACACTAACAAAAATGATTTTGAAATACATGCCTAAAAGGCATTGTTCAGGCTCTTTCTTATTCCGGACTACCCAACTCTACTCGGTTTTTATTTTTTACTTTTTGAGACAGGCTGGAGTGCAGTGGTGCAATCACAGCTCACTGCGGTTTTGACCTCCCAGGTTTAAGCGATCCTCCCACCTCAGCCTCCCGAGTAGCTGGGACTAGAGGTGTGCACCACCATGTCCAACTAATTTTTGGAATTTTTGTACAGACAAGGTTTTGCCATGTTGCCCAGGCTGGTCTTGAACTCCTGGGCTCAAGTGATCCTCCCACCTCGGCCTCCCAAAGTGCTGGGATTACTCGCGTGAACCACGGTGCCTGGCCTGCACTTGGTTTTTAAATGGCAGGCTTCTGGAGCACTATTAAACTAAAGGAAATTTGCAGCAATGGTGGTGGGGGAAGTCCTCAAAGAAAGCATCTTGCATATACGCTGTGTTGTCAGTGGAGATGTGGGAGGACATCACTGTTATTGTCTCACCCCTAACAGATTACAGACTGGGCTCTTGCATGTGCAAGTACTGTGCCAACTGTGAGGGTTCCATGCAGCATCTCATTCAATCTCATTAAATCCAAGGAGGAAGATGCTATTACAGAGGAGGAAACTGGGGCTTCCAGAAGTTAAATTATTTGCTCAGGACTATACAACCGAGAAGTGTTGCAGAGGTCAAAAGCATGGGCTCTGGAGTGAAAAAAGGCCTGGGTTTAAGTATTAGCTCTGTAACCTTTGTCAAGTTACAGGGGATTTTCATTATTTGCAGGAGTTATGTTCTGTGAAGAAGCCATAAACACTGAATTAGTGAATAGTGAACCGTTTTTCCTAGGGGAAATACAAGGTAAGTTTCCTGGGAACCTCTGGTCACAATATTTTCATTAACCCACCAGTATTCAACCTTGTTTCATGTATGCTTCTGTTTAGAGATACCTTGTTTAACATACCTTGTTGAGTCATTAAGAGGAACTCACGGGCAACAGCACTAGAGCTCATCCCTGAAAAATGCTTATCTAACACATATGTTTTTACCCATGAGGCACATCCCAGCCTTGTGGTGGTTAGGAACACTAGACAGCACTTCAGCCCTATGCTTCGGCCATTTTATTTTATATATATAGTTTTGTTTTGTTTTGTTTTGTTTTGTTTTTGAGATGGAGTCTCTCTGTCGCCCAGGCTGGAGTGCAGTGGCACGATCTCGGCTCACTGCAATGTCTGCCTCCCGGGTTCAAGCGATTCTTCTGCCTCAGCCTCCTGAGTAGCTGGGATTACAGGTGCCTGCCACCACACTCGACTAAATTTTTGTATTTTTAGTAGAGACAGGGTTTCACCATGTTGCCCAGGCTGGTCTCGAACTCCTGACCTCAGGTGATCCAGCTTGGGCCATTTTAAACAGCAAAATCACCAACATGTAAACCCAAAAATAAAATTCTAAGGCCCTCCAACCATCTGAAATGGACCCCTCCTCTCAGTCAAGGGCATTCCAAAGTGAACATAAAAAAATGAGTTCAGGCCATGATGGGAAGGGGGCGCTGGACATGCCTCATGCTACCCTCCTCCCTGTTGGGATTACTGATAGGGCAGTCTCTTCAAGTCTGATAAAAATATTTACAATGTGTTCTCACTCAAGCCTGCTACCTGGAGGCTTCGTCTGCATGATAAAGTCTTGGTCTCCATAACCCCTTCTCATAATCCAGACATTCCTTTCTATTGATAATAACTCTCTCAACCAAGTGCCAATCAGAAAATCTTTGAATCCACCGACGACTTGGAAGCTCCCCCGGCCCCCTCAACTTCAATGTACATCATACATGTATTGATTGATAACTGTGTCTCCCTAAAATGTACAAAACCAAGTTGTGGCCTGACCACTTTGGGAACATGGTCTCAGGATCTCCTGAGGGCTGTGTCATGGGCCATAGGTGACTTATATTTGGCTCAGAATAAATCTAATATTTTACAGAGTTGGACTCTTTTCATTAACAAACAAAAAGCACACAAATGTGAAAAACAAGACACTAAATAGACTGCAAAAAATGACCCTGGCTTCCAGGATGAGGGCTGAAACAAGATGGGAGACTGTCGCCTCATTCCCCTTCAGCTGGAAACATGCACATTGGGTGATATGGTTTGGCTGTGTCCCCAAACGAATCTCATCTTGTAGTTCTCATAATCCCCACGTGTGGTGGGAGGAACCTGGTGATGTTCTCATGATAGTGAGTGAGTTCTCATGAGATCTGATGGCTTTATAAGGGGTTTTCTTTTCCCTCCCTTTTTTTTTTTTTTTGAGATAGAGTCTTGCTCTGTTGCCCAGGCTGGAGTGCAGTGGCGCATCTTGGCTCACTGCAATCTCCACCTCCTGGCTTCAAGTGATTCTCCTGCCTCAGCCTCCCAAGTGGCTGGGATTACAGGTGCCTACCACCACACCTGACTAATTTTTGTATTGTTCATTTTTTAGTAGAGATGAAGTTTCACCATGTTGGCCAGGCTGGTCTTGAACTCCTGACCTCGTGATCTACCTGCCTTGGCCTCCCAAAGTGCTGGAATTACAGGCATGAGCCACTGCACCTGGCTGCTTTTGCCCCTTTTGCTTGGCTTCTCCTTGCTGCCACCATGTGAAGAAGGACGTGTTTGCTTCCCCTTTCACCATGATTGTAAGTTTCCTGAGGCTTCCCCAGCCATGCTGAACTGTGAGTCAATTAAATCTCTTTCCCTTGTAAATTACCCAGTCTCAGGTATGTCTTTATTAGCATCGTGAGAACTAAACATCAGGTGACTCAAATTTTTCCTTCCCTTACACGTATCCAGAAATCACTGGAAAGCGCTTCGAGTATTGATTTTGGAATTACACATAAATTTGAGCGGGTAGATGATTTTGCAAATACAGAATCCATAAATAATGAAGATGGACGGTATTTATCTCAAAGCATGTTTTCTCCTCTGAATGACAGGGGCAGGGATAGTCCTTCCTCGTAGGGCCATTGTGAGGATCAGATGAAATGATGCAGGCATGGCTCTCAGCGCCAGGCCCAGCCCAGGGCAAGCACAATGGGGAAGGTTGCTATGGTGACTGCTCTTGCCATCTCGGCTGTAGCCCTCTGGTGATGCGGAGGCATCCAGAGCTGGCCTGCAGGTATTGTGCAAACCCGAAGAGCACAGCTGCCCAGGGGCCTGGGAAGAGTTTCCAAGGCTCCTTTTTCTCAGGGGTATGAAAAGCCTGGGCCCAGCAAACACTTGAGGCCTGGAGCTCCAGTCAGGCTGCTGACATTTTGCACAGAGATGTAAATGAAGGAGCAGAGTAAATGGCAACTGGGCTGGATGCATTTCAAAATCAGTGCACTGGGCCTTTGGCAAGACCCGCAGCTTCCTCAAAGGCCAGCAACGGAGAAGGCTGCGTTGGGCGCATGCTAACTAGCCCTGTGAGTGAGCTGTAGGCCCGCGCCGGAGATCATTCCACAGCACTGGGTGGGGGAAGGGGCGGTGGGGGAGGGAGTGGCTTTTTCTCCATCTCCATCTCCCTACTCCCTGCCCCCAACCAACCTCATTTCATTTTCAGGGGGCCCTGCACTCGGATTTTTAGCTCTAGAACTTTACATAGACTCTTGGTTCAGCTCAAGTTTCTAACGTTTTGCTGAGCCAGGACTCATTTAAACTTTGGAGTCAGGGCCTCATTCACGGGCGAAAGTCTGGGCTAAATCATGTCTGTTAAATAAAAAAGGCCCAGCAGCTTAAAACGGGGCCCTAATTACCAAACTAGAATTCTGTCTAGATGGCTGAGAAATGAAACTGCTTCGAAGACGCACACACAACTAATGATTTTTTTTTTCCTGTCACCTATTCATGCGGTGGAGCTACAAGAACCAGCTTTATCTCCTCACTGCTGCAGGGCGCTGAGCCCAAAGTAGTAGGTTCCAGCATCAGCAAGGAGCAGGTGTGAGCCTGCTATTGTTAACTAGGACTCCGCGACCGCAAACGAGGCTCCGTCTGCCTTCAGTGCCGGCTCCCTGTTTAACATGTGCAGATAAAATGCGCTCAGCCTCAGACAGGCAGCTCGCTGGCTGGGAAGGGAGACCCACTCCCCCTCCTGCGGATCCCCAGATGACTGTATTTCGTCTAGACTGGAGAGCTAATGAAGTGGAACAGCTGCCCGTGCGAAATGATGCTCCAGGGCCCCCACGGCCCGCCCCCCCAATGACCAGGCCAGGCACATTTGCAAATTAATATTGTTCCTGGTAACGTTGTTCCAAGAATTACCATCCTCTGCATATTGGATGCTAGTCTCCAACTTTCCTTTTTCACGTGGCACAGAGACGGTCCTTGAGCTACCACGTCTCCAGGAAAGTCAACTAGGAAACCCCTGCGGCTCCTGTTTAGAGGGCTAAGGCTTATCTTTTGGTTTCTGTGTGGCTTCTGTTTCTAATGAAATAAGGAGCAACACTTGTTTTTAACATTCTTAAGGAAAGTTAAATTTCTTTTGTGTTGTTTATTAGAGAATACGGCTAATTCTGCAGTAATATATGGGGCCCTAGAATCCAAGCTGCACAGCACAATTATTTATGTTTGTGAAAAACAAAACTGTGGCGGGGCACGGTGGCTCATGTCTGTAATCCCAGCACTTTCGGAGGCCGAGGCAGGTGGATCACAAGGTCAGGAGTTCGAGACCAGCCTGGCCAATATGGGGAAACCCCATCTCTGCTAAAAATACAAAAATTAGCCAGGCGTGGTGAGGGGGCGGCGCCTGTAGTCCCAGTTACTCAGGAGACTGAGGCAGGAGAATCGCTTGAACCCAGGAGATGGAGGTTGCAGTCAGCCGAGATCACACCACGTACTCCAGCCTGGGCAACAGAGCGAGACTCTGTCTCTAAATAAATACATTAATAATAATTAAAAAAAAAAAAAGTTTGTCCCAAGGGCCCCTTACTTCTTGCAGAAGGGTCACCTCACTTTCTATACCATGGACAAGAGGAATTCAGTGTCTTCCACCAGGCTTTTTCCTCCTCAAAACAGAAAGGTCAGCTGTCTCTTGATACTGAATAATATTATTCAGTATATATTATTTATAATAATACTATTACTACTACTATTAATAATATTCAGTATATATAAATAATAAATAATTATAAATAATATATATTGAATATTAGTATTATTACTACTATTAATTACAACTACTATATATTATTTATATATACTGAATATTAATAGTAATAATAATATTACTTAAATATTGTTTAATATTATTTTTAAAATGTTAGCAATATTATTTTAAAAAATTGTTGGTAAGCAAGCTACCCCACCAAGGCCATTTCAAATTAGCTTATTCTTTGCACTTTTCTAACTGGAAAAAAAAGCGATGTCTTAGGGCAGGTGATGAGAGAAGATAGCTCAGGGTCTCCCTCCTGACTCCCAATAAAAGCCCACATTTATAGAAGGGCCAGGGTCTCAATAGGTAATCAAGGAACAGCAAAAGAAGATGACAAATAGGGCCACAGGAAGGACTGGAGTTCATGGTAGAGACTCCAGTGGCCCAAATGGGTGCAGATGGCTCAACTAGCTCACACAGAGCTGCACTCTGACAGTGCAATACAGTGTGGGTAGCAAGAGGCCTGATCCAGCATCAAAGGTTAAAGAGCTGTGCTGCCTTGAGCTAGTCACTTAATGTCTCTGAACTTCATTTATCTTAAATGGTAGGGACATAACTTAGGCTTTGGAGACAGACACAGAAGAGCTCAAATCCATTCCAGCCACCAACTAGCTATGGGCAAATTACTTAACCACTTTGAGCCTCAGATCCTCCATCTGTAAAACCTACCTAACCTGTAGGATTACTGTTAGGATTAGAGGTAAGAGTCTAGTTGTAGAGTGAATGCTCACACAAATGATATTATTACTATTATTGTTCAAGATGATTCCTAGGTCGAATGCTCCTTCTGGATCTAACATTAGAAGAATGACCTCATTATCCATCTCCCTCACTACATCATAGCTCTATAAGGAAGCTTATATTCACACCTACATACTCAGATTGTGGCAAAGTACCTGGCCTATAGTAGACACTCAATAAAAACCTGGTCAATAAATGAATAAACTCTCCGTTGCACTAAAAGGCAACTGTTTTCTTAACTCAGCTAAAGCACAGAATGTGTCTTATATTCATACTACAAATCTCATTGCACCATGTCCTGGGGCAGAGAGAGAGTGAAGCTGCTGAGCACTAAGTGTTAAAAGAATGCTTAGGGGTCAGGGGTGGTGGCTCACACCTGTAATCCCAGCATTTTGGGAGGCCGAGGTGGGTGGATCATCTGAGGTCAGGAGTTCAAGACCAGCCGGGCCAATATGGCAAAACCCCATTTCTACTAAAAATACAAAAATTAGCTGGGTACCGTGGTGCACACAGATAATCCCAGCTACTCAGGAGGATGAGGCAGGAGAATCGCTTTAAAATGGGAGGCGGAGGCTGTAGTGAGCCAAGATTGTGCCACTGCACTCCAGCCTGGGCAACAAAGTGAGACTCTTATCTTACAAGAAAAAAAAGAATGCTTAGGAATCAACTCCCCTCCTAATGCCCAGACAGGTGAAATGACTTGCTCAGGCCACAGTTCTGCCCAAGCCAGCACCAGCCAGTGGCACAGCAGAATGCAAGGAGGGAGTGGTACCTACTTTCACAGCATAGGTGCTGCCGGGGTCCTCAGAGCAGGTGGCACAGTAATAAATGGCATCCCCCGAGTCACAGCAGGGCTTGTTACAAGTCAGCTTGAAGAGCGACCAGTTATTCTCATTGAAGTGGAGCTCCTTTTTCTGGCCGCCCATGAAGAGGTCCTCACATTTGGCTACAAGGCGGGCCAGGGACTGGGTGTAGAGTCCCCCCAGCTTGGCATAGGTGCCCTCCTTGCTGCTGATGTTGCTCAGGAGACCGTGCAGCTGAAGCTGGGTGCTCCCGGTGGAGGCTTGACTGGACACGCTCAGCTGGGAGGATGAGGCGGAGGGGGCCCCTTTGCACTGGAGGCCAGGGCTCCCGCAGCCGCCTCTGTTGCCCGCCAGCCCTGCTGCCGGAAGCCAGTGGCCACTGCCTTTGAAAGCTTTCTCCAGAGGATCGGAAGAGGAGAAGACAGGATGGTGGCGGTTCCCGGGGCTCAACGAATAGCTAAAGTGAGATTCGTCGTGGACGTTGGTTTCCGAGTGGCTTAGGTTCAGCTTGGGGCTTGCTGTTCCGGGCTTGGGGGAGCCTTGGGTCCAGAAGAAGCCATCCGGTGAAGAGGCTGCCCGGCTCACTATCTTTTTCTGGGGGAGTGGAGGGGGCTGCTGGGGGCCACTGGGGGACACGTCCTCAGTGGAGCCTGAAGGAAACGGAACGGGAGCAAAGAGCTTCTTCCCGCTGTTGGTGGGCGAGTGAGCCAGCTCAGACGAGGGACCTGAAGAGGAGAGACAGAAACCATAAGACCAAGGCCAGTGCCACTCAATTCCAGGGTCCTGCAGACTTGTTTCCCTTTATTTATTTATTTATTTGGTCAGAGCAATTAATTTTATGTTACTTCTTTTCTATTTCTCTAATAGACAATATATGCACAATGGAAAAAATCAAAATGCAGAAAAGGTATAGATTGACAACTAAGTCTTCCTCCTACCCTGTCCCTCATACTCAGCTCTCTCATCAGAGGAAACCACTGTCAGTAGTGTTTCATGCATCCCTCCAACAATCCAAACAAATGCGTGCCTGCACGCGTGCGCACACACACACACACACACACACAAATTACATAGAAAAGAGCAAACGGTGGCTACTGTTTGGAATAATGCTTTTCTTTCACATCTTGGAGAGATTTTTAAATCAAATATGCAGATCTATTTAATTATTTTAAACAGTCTCACCATAATATATCACCATATGCAAGTATCATAATTTAACCATCCCTTTTTGATGGACACTTAAATTGTTTCCAATATTTTGCAAACAATGCTGCAACAGCAATAACAAACTCGAACATGTGTGGTTTCCGTGGAATTTTTTAAAAGTCAGGTTTATAGAGGGTGTAACTGGCCAATGGTAAAATTCTCCCTTTTGGCTGGGTGCGGCGGCTCATGCTTGTAATCCCAGCACTTTGGGAGGCTGAGGTGGACGGATCACTTGAGCTCAGGAGTTTGAGACCAGCCTGGCCAACATGGTGAAATCCCGTATCTACTAAAAATACAAAAATTAGCTGGGGGTGGTGGTGCGTGCCTATAATCCCAGCGACTAAGGAGTCTGAGGCAGGAGAATCGCTTGAGCCCGGGAGATGGAGGTTGTAGTGAGCCAAGATTGCGCCACTACACTCAGCCTGGGTGGCAGAGTGAAACTTCATCTAATAATAATAATAATAATGGGTTGCAGCCCTAAGGAAATGTGTACTTAGGATGTGTGCCCCTCATTGAGTTCTCCATGCCACATCACCCTAAGGGAAGAGCATGGAGTGTCTCTATGCCTTTCCACACCTTGGCAGTAGGACCAGAAAACAACAAAAAAAAGCAGAACAAAAGCATAGGAGAAGACAAGGGGTAGAAGGCCCCAAAGGAAGCAAATTATGAGTCTTGTGTCACCTCACTCAGGTGCACAGGACATTTCTAGGGCTGCTCCTGAACAGTTAATAACCTTCTAGCTCACACTGAGCCCTTCTCTGCTTTCTCCAACCCAAGAGGGAACAGAATAGATCCCTGAGGCTCAAACACCAGTTGCAAGCCACATAGATCAAGACTGGGTCTCTTTATTTCTGCTGCTCCACAGGGAGGAGGGTCTCTCTAGGGAGCAAGATGGATGGCCATGGGCTGACATTCATGCCCCAGCCTCAGTGACCGAGGCAGCATTAGTGAGCGACAGCAGGGCACAACCTTGAATGCAACGCTGACGGGAGGACAAACTCAGTGCATGCAACCTGTTGAACACAGGAGCTGAGAACCAATGGATTCATGCAAAGAAAAGCCCTGGGGAGCTGAGCAAGACTATGGGGTCCTTGCACCAATATCCTCCTTGGCTCTATCATCTATCATAAGACTCAACAGGGGCTGGGCACGGTGGCTTATGCCTGTAATCTCAGCACTTTGGGAGGCCAAGGCGGGAGGATCACTTGAGCTCAGGAGTTCAAGACCAGCCTGGGCAAAATGGCGAACCCCCAACTCTACAAAAGATACAAAAATTAGCTGGGCGTGGTGGTGCATGCCTATAATCCCAGCTACTCAGGAGGCTGAGGGGAGAGGATCACTTGAACCTAGGAGTCAGAAATTGCAGTGAGCCGAGACTGTGCCACCGCACTCCCACCTGGGCTATAGAGTGAGACTGTCACAAGTGAAAATGAAATTCAAGAGGGAGCACCGTGTTTCTTAAGCTCTCCTTGCCCACTTTCCCATCTGTAGTAAGCAATCCTTGTTTCCCTGTGGTTTATCAAGATCATAGGGAGTTGCCCTTCCCATTTGCTAATGATAGGCGGGGCCCCTGGCAGCAAGGCTGAGTGAGTGATTTATACCCCTTCCAGGAGGGCTCAAGTTAATAATAAATCAAGCAGTGGTGGTGCAGTCTGGACCAGTCACTTTTACATGCCCACGAATTTCCCCCTCAATAGTCAGAATGAAGGGCGCAGAAGAAATAGCGAGCCAGAAGAGGGAAGATCTAGATGGCAGTGATCTCAGCAGGTGCTGAAATCCTGCAGTCCACAGGTCTCCCCATCCCACGCTCCCCAGGAAAGCAATGGGGACAGACGGAGGCTAGGGCAGATGATTCACTTCCTCTCCCTCCTCCCTCTAACAGAAGAGGCTGAGAGCAGGAGGAGGATCAGTTGCCACCTCCTGGATAAAAAAAGGAGGGTAAGACCACCTACTTATGAGGCTCTCAAAGGACTGTAAGCCTCAGTCACCAAACTCCCAGCCTGATGAGCAGGAGGACTGGGAGCCGTGAGCACACATCCACTTCCTGACCTTTCTGCATTCTGGGCAGCAGAAACCGTCACCAGCGAGGCGTCTGATTCTCAATTTATCATCAACACAACAGAAGCTGAGGCTGGGAGATGGGAGTGGGGTGTGATCAGAACCCTGGTCAATGCTTTCATCAGTGCCCTCAGAGACAAGGACAACCTGCCTACGGTCAGGATTCCTTCCCATCCCAAGTCCAGTCGGCTAGGGAGGTTCATAACAGATCAGTTTCCTGGTTAGTCTCTTCTTTAAGCCTTAGGCTTATTTCTCCATGTTTATTGATTTTGTCTTCCTTGTCTTTACTACAAGGCTATCCTGATGCCACCAGTATGCCCCTTTCTGCTTCTGCTCCAATTTGAGGGTGAGCAGTGGAGTGAACACTTCACCAGCTGTCAGCCTGCCCTGCCTGAGTTTCCTCCTTTAGAAAATGACCGATGACATCATTGTGAAGGCCCCTTGCAGCACTAATAGTCTATAATTTCAGCTACTCTCTCCATTTTCAACCTCTCTGAACATGCATTTTGTCTCAAAGCTGCCCCTGAAATCAAATAGCTCTAGGCAGATTGTTATCTCGGTTCAATTGTTCTTCCTTCTATGTCTAGTTCACACAAATTACCACTGGTACATTTTCCAATCTGTGAGGAGACCAGGGATCTTTTAGCAACATAATCGGTAACACTTCTAATTCCCTAGATGACCAAAGAGAACCAAGAGGTTCTGCTTTAGACTGTATGGTAGGTCCCAGCACAAAAAACCCTTCGTGTATTCAGGCAGCTGGAAGGAAGTGATTTTGTCCTTCCCTCTGTTTTCTCTTGCTTTCCTGTAGGAGCTGTTAGTCAGTGACTTTGATCAGATCTACACCGTATCACTACTTGGGTAAATCTGACAAGGGGTACTAGGTATTAGCAGAGAAGCTTAACTTCAAGAATTAGCACATGCACTGATTAATTTTTCTTTGTTTCTTAGATGCTATGAGTTTGGGGCACCAAACTCAGTACTCGCCGCATTATACACACACTCATTAGAGGCTAGCACTGCATACCCAAACATTCCCTATCCACGCCCTTGCCCAGCAGAAGTAAAGTCCTGTAGCTACACAAACCTCATCAGGTGAAATACAGCTCCCCTGAAATGTGGACTTCACAGGGATACCTGGGCATTATCTACACATATTACGATTTTTTTTTTTTTTTTTGATGAAGTTTTGCTCTTGTTGCCCAGGCTGGAGTGTAATGGTGGGATCTCGGCTCACTGCAAACTCTGCCTCCTGGGTTCAAGTGATTCTCCTGCATCAGCCTCCCAAGTAGCTGGGATTACAAGCACCCACCATCACGCCCAGCTAATTTTTTGTATTTTTAGTAGAGACGGGGTTTCACCATGTTGGCCAGGCTGGTCTTGAACTTCTGACCTTCAGGTGATCCACCCACCTCGGACTCCTAAAGTGCTGGGATTCCAGGTGTGAGCTACTGTGCCCGGTCTATTATGATTTTTGTATTCAGAAAAGATATGCCTGGTTCTATGACAAGCATACTGCATTCCAACCTAACGCATTCTTCCTCTGAGTTTACGGATCCTTAAAGCTCTCCAGGTGTGGAATTACAGCTGGTGAGAGGTCAGAATTCACTCTTGGAGCCCCCACCCCCACCCCACCACCTCCAGGCCACTCCAGGCCTCCGAGGATCCTATAGTTTCTCAGGTGTTAATACTCTTGGGGATACTTTGAAATAGATGCTAACATGCAGCCCTTGTAGATGAAATTGGTTTCTCCACTACATGGCAAATGGTAGCTGTCTTCTATGGAATCTAAAGGCACTCCTAAAGACCTCCTCTGGCTAATTCTCTTGACTCTTACCTGGGGAACTATCTCTCCATAAACATGGCCTTAGGCAACACAGCATCTATGTTCTTACTGTTTGCAACGGCTGCCACACTCTGGATTAGGCAAGCTGGAAATAACAGGGAACAAATATACCCTGACACCTAAAATACTTCCGAGTTCACAGGCAAACCACTGGTTCAGAAAAGTCTGCCTAAAAAATCCTCCACGACTTTAGCCAACAGCCAATATTCTCCAGACTTGGATCCCAAGGGACATGAGACTAACTCAGACACATCCTGGTTTGATGCTGGTGTTGGATTGCTGTTTCCAAATTCTGCCTTACAATTAAGGGTGCAAAAGGGGTGAGAGGGGAGAACATTTTTCTGGGACCTTGGCCTATGTCTCAGTTGCCTCATTTGTTGGTTTTTAATAATTTTGCATGCTAATTGGGCCAGAGGGCTCCAAACCTCAGGTCCTAAGTTTTCCTTCGAATTTCCAATTCTGCATATAAAGGAAGTTCCTGGCTATAGAGTACAACACGCTCCATGCCTTTAGCGAACGTGCTTCAGGGAAGAGAAAGCATTTCTAGTGAGAAGCTACATATCACGTATGCTGCACTGGATGGGATCTTAAAAAGACCAAGGGAAGGTGCACTAGTTTGGTGTCATTATATTTAGAAAGCAGAGATGAGAAATCAGGATTTCAGTGGTTGGGAAGAACAGCTTAACCTCTCTGCAGAAATGCAGGCCATAAGTTCAAACATGGTACTCTGAGGTTTTCCTTATTATAGAGTCCTCTCTTCTTGCTGGGTTTTAATAGGCACTTTCATTGTTCTCTGCAGCCAAAATGAGAGCTGAGCTGACAGAGGAAGTGGTCAGTCCTGTTTTGGCTCTTTCTTTGCACAGCTCTGCTGTGTGATAGCAGCTGGGTCAGAACAAATGCAGAAGCAAAGGGCAGCGTCCCAACTAAGTCTCCCCAAACGTTTAGCTTTTGTGTTTGACCATTCTCCAACTTTGAGTAAGGTAAAGCAAGTGGAATATGGATGGAGAAAACCTCACCCATACCCTGTGCCCTGGGGCCCTAGTGCAATTCTCTCATGTGAGAGGTGAGAAAACTAAAGCCATCTGCACGGGCACCTTGCCAATATCACCCAGGAAGTGGCTGTCATGCAGGTTTCTGCCAACCCCCATTAACTATTCCTGCATCAGAGAGGATGAAGGGTGGGGCAGAGGGATGCTTTGGCTTCACACGGACTTGTTCCTCTGAAGGCAAGTTTTGCAATCTCTTGTTTGGTTCCACAGTCAGAGCAGGTTCAACATGAAATGTAGAAGAAAAAACAAAAACAAAAAGCAAAGCAGGCCGGGCTCAGTGACTCATGCCTGCAATCCCAGTACTTTGGTGAGCTGAGGCAGGCGGATCACCTGAGGTCTGGAGTTTGAGGGGCCAACATGGTGAAACCCTGTCTCTACTAAAAATACAAAAATTAGCTGGGCATAGTGGTGTGTGCCTGTAATCCCAGCTACTCAGAAGGCTGAGGCACAATAACCACTTGAGCCTGGAAGTGGAGGTTGCAATGAGCTGAGACTGCACCACTGCACTCCAGCCTTGGTGACCGAGTGAGACTCCATCTCAAAAAAAAAAAAGCATTTCTTTAAAAGAAACCTTTGCTTTTTTCAAGAAGATAAACGTGTTCTGAAACTGGAAGCAGGTTATTAGCATTTTACAACTGGATGGAAAATGTGGCATTTGTGAGGAGTCTCTCCAGACCACTTAATCATCCCAGGAAACAATAATCAAGATGTGAATGTGATTTACATGCGAAAGAAGAGAAAGCTCTGTCTCACTTTGGAAAACAGGCTCTAAGTATCTCGAATGCCCTGCCTACAGCTCACATGTGGTCCTGGAATTATGATCTTTCAATCTCCTGTTATAACATAATCATTAATGGTTTTCTTCCGAGTTAGTAAAATTAAAAGTTAATTCAAAGCACTTTCCATGCCGGGCACAGTCGCTCATGCCTGTAATTCTAGCACTTTGGGAGGCTGAGGTGAGCGGATCACTTGAGGTCAGGAGTTTGAGACCAGCCTGGCCAACATGGCGAAACTCGTCTCTACTAAAAATAGAAAAATTAGCCAGGCGTGGTGGCGCGCATGCAGTCCTAGCTGCTGAGGCAGGAGAATTGTTTGAACCCTGGAGGTGGGGCTTGCAGTGAGCAGAGATTGTGCCACTCCAGCCTGGGCAACAGAGCAAGACTCTGTCTCGAAAAAAAAAAGGCACTTTTCAGATGCTGTGATGGAAAAGTAAATAGACATTTTTAGAGGATACTTTGGTAATATTTATTTAAAATACACATACAGTTTGATATGTCAGTTCCACTTCTTCTAAGGATTTATCTTACAGATTTGCTCACCAAATCATGCCAATGTATGGCACAGAGTCTTACTGTAAGTCTTGCAATGAAATCAACCTAGACATGCATCAGCAAGAGAGGGATTTATAACCAAATAATATAATGAAAAATAAGCAGCAATTTCAAAAAATGAGGCAGTCCTAGGGGTTCTCATTTGAAAGGCCCCAAGATAAAGTGCAAAAATCTGTAGAACTGAATTTTATATTTCACATATGGATACACATTTTTGGGATGATACAGAAAAAAATCTTAAAAGTGATGGTAGGAGCTGGGATGGGGTGTCAGAAAACTGACTTTTCATTTTATTCCTTTCTCTGTTGTTTGAATTTTTATAAAAAAAAAGTATTGACTTTATTGGAACAATAATATATTATTTAAAATTCAGTTTAACGGGGAAGGTTTAAATGAAGTTGAAGCTTCACTTCAGTGATATTATAGCTCAGGCCACAGAAAATTTTTAAAAATAAATGTTTTTTTCCTTTGGAGCACTTCCACCCCTCCCCACCCTGTTCCTGGCTTGATTTTTCTCCTGGCACTCGCTGCCTTCTGACCAGTAGCTACTTTACATCTTATCTTTCTTATTGTCTATCTCTCCTACCAGAATGTAAGCCCCTTGAAGGGACTGGGAATTATTTCCATTGCTGAAACTTCAGCATCTAGAATTGTACCCAGCACAGAGTTTGCAATCAACAATATCTATCAAATGAATGACTGCATTAATATGCATTTCTTAAAAATTTGCCAGTAGTAGTCAGCTTGTTGAGAAAAACAAGCTGACTGACTACTGTCAATATATTTAATTAGTGTTCTGTATCTCTGGTTTGCCAGCTATAAAAATAAGAATGGTATCACTGCCCTGGTACATGTATTCATGCAAGTGAGAATATCTATATGAACTGTATTTTCAGACTTCTTATCTATTGCTGGTGCCAATGGTTTCAGTTCAACAGAGAACTCTCTAATCTTCTCTAATCTCCAGGCATTCAGAAATGTTTGCCGAACTGCTGAACTGAATTTTAATGGTATCCTACATCAAAGAGGGAAATGATCTCAATGAGACATTAGGTTTGCAAATTTACAAGTAACCACTTAAAGCAAAAAGGTCTCTTGATGACCATTTCTGATCATCATTTCCCTCACACGTCCAACCATCCATTCCCTGCAAAAACCTTCCCCTTGGCAGCCTTCATGGATCTGTCCTGACACATGCAGTCTGTACCTCCTAAACCAAGCATAAACCAAACAACTGCTTCGACAAATTTTCCTTGCACTGAGTTGACTGGCTGTTCAATTGAATTGGACAAATGGGATAACAGATGCACTGGAGGAATATGTAATCTGATACAAGTATAAAGAGGTGAAATTAACATTGATACAAAAGTGGCATTTTGCCACTGTAACATTTAGAATAAGCACCTGTTTTAAAAATGTAACAAAGTAAGAGATTTCGATTAGGTTTTCCTTATACAACTAAAACCTCCCCCCACCCATAAAACGCAAATCATTAACTTCAGCCATTGACTCTGATAAAAGTATAAAAAGGTGAAATTAACATTGACACAAAAGTGGCATTTTGCCACTGAAACATTTAGAATAAACACCTGTTTTAAAAATGTAACAAAGTTAGAGATTTCTATTAGGGTTTTCCTTATACAACTAAAACCTTCCCCCCACTCCCCTCCCCACACCCCTTTCCCCCCTCCCCCCACCTCCGACATAAAGCATGAATCACTAACTTTAGCCATTAACGCTGATACATTTCCAAGAAGTTTACACAAACTACTATCATGATATGCCCTGGAATGACTTTTTCCTCCATTCATTCAGGCCAGCCTATACTGTGGATGGAAAAAGTCAATGAAACGCATAGTTTTCACTAGCAGATTCTTACTGACAAAATAAATGTAGAAGAGTCTAATGGTATCTTTTGGCTTAATGTATAATATTAGAAAGGCAGACACTACATTCAAGTTTCAAAGAACTTCAGCGTGAACTAGTTCTTTTTCTATTTGGATCTAATCTCTCAGCTTTGGTACTGCATGCCAAACAGTAACTAAAGTTGCAATGGATAAATATTTCAGTTACAAGATAAAAGTGAGTTAAGGACCCATGGGACTGGAAGATAATTGTGCAATAACAAATCTAAGCTGCCTTGGTAAGCGGTGAGAAGTGAATGAAGGATTTCTCATATTACATGACCAGTAGTTCTGTATATTCTCCAGATTAATGATTAATGTTTAAAAGATGTCAAAAAGAAGAGAGAGAGAGAGAGAAAGAGAGAGAGAGAGAAAGAATGTCATGCCTTTGGTCTCTTGCCAGTTTCAAAACATGGTTCCGGGTACAGAGAGCCATGTCCAGGGGCAGCAGATAGAATGGTTGGCTCTCAGGGGCTAGAGTCCAGGGACAAGGTACATATCTTCTTGTTGGTCTGGGAGTCTAAGTTTTGAAATGCATTTCTACTGAACAACTAGCTTGTGATAAAGGAATACCACGACAATATATTCATTTTAATTCATGTTATTCAGAAACGAACATGAGAAAACGTCTGAATAGGTTTCCCCGTTGAACTCGCAAACCTCCAGCATTGAACTCACAAACCTCCGGCAGCTCTCTGTCTCCCACCTGCACAGATTGCTGTGAGAGCCGTGTACAATTCAGCCCCTGCTTCCCACCAAGCTCATGTCCCATTTCCCCTTGCCGGTGTCTATTGAAGCATGTCAGACTGGTCTCATCCTTCTCCCACATGCACTGCCATCCCTGTGGCTTTGTTTCTCTTTTATTGTTCTCTAAACCTGGAAAGCCCTCTCCTCCTCACCCCCTACCTCCCCAGTTCTGGCCACATTTCAGATCTGATCTCTAAGTCCCATGTTCTCATAAAGTCTTCCCTAAACCCTCCACCAGCCTTCATTGATTTCTGTCTCTTCTGGAAGCCTTTATAAGAAGCACTCATGTTCTGGGCTGCCCAATATCCTACCATATCCCATCCACCCATGTACCATGTGTTTTAACCTTATCTTTCCTAGTCAGTTCTTAGGAACCCTGCGAGTGGACGTCATGGTTTACTGGTTCTGGGAAACAAAGTGGTGAAGCCATGAAGTCCAGTTCGCCTGACACCCGCTGGTTGGTGACTGATGGTTCATTGTAGATCACTCCCCAGAACTGGTTACAATCTCCAAGAGAGTGGATCAGAGCTAACCAGCACAGGGGCTCGTGGTCGAGATGCACTGCCCTCTATGGAATAATCTGCCTTGTTGAATTTGTTATACAATGGGCTGGGAAAAGGAAGAAGATAAGAGCCTAGAAAAATCTACAGAAAAAGAAAATCTGTTGTTGCTACATTCCTCCCAAATCAAGACTAAGATATTTCCTGTTTTTAAGTAAGAACTGTCAGAGGTTTCTCATCAGAACACACCACAGACTGACTTATAACACACTCTTTTGTCTCAGCCAGTACCTATTGTTTAGGTAGAATAATGTTGCTGACAGTAAATTTGCAATGGAACCCTCTACTGTGTCATTGCCTATTGAGAAGAAATATTTCCATAGGACTGAAAAAGGAAGTCATGTGAGTACAAGTCTAAATCCAACATGCTAACGCAAGTCTAAGAGAAACGCAGGAGAGGACACATACACAAAGAATGCTGAAAGGGTGAGAGGTTTTAAATATGACCCATCCAGGCCACAACTATGGAAAAACAAGAGTTCCTTTTTAGGGACATGCCCAGTGGAGGACAGACCCACCCATAGGCCTTAGAGCTTAATCCAAAAAGCAGGCTAGATGGTGGCCTAATGTAGTCTTCATGCTTAATTCAGCAAACATTATGTAAACATCTGCTGTGTCCAGTAAGTGTGTACATGTGGGTACATGCACATGTAGATGCAAAAGAGAGAGAGAGAGAGAGAGAGAAAGAGATAGTGAGAATGTGTGGTTTAGGACCCATCCTGAGGACAGAAGTAAAAAGCAGGCCTGTACACAGATGGCTCATTACCCAAGGAAATAGGAGCCTTTCAACCTCATCTTCCTCCCACCATGTTGCCACGTCCACACTCTTATAATTTGGAGAGGGCAATATGGATGGGCTGGCTTGCCATATATTCAGTAGATAATTGACTTCAACAGCTCCCTGGAAGAGTCTACTTCATTGAGAAAGCAGGACCAAGACAGTAGTCCTTGCTCAGCCCTTCCAATCCCGCAAGCAACGCAGGACTGGTCTTGAAGGTCCAGGAGAATCTAAGCCTCTCCGTCAATGTCAAGTTTGTTACCTCCATCGCTGCAGGTCCTAGAGTCTGAGGCCAGGCTGTCCGTGGAGCCGGTGGTGAAGCTGACGTGGACACCCCTGAAGGATGGGCTGAGGCTTTCTGCAGAGCCCTGGCTCACTTTTTCCAAATCAGAGCTGCTCTTGTTCATTTTTAGAAGGTGCCTGGAAAAGGTAGGAACAAACAATACAAATAACTCATTGGATTTCCATTCAGAAACCAGGCTGATGGATCATGAACTTACCATGCTCTTGAAACCTGGCCAATGTCAGCAAGTTTATTAAAAGAAAAAAAAAAGATTTTGGGGAGACAGTAGAGGTTCTCTTCTGAGTTCTTATGTGCATGAATGACAGGAGACTTCCAGAGTGTGGTTAGGAGAAGCGAGTCTATTAAATTTAAACAAGCACCAAAATTCTTACATGGAAGGAATTGCCTTCATATTCTGACCCCATCTGCCAAAACAGTTGTGTCACTTATTATATCCTGTGTAAAATCTCTACAAAGAAAAATAAAGATATTATCATACACACCAATGTATAGAGACATACAGATATTGGGTTGTTTTTGCAAGATCCCAGGACAAATGAATTGCAAACTAGGCCTTTACAAGTGGGATTTCTTTTTTTACCTGGTACTCTTTTGCCAAAGCTTCAAAGGGTCTAGATTGTTTCTTGGAATTAAGGAAAACTTTAAATGTGAACCAGACTTCCAGTGACATGCTTAGATAGAAACAAATTGACATAACCCTTATTCCAGAACAATGGAACCAACCTTTTGCTTTTCTGTGAAATCTTTTGTTGCATCTCTAAATAGCATCACCAACAGATCAAGGACAGAAATACCAACTTCAAGAGAAAAACACTCACATTGGAGAAAACAGTTCTATTATTAGGTTGGGTGTTTAGCTTATTGATTTCTCCTTCCCACTTTCCAAGGGCCACATGAATATTCATTTCTGATCTGACATTCTCACCATGAAGGGAGACAGATCCACACCAGGTCCAGCTCTTCCCCTGCTGGTGGAAACCCACATTTGTCTGAACTGATATTTCCTGATGACATTCCTGTTCCTTCTACGGCAGATCCATATCTCAATATCTGCTATGGGAAATATACAGTACAGTACTGATTTGGCATCAGAACTGCCTTATTTAATGCGCATGACCTTACGGTCAAGAATTTATTGGCTGTTCTTTGTGTTCAACATTGCCAGGCCCTGTTTTAATTTTCATAGTCACGGGAATCCCCTGTGTATCAACAGGAGGGTTTAAAGTTTGTTCGCTACCACAAAAAGTGCTCCTTGAAAACACGTCCCTCTCCCCACTCCCAACCCTTAGAATCGTACTTTTAAACTGTGTTAAATCTGTCAAAAAAAAAAATGTGACAGTGAAGGCAACATTATGACTAATCTTCATCTTTGTATCTCAGTATCGCTGTGGGAACCTTGGAAATATCAATTCCTTAGGAAATGCTATGGCAGTAGCTGATCCTTGCCTAATCTCCTGGCAAAATAAAATCAGACAGTTTCATACAATATTCTTATATCCACATCAGATCTATCACTAATAGTTTTCTCCAAGGGAAGCCAGGATATGAAGTCATGCATAACAACTCCTCAGTCTAGGAGAGAAGCCAGAGCCAGCTCTGTGGCTATCCCCTACTTTGCCCCTTCCAAAGTGGTTTCTAGAGTTTCTTGGTCTTCAGGCCCAGAAAATCACTAAGGGAGAAACTACAGCACCATGGCTACAGAGCTGGCACAGCTTCCCACTCCACAAACTTCATGAAATGTATGTAAATAGACAAAACCAAAAAATACATAAACATGTGTATGTATGAGCATATATATATATTCATATACATATGCACACACACACACATACTTACTTAAAGTAACAGCCAAGATTAAAAGAAAGAACAATTCTCAGGTGCCAGATACAAAGAGGGAACTCCACACACAGGCAGTACAAGGGATCCTTCAATACTAAGCGTATATTTACTACAGATTTCAGTAGACGCACTTTATCAGGCTAAGGATGTTTATTTCTATTTCAAGTTTTCTAAGGTTTTGTATTTCAAAATCATTTTTGGCTATTAGGGTTTATTAAATGCCTTTTCTACATCTATGGGAAAAAAATCATATCATGTTTCTCCTTTACTCTGTGAATGTGATGAGTTATGTTAATAGCTTTTCTTAATTAAGCCATCCTTGCACATGTTGTATGAACTTATTTTACTACACATTGCTGGATTCAGTTTTACTCATATTTAGTTTAAGATTTTTACATTTACATTCAAATAGAGGCTAGCCCATAATTTTTCTTTCTTGTCCTGTCCTTGTCCAATTTGGATATAAAGGTTAAAATAGAATTATAAAATGACGGCCGGATACGGTGGCTCCCTCCTGTAATCCCAGCACTTTGGGAGGTCAAGGCGGGCAGATCACTTGAGGTAGGGAGTTCGAGACCGGCCTGGCCAACAGGCCAACCCCATCTCTACTAATCATACAAAAATTAGCCAGGCATAGTGGCCTGCGCCTGTAATCCCAGCTACTTGGGAGACTGAGGCAGTAGAATCGCTTGAACCAAGGAGGCGGAGGTTGCAGTGAGCCGAGATGGTGCCATTGCACTCCAGCCTGGGTGACAGAGTGAAACTGTGTCTCAAAAAAAAGAAAAGGAATTATAAAATGAATTGAGTAACTTTCACTTTTTCAATTATCTCATGTAATTTTTTTTTTTTTTTTGAGATGGAGTCTTGCTCTGTTGCCCAGGCTGGAGTGCAGTGGCACCATCTTGGCTCATGCAAGCTACGCCTCCCGGGTTCACGCCATTCTCCTGCCTCAGCCTCCCGAGTAGCTGGGACTACAGGAGGCGCCCACCACCACGCCCCGCTAATTTTTTTGTATTTTTAGTAGAGACGGGGTTTCACCGTGTTAGCCAGGATGGTCTCGACCCCCTGACCTCGTGATCTGCCCGCCTCGGCCTCCCAAAGTACTGGGATTACAGGAGTGAGCCACCGCGCCCGGCCTTATCTCAGGTAATTTTTATAAGAGAAACATTATGTGTTCTCTGAAAGATTGCGAAAACTACCCTGTAAAACCATCAAGGACCAGTTGCTGTATAAATGAGATCAGTAAAGATCTGGTTCTGATAAATCTAGGACCAACATTTCCAGGACACAGACCCAAGAAACAGACTGGAGGATTAACAAGTCAATTCATGGTACTTACACCAGCTATTTATGATGTGAAGAAAAAAAGAAAGTAGAGCCATATCTCATACCGTGTAGAAACACGAATTTTCAACAGAAAAGAAACACCCATTAAATTTTAAATTCATCAGAAAAAATAACGAGAAAACTTTATGAACTTGGGGTAGGAAATAATTTTTAAAATAAGGGCTAAAAAATAGCAATATAAAGAAAAAGATAAATCTGACTACTTTAAAATTTAAAACTTCTGCCTCATAACATAAAAGTCACCATTAAAAAGTGAAAAAAAACAAACCTTGGAGTGGCCAACTCACATCTTTGCAACCCGCATTACTAATAAAGTACTGGTAGGCAGAATAAAAAAGAGTGCCTATAAATCTAAGAAACAGACAAATGACCCCATTTTTAAAATGGAAATGAACAGGCAACTCACAAATGAAACAAGAAAGGCCACTCAACACATGAAAAGATTATTAAAATTATGAATGATCAGATTGTAAATAAAACAAGATTTCATTTCATACCCATCAGATCAGACTGACAACGTCAGATTTTGTTAAAGATATAGGGAAATAGGAACTCTCTCACACTGTTTGTGAGACTGTAGATTGGTAAACTCACACACAGGACAACAATGTGATGAATCTTGTAAAGTTAAATACACACATTCCTATAATCCAGTCACTCCATTTTTGGGTATATGTCCTTGAGCAATGTTACTTAAATAACTAGTAATGAATGAATGGCTAAGTCACTTGAGTGGGTCACTAGCAGTTTACTGACCAGCAGTTTATTTTAACAAAACAGAACAGAACAGAAAATATGAAAATACATAGAAAGGATTTGTGAAACTTTGTTTTGTAAAACTTTTGTTTCAGATGTGTGTTTGTTGGGTCATGATATTAATGTTTCTTATTGTGGGTCATGGTTTTTAAAAAAGGTTAAAAATTACTGCTCTAGAATATGAGTCAACAAACTTTTCCTTAAAGGGCCAGATGGTAAATATTTTAGGCTCGTGGACCATAAGGGTTCTGTTGCAACTACAGAACTCTGCTGTTGTAGCTGGAAAGCCACCATAGAAATTAGTGGCATGTTTTCTAATAAAGCTTTATTTACAAAAACAGATGTCTTGCATGTGGGCAATCAGTTACTGGCTGGTCTTGACCAGCCTTGTCCAATAGAATTATAATGCAAGCCATATATGTAATTTTAAGTTTTCTGGTAACCACATTTAAAAAATGTAAAATAAATGGGAAAAAATAATTATAGTAATACATTTTATTTAACATAATGTATTCAAAATATTGTCACTTTAAGCAGTAATCAGTATAACCTATATCAATTATTAATGATATATTCCATATGTTTTTTTCATCCTAAGTCCTTAAAATGTGGCATGCATTTTATATTTACTCACATTGCAATTCTGACTAACCACATTTTAAGCTAGTGGCTACCATACTGTGCAGTACAGAGCTGGAGAAACTCTTATAAGTGGAGAAAGGTGTTCACAACGTTACAAATAGCAAATAACCTTCTAAACTGTTGAACGGTGCTTCCACAAAGGAATGAAAACATTGTGGTATAGTCTTTTGGTGGGATACTTTATAGCAGTAGAAAAAAATGAACTGGATTTTAGGGTAGCAATATGAAGAAATATTTTAAAATGCTGAGTATTAAAAGTAATTTACAAAAGGCTCAAGTAAAATGTGATGCCATTTGTATAGAGATTAAAAACATATAAGGATATATACATGTTTTACGGAGCACATAATAAAATGTAAATGATACTCATCAACTTCAAGACAGTGATTGCTCTGGGTAGCAATGGGAGGTTGAAATGGGAATTGGATAGGGAGGGATCTTCCACAGTAGCAGTAACATTTTATTTTTAAAAAATCTAAAGCAAATGGCAAAATGTTAATATTTGAAAAATCTTAGGGAACACCTGCAGGTCAGTTAAATTATTATCTGAACTTCACTGCATGCTTGGAATATTTGATACACTAAAAATGAAAATTTCTAGTGAGAAAGCAAATCACAGGGCCTGAATGAGGCAGGGGGTGGCTGCTCCTGTTGATCTGTTGTTGCGCCTCTGGAAGGCAAACAACACACAAAATAACACAGTGGGATTTCCATCAGACCCCTCAGTGGGAACAGGCAGTCTCAACGAGGGTTGGTTCCACCACAGAGCACCCCTGTGGCTGGAAACAGTTGCATCATAGACCTAACTACTCTTTTAAGACTTGGGAGTTAATTCTTCTGTCTATAGTTACTATAGCAGAAGTCACTGTTGTCAAAACTCTCATCAAGTGAATGCAGACAAAATTAGTCTATCCCTGTGATTACAGGATAAATTATCCGCAGGGTGTGTGTGTGTGTGTGTGTGTGTGTGTGTGTGTGTGTGTGTGTGTTAGGGAGGAAGGGAGCCTCCCAAAGTGGACTTTGGTAAATCTTAGTTTCTAAGCCACAAGTGGAATTTTCATGGCTTTTGGGATCTAACTGCTTCTTCTTTATTGGAAAAGCTTGAGAAATCCAGCTTCCTGCCAGGTCGCTAAAACCCAACAGGTGACCAGGCATCGTGGCCCAAGCCTGTAATCCCAGCACTTTAGGAGGCCGAGGTGGGAGGATCACTTGAGCCTGGAAGTTTGATACCAGCCTAAGCAACATAGTGAGACCCTGTCTCTACAAAAAAAAAAAAAAAGAAAGAAAGAAAGAAAAAGAAAATCAGAAATCAGTAGGCATTTGGAATGCTCAGTTGTAAATGGGGATATAACAGGTCTTCCAAAACACACGTAGGTGACCCTTTTGCTTAATAGCAAAATCTTAAGGCTGGGCACAGTGGCTCACACTTGTAATCCCAGCACTTTGGGAGGCAGAGGCGGGTGGATCACTTGAGGCCAGGAGTTCGAGACCACCCTGGCCAACATGGTGAAACCCCACCTCCACTAAAAACAAACCAAAAAATTAGCCAAGCACGGTGGTGTATGCCTGTAGTCCCAGCTACTCAGGAGACTAAGGCAGGAGAATCGCTCAAACCCGGGAGGCGGAGGTTGCAGTGAGCTGAGATGGCACCACTGCACTCCAGCCTGGGTGACAGAGCGAGACTCTGTCTCAAAAATAAAATAAAATAAAACCTTAGGACTGATGACTCTTTCTTATGAACTGCATTAAAAAGCATCCGCCCTGGAAACCTGTGCAATCTGTACTTTTTGAGAATTGCCACTTTAATTAGGGCATGAGCAAAACCACATCAAATTAAAAAATGAACAGGAAGCTTGCCATCAAAGCACAGACTTACAATCAAGTTGTTTGGGTCTTTACACTGTGTGTAAAATAGACTTCTTAAGAATCCCTGGAAAAGGCTTACTATTGCAATGATGACTTTTCTGAGCCCTAAAGGATTGTTCTATCAGATGTGAGGCCAAAAGACAATGAGTGTACTCAATGCGGTATAACAAGACTACTTAGCCTTTTTTAAAGGCACTTTTCCTTCATTAATAATAATTTGATCTGTCTTTCACAAAACTGGTGCAAACCATCTGCAAAATACTTCCATGGACAAAAACCTCATACTCCAGTCTTTTCTGTCTGTTTGGTGAATAACATTCTTATCATCTACAGTGAGAGTACAGTCTCCACAGATGTCTTCACTCACGTAGTGTGATAAAAGACATCTTGTGCTTAACCTCAAACTTCCTTTCGGCCTCCCACTGTTGATTACATACAGTCCAGGCAGGCAGGGTGAAAGGTACAGGCCAGTGGCACGGTGTCCTCAGAGCCCCAGCCCTGCAGCTGCTGCCCAGTGTTTTGAGAATAGCTTTTCCCTCCATTGTCCTTAGAGAGAGGTCTTGCCAGAGTGGTCTCCATACTATGTTGGTGGAAAGCTGGAAAAAAAGACTCCAGCCGGAAGAGCCATCTGCTAGACTTCCTCATTCGTAGGAACAAGCCTCATCTAAAAATACCCCCGAAGCTTTCAGAATGAGAGCTTTCAGAATGCCCACAATCCTTAACGGATGCGGGGCCCCAGTGTGCAGCAGAGAGTGAATCTCACACTTTCCATGGCTGTTAAAATCCTCATATGACAGCAATATTCAAAGTGTGATTGAGGCCGATTTTCATTCTCACTGCCCCTGACTTTTGTTTGGTTCACATACATTTGGCCGAGAGCTTTCTGCCACTGGAGCGGAATCTTTGAAAACCCACATATGCCAGCATGCAGTTTCAGACTGGCTCTCTAAATCCCAGCAGGCATTCACACTGCTGGCTCTTGGGATTGGTCAAATACACTAGTAAGTTTAGTAATGATCTGGAGAAGATCTAAAGGAAAGTTTTAGAGCATCAAATAAATGTTCTGAAAGCAAGAACAAGTTTTTAAACAGTCTATACATGTTTTTTCAATTACAAAGAAGAAAGGAAAAGACTGGTTTTAAACTCAAACAACCAATAATTGTCTCAAAGACTGAGAACCTCTTACCATTCTAGACTCAGGCCCGTAGTGCTGTCCTCATCAGTGAGGCCTCCCCGGCCTTGTGACTAGCTGGGACAGTGACTTCAGGTTCCCAAGGGGCAGCCCTTGGGTGTGAAGAGCCAGCTTCAGAGGCAGCCGGAATGCTTCTCCAGGCTGCTGTGAATTCACCAGCTCAGAGCTCTCTGTTTCCCCTCAGTTCCTCTCTGACTTTTCTATAAAATGCACTTCCTGCAAAAGCACAGGAAAACAGAGACGGCTCTGCCTCTCTGACCTGCAGCTTTCAATCTCCAATTGTCTTATTTGGCTCCATGATTCAAAGCAATTCAAATATGCTCTAAAATACACTAAGTTTCTCTTCATTTATTCTCTACTATTTAGCCACTTACTAAAGTCAAAATCATTAAGCAATTCGAGTTTTCTTGGTGGATAAGAACACTCTGTTTTTAACTTATCATATGCCTGTGTTACCTGCAGTGGATCTTCCTCCTTGTCTATCCTGAATACCTTTCCCAGGCTTTTCAGCATTAAGCCGACTCTGTGCCAAGCGCTGTTAGGTGTTGGGGATACAATGGTTAACAGAGCTGACAAGATCCCTGTGCTTGAACAAACCTGCAGACCTAGGAGAGAAATATTTATCAAGCTCCTCTAGTGAGAGATCAATTCACATCTTTTTTTTTTATTTTTTGAGGCAAAGTCTCACTCTGTCACCCAGGCTGGAGTGCAGCGGCATGATCTCAGCTCACTACAACCTCTGTCACCCAGGCTGGAGTGCAGCGGCATGATCTCAGCTCACTACAACCTCTGTCACCCAGGCTGGAGTGCAGTGGCGTGATCTTGGCTCACTACAACCTCTGCCTCCCCGGTTCAAGAGATTCTCATGCTTCAGCCTCCCATGTGACTGGGACTACAGGTGCATGCCACCACACCCGGTTAAGTTTTGTATTTTTAAGAGACACAGGGTTTCTCCATGTTGGCTAGGCTGGTCCCGAACTCCTGAGCTGAAGTAATCCACCTGCCTTGGCCTTTCAAAGTGCTGGGATTATAGGCATGAGCCACCACACCCAGCAATTCACATCTTCAGAGAATATTTGCAACCTTGGTAAAAGCACCCTGACTCAAAATCTTTGTAAAATGGACGATCCTGAAAGAGCCCTACCTGGCACTCCCATAAGGATTCTCTCTAGCTTAGCCACCATGTTGGATTGACTCAGGTCCTCTGTAGTGACAGAAACACACATCTCAAATTTTCTTTGACAATCTCAATTTCAAATATTCCCCATAGTCTATTCATTCCATTGTACACATTCCAACACATTCCTAGGCTTCTGGTTTAGAAAACAAAGTATCATCATTTTGGTTAACATACTGCTATTTCCCCTCCTAAATCCTCTGTTCCAAGCAGGCTCGTCTTTGTCCTCTGATTGTCTCCAAAGCACCAAAGTGCTCCTTCTCTTCTCCTAACTGTGGCTCAGAGGAAATGCTCCTCTCTCCCTTTCAAACCATCTCCATCCTCAAAACCCAGCATCAGTTTCACTTACCTACAAATTCCTCCCAAACTATTTCAGTCTTCTCTGACCCTTCTCATCCTTCTGTAACTGACACTGCACTGAGTCTGAATCACATCACTGAGAATTTGGTTATAATCCTGGTTACATTTTTCTAATTGTTTGATGTGAAATAGGCTTGTAACCGTTCCAAAATTATAAATGGTTTGAGGAGCTGTGTCACAGTTGAGACGTGCTGGAACACAGAGTCATTATTAAACAGTTCTTGATTAAGTTTATCTGCCTCTGTTTTGAGGCCACAGTGGCATCTGGGAGAATAAATGTTTCCTTTAAGAAAGAATTACACTTGCCCAGCAAAACTTGCAAAAGGCAGGAACACAGAGCAACTGATAACCATCAAGAATACCAGATTCAATAGCTGAAACTTTCTCATATCTACTAGGTTGGTGCAAAAGTAATTGTGGTTTTTGCCATTAGTACAAAATACACCTGTTCTAAAATATTCTGAATTTTCACAAATCTTGTAGTTTTTAAATGCTTTTTTATCCAGAAGATAGGAGGAGAAAGGCAGATAACTAAGCTAGGGAGGTTTCTATTATTTATCTATCTATCTATTTATTTATTTATTTATTTATTTATTTTTTGAGACAGAGTCTCGCTCTGTCACCCAGGCTGGAGTGCAGTGGCATCATCTCGCCTCACTGCAAGATCTGCCTCCCGGGTTCACGCCATTCTCCTGTCTCAGCCTCCTGAGTAGCTGGTACTACAGGCGCCCGCCACCTCGCCAGGCTAATTTTTTTTATATTTTTAGTAGAGACGGGGTTTCACTGTGTTAGCCAGGATGGTCTCGATCTCCTGACCTCGTGATCCACCTGCCTCGGCCTCCCAAAGTGCTGGGATTACAGGCCTGAGCCACCGCGCCCGGCCGGTTTCTATTATTTTTATCGTTGGAGCTTTTTGATGAAGATGCTAAGGGAGCTATTTTGCAAATGCCTAAATGCCAGCTGAAAAAACTGATAGGGCCAATCTTCTCTGGGGGCATGTTTTCCACCCGCTGATTTATTAGGATGCATAAATATAGGAAATCAGTTTCATCTTTGGTCAGATGACCTCTGTGGTCCCCATGGTGCAGGCCTGTTAATTTGCATTTTCAGTTAATGCACTAGTGACTCTTCTGGAGCTCTACAAGTTTAAAAGCCCTTTGTTTTAACTTCATATTCAGTAGAAACCATTTAACACAGGATAAACTCATAGTTACATTAAAAGATAGGAAAATACACACACACACACACACACACACACACACATACCACACAAACACACATACATGCACACACACACACATTTCGGTTACTAGTTGGTTTCAGTCAAGGATAAAAATTCTTAAATTGGTCAGATGGAAGTGTACCCTGATTATATACAGATATACTTTAGCATGAGAGATAGAAACATTTTTTTAAAGATGACAATTCAGATTTCAGAAAAGCAAGTCTTTTATTTGTGGCCCCAGCCTACACAGTTGTGGACTTTTCCAAAGAAGTGCTGGGCTGCCTGGTGCAGGAGTGAGGATGGCAGATGTTTGGGGGTATCCAGGTGCGGAGGTTTCAGCTGAGGCTGCAGACAGGGAGATGGAGCTGCTGATGAGCAGGTAAGAGAGTGATGAAGAACTCATAGCTTGGCTCCATCACCCCTGTACACTACACTTTCATCTCTAAAATGATCACCTAAGAACAACGTGTTCCAACTCATGGCCTGGAAAGTCAAGGAGGAAACTCACATCTGTTCACACAAGAGGAGCAGATGGGAAGAAAAGGAGATGAAAAGAGAAAAAGTGGGAACTAACAAGAGAGTAACTGCATTCCACAAAAGGGCCTCTCCTACCAGCTGCCTTGCCTATAGGCAAGCACAGTATCCCAGGGCCCTCAGGAGCTACTGGGAAGAACAATGATGCTAGCAGTTGAATAACTTCCTAGACGGATTTCAGAGTCACCAAGGATGGCCAATGATGTGGTGGTTAAGAGCATGAACACTGGTGCTTCACGGCCTGGGTTCGGGTCCTGACTCAATGCTTACTGGCTGTGTGTTTTGGAAAAGGCCCTTAATCTCTCTCTGTTTCAGCTTCCCATCTATAAAATGTGGATAATGACAATACATACCTCATGCAGTTATTAGAAAGATTCAATGAGTTATTATTTATAAACTGCTCAAAACAGCACCATGTACATAGAAAGTGCTCGTTAAATGGATGGATGGATGGATGGATGGATGGATGGATGGATGGATGGATGGGTGCATGGATGGATGGATGAATAGATCAATGGATGGATAAACAGGCAAACAGAGGACTTCTGCAGTCTCCAGTATACTGAGTGTATTAGTTAGTTCTCTATTGCTATAAAGAAATACCTGGGACTGGGTAATGTATAAAGAAAAGAGGTTTAATTGCCTCATGGTTCCACAGGCTGTGCAGGAAGCAAGATGTTGGCGTATGGTGGGCTTCTGGGTAGGCCTCATGAAATTTAAAAACATGGCAGAAGGCAAATGGGGAGTCAGCACTTCACATGGCAAGAGTAGGAGGAAGAGAGTGAGGGAGGTGCCACACACTCTTTTGAACAACCATATCTCATGAGAACCCTATCATGAGAACAGCACCAAAGGGGGAAATTCGCTCCCATGGTCGAATCACCTCCCACCAGACCCCATCTCCAATATTCGGGATTATAATTCAACATGAGATTTAGGTGGGGACACAGATCCAAACCATATGACTGAGTAATTCTTTTTGCTATCGACAGAAGCAGAAATCTTCAGATAGTCTAGAGGTTCACCCTACTTTGATGTCTCTACTCTTACTACAACATTTAAAAGATCTGCAAGGAAAGATAAATAGAATGATGCTTTGAGGACATGCATTATTCTAAAATCATGAGAAAGAGTTGATTTGTCCATTGACCAGACCTCATTTTGAATTTGTGTGTTCAAGAACTAGATAATTTATAGTATAGCCCCAGATCCAGGAGGTGACATATTCCTCAGCTAATCAGGTTGCTTAGCTCTATCACTTCGCTTTCAGTATATAAAGATCTAGAAAGAGAACAACCTATTTTATTACATCAGCCTGCCTTCCCCTTGCAAAAAAGAATCTCCCATGAGTACCCTTAGCCTCCTAGAACTTTCCTTTCTCCCTTCACACCATCTCCTCATCCCCCAGCACACATCTACCTCTGGTGTTTGGTTAAACAAAAACACTAGTGAGTTGTTACCCACTTGGGAGTCACTGCAGTTCTGGGCTTGATCGAATCCTATTGAAATCCCACCAAGATCACCTGTGCCTGACCAGAATCTTTGTGTTTCTAGACTAATGGTTTTGGTGACCTTGCTTTCAGAATTCTCAGACCCTAATTTTCTTGATTTGGTGAATATTTCAAATTCACTTTGTTGAACCAGCTTCAGTGTATTTTATACTAGACTTCATTTCTACCCTTCTAGCTTGAGAGGTTATTTGGACCAAAGCTCTTAGGATGAGCTACTTCCCCATTCTTCACGCTGGGGCAGCCTTTTGCCCAATAAGGAGCAGACACCATCACAGGTTCTCTCCACACTCCCTGATCAATTCTTCACTCTCTTATCTGCATCTCAACAGGTCCAGCTCTCTGTCTTCAGACTCAGTTGACCTCCCCATTCTGGATATCCCCAAGCATTTTCCATCCTCATTCCTGTACCAGGCAGCCCAGTGCTTCTCCAGGAAAAAGTCCACAACTATGCAGGTTGGGGCCACAGTTAATTCATACTACCTCTCAGGGCTCCCTGGTAATGCTTGTACTTGACCCAAATCAGCTGTTCCAAGCATTCATCACTTTTATTCATCTTCTTAGTCACCATACTCATCTCTCTCAAGTAAGTCCTCTATTTCTCCATGACTCACAGTTTCTCTTCCTGTTAGTTCTTAAGTGCAGAGAAGTGAGATGACCATATGCCTAATTAATGACACATTTTTACATTGGTCTGCATTATTTTAGTTTTTCCCTTCATCTCTACCTCTACTCTAATTTGCCACTTTCCCAATATCTCACTTCTAGGTATACACACTATATTTGGTATACCTGTATGTTTGTTTTATATCTTGAGTTTTTCTTTGAATAAAGATTTTGTACTTGCTTACAAAAAATCCATTTTAGCTTTAAGGGCATACATAAGCTGAAGGTGAAGGGAAGGAAGAAGATATTCCATGCAAATAATAACCAAAAGAGAGCAGAGATGGCAATACTTATATGAGATAAAATAGACTCCAAGTCAAAAATGGTTACAAGAGACAAAGAAGGGGATCATTTAATAATAAAGGGGGTGATTTATCAAGAGGACACAACAATTGTAAATACATATGTACAAACATTAAAGTATCTAAATATAAAAAGCAAATATTAATGAACATAAAAGAAGAAATAGATAGCAGTATAATTATAGTAGGAGACTTCAACACCTCATTTTCAACAATGTGATAGATCAACCAGACAGAAAATTAATAAATACTGAACTGGAATTAAGCTTTAGACCAAATGGACCTAAAAAGCATATATAGAACTTTCCATATAACAGCAGCATTCTTCTCTAGCACACATGGAACTTTTTCCAGGATAGACCACATGTTGGGCCATAAAACAAGTCTTATAAATTCAGGAAAATTGAAATCATATCTAGTATTGTTTCCAACCACAACAGTGTGAAATTAGAACACAATAATATGAGGAATTTTGTAAAATTAACAGATATGTAATAATGAAACAACATGCTCCCAAAACAACCAGTAGTTAAAGAAAAAAATCACAGAAATTAAAAAATTATCTTGAGAAAAATGACAATAGAAATACAATATATCAAAATGTATAAGATGCAGAAAAAGTAGTTCTAAGAGGAAATTTTATAGCAATAAATGCCTTCATTAAAAAAGAAAGATCCCAAATAAATAGTATAACATTATATACCTCAAAGAAGTAGAAAAAGGACAAAACCACGTGTGGCGCTTATGCCCATAATCCCAGTACTTTGGGAGGCCAAGGCTGAAAGACTGTTTGAGCCTAGGAGTTTGAGTCTGCGGTAAGCTATGATTGATCCACTGCACTCTAGCCTGAGTGACAGAGTGAGGCCCTGTTTCAAAAGAGAAGAAGATGAAGAAAAAGAAGAAGAAGAAGATAAAGAAGTAGTAGTAGTAGTAGTGGTAGTAGTAGAAGAGGAAGAGGAAGACCACCCATTGCACAAGGGAGGAAATAATAAAGATTAGAACAAAAATAAATAAAATAAAGAACAGAAAAGCCACATAAGGAAAAAAAAAGTCAATAGAACTGAGAATTGGTTCTTTGAAAAAAACAAGCAAAATCAACAAACCCCTAGATAGACTAAGAAAATAAGGAAAGAAGACTCAAATAAAATCAGAAATGAAAGTGGGGACATTGTAACAGATGTCTCAGAAATAAAAATGATCATAAGGGACTATTATGAACAATTATATGCCAACAAATTGGATGACAGAGAGAAAATGGATAAATTCCTAGATTCAATATTGAATCAGGAAGAAATAAAAAGCTTGAACAGACCAGTAACAAATAAAGAGATTGAAGAAGTAATTAAAAACGTTCCAACGAAGAAAACCCCAGGACCAGATGGCTTCACAGCTGAATTCTGCCAAACATTCAAAGAACAATTATTACCAATACTTCTTAAATTCTTCCAAAAAAAAAAAATAATAATAAAGCTAGAGGGAATACTTCCAAAAACTTTTTATGAGGCCAGCATCACCTTGATACTGAAGCTTGACAAAGATACCACAAGAAAAGAAAAAGTACAGGCCAATATTGCTGATGAATATTAATTCAATTCTCAATAAAGTATTGCAGACTGAATTCAACAATACATTCAAAAGATTACGTAATGTGACCAGTGGGATTTATCCTTGGCATGCAAGGCTGGTTTGGCATATACAAATAAATCATTGTAATATGTCACATTAACAGAATGAAAGATAGAAACCACATCTAAATTGACATAGAAAAAGCATTTGACAAGGTACAGCATCCTTTCTTGATAAAAACTCTTAACAGCTTGGGTATAAAAGAAAAGTTCCTCAACATAATAAAGGCCATTTATGAAAAACTCACAGCTAATATCATAATCAATGGGGAACAACTAAATGTTTTTCCATTAAGATCCAGTAGTAGGCAAATAAATCCACTTCTGCCACTTCATATTCATCATTGTACTGGAGGTACTAGCAAGGGCAATCAGACAAGAAAAAGAAATAAAAGGCATCCAAACAAAAAAAGGAAGAAGTAAAATTATCCGTATTTACAGATGACATAATCTTGTATGTGGAAAATCCCAAGAATTCCACCAAAAAAAGAACTAAAATGAATTCGGTAAAGTTGCAGGATAGAAGATCTACACACAAAAACCAGTAGCATTTCCACATACAAAAAAACAATCCAGGTGAAAAAACAAAAATCAAGAAAACAATCCAACTTACAATGGCATAAAAAATTAGGAATAAATTTAAACAATGAGGTGAAAGATATGTATACTGAAAACTATAAAACATTAAATGCAAGAAATTGAAGAGGACATAATTAAATGCAAATATATACCATGTTCATGGATCAGAAGAATTAATATTGTTGAAATGTCCACACCACCAAAAGTGATATACAGATTTAATGCAATCTCTATCAAAATTCCAAAGGCATTGTTCACAGAAATAGAAAAAACAATCCTAAAATTCATATGGAATGACAAAAAAAACCCTTCAAATAGTCAAAGCAATATTGAGAAAGAAAAAAGGAAAGATGAATTTGGAGCCTTCATACGTCCCGATTTTAAATTATATTACAAAGCTATAGTAATCAGAAAAGAATATGGTAGTGGCATAAAACCAGAAGCATAGAGCAATAAAACAGAATACAGAGCTCAGAAATTGATCCAGACATACATGGTCAACTAGTTTTTGACAAGAGCATCAAAAGGGCACCATAGAAAAGATAGTCTCTTTAATAAATGGTGCTGGGAAAACTGTATCTCCACATGAAACAGAATGAAACTGAACCCTTATCTTATATCATACACAAACATAAACTCAAAATGGATAGAAGGCCTAAATGTAGGACCTGAAGTCATAAAACTATGAGAAAAGAACATAGGAAAATCTATTTGATATTGGCCTTGGAAATGATTTTTTGGATATCGCACCAAAAGCTCAGACTACAAAAGCAAAAATAAATAAATGGAACTACATCAAACAGAAAACCTTCTGCACAGCAAAGGAAACAATCAACAAAATGAAAAGGCAACTTAGGAACTGGGAAAAAATGTTTGCAAACCACGTGTCTGATAAGACGTTAATGTCCAAAACTTATGAAGAATTCTTACAACTCAATAGCAGAGCAATAAGTAACCATACTAAAATATGGGCAAAGGATCTGAACAGACATTTATCTGAAGACATAAAACTCACCAACAGATAAATGAAAAGGTGTTCAACATCACTAATCAGGGAAATGCAAATTTAAACCACTGTGAGATATCACCTAGCACTCATTAAGATGGCTGTTATCAATATGAAAGACAACAAATGTGGGTGAGGGTGTGAAGAAAAGAGAACACTAGTGCATTTTTGGTGGAAATGTAAATCATTATGAAAACTATAGAGGTTTTTGTTTTGTTTTGAGACAGGGTCTCACTCTGTCACCTAGGCTGGAGTGCAGTGGTGCAATCATGGCTCACCACAGCCTTGACCTCTTGGGTTCAAGTGATCCTCCTGCCTCAGCCTCCCAAGTAGCTGTTACTACAGGCATGTGCCACTGTGCCCAGCTAATTTTTTTGTATTTTTTGTAGAGATGAGGTTTCATTATGTTTCCCAGACTGGGCTCGAACTCCTGGGTTCAATAAATTTGCCCATCTCAGCCTTCCAAAGTGCTGGGATTTCAGGCTTGAACCACCACGACTGGCCTAGAGGTTCTCAGTGGCATTTTTTGCAGAAATAAAAGATACATCCTAAAATTCATATAAAACCTCAACATATCCTAATAGCCAAAACAATCTAGAAAAAGAACAAAGTTGGAGGTCTCACACTTCCTGATTTCAAAACTGATACAAAACTACAGTAATTTAAAAAGTGGAGTACTAGCATATAGACATATAGACTAATGTAATAGACTAGAACGTCCAGAAACAAACCCTCATGTATACGGTCAAATGATTTTCAACAGGAGTGCCAAGACCATTCAACGTGGAAATGACAGTCTTTTCAACGAATGGTGCTGGTAAAAGTGAATATCCACATGCAAAAAAATGAAAGTGGACCCTTGCCTAATATTGTATACAAAAATTATCTAAAAATGGGTAAGAGACCTAAACTTAAGACCTAAAACTATAAAATTCCTCGTGGAAAACAAAAAGAAAAAAACTTAATGACATTGGATTTGGCAATGATTTCTTGGATATGACAACAAAAGCAAAGACAACAAAAGCAAAAATAGATAAACTGGACTACATGGGAATAAAAACATGTTGTGCATCAAAGGACATAATCAATAGAGTGAAAAGGCAACACATGGATTGGGAGAATATATTTCAAATCCTACATCTGATAAGCGGTTAATATCCAAAATAAACAAACAACACTTAAAACTCAACAACAAGAAACCAAACAATCCAATTAAAAACTGGTCAAAGAACTTAAATTTGTCAAAAAACAAAACAAAACAAAAACCCACAAGGGCCAGTAAGCACATAAAAAGATACTCAACATCTTTAATCATTTGGAAAACACAAATCAAAAGCACAATGAGACAACAACTCATCCCATTAGGATGGGTACTATAAAAAACAAAAACAAAACAAGTTTTGAAGACACATGTGGAGAAATTGGAACCCTTGTGCACTGTCAGTGGGAATACAAAATGGTGCAGCTGCTATGGAAAACAGTAAGGCAGTTCCTCAAAAAATTAGAAATAGAATCACCAAATGAGCCAACAATTCCACTTTGTGGTATATATTTCAAAGAACTGAAAACAGGGTCTCTAACAGATATTTGCTTACCTGTGTTCATAGCAGTATTATTCACAGTAGCCAAAATGTAGAAGCAACTTAAGTATCCATTAACAGACGAATGAATAAACACAATATGGTTCTGTGAATGTATGGGAAAAACAAATTCAGTTCCTCCTATACTGTCACAATACAAAATACTTCTGTGACCTCAGATCTTGTTAGTTGTCCACCCCAACACCATGCAAGCAATCAATTCTGCAGCAAACACCAGCTGGTTGCTACCAAATTCAATTCAATTCTGACACTATCTACCTAGAGGTAGAGTCAGATCCCACAGGTTGAGGGTTCAGTTTCAGAAGACTTCCCCCTACTTCCAATGCCAATCCAAAGCCCAGGTTGTTTTATCTGTGCTTCTGATCAATCAATTATAAATTGGGGCTCCCATAATCTCCTCCTTGGGTTCAATTAATTTGTTAGAGCTGCACATAGAACTCAGGGAAATGCTTACAAGTTTATTATAAAGTATATCACAAAGGATACAGAAGAAGAGAAGCATGGGCAAGGCGTGTGGGAAGGGGCATGATGCTTCCATGCCCTCTCTGACAAACCACCCTCAAGGAAACCCCAGAGGTTCTGCTATTCAGAAACTCTCTGAACTCTGTCCTCTTAGGTTTTTATGGAGGCCTCATTACATAGTCATGATTAATTAAAGCATCAGCCATTAGTGATCAACTTAACCTTCAGCCTCTCTCCCCAACCCTGTGGGTTGGAGTGGGACTGAAAGTCTCAACCCTCTAATCTTGTCTTGGTTTTTCAGGTGACCAACTCCCCTACTGAAGTGACCAAGGGGCTGCCAGCCCTCAGTCAATTCATAAGCATACAAAAAGACACATCATTTCTGTTGGAAAGGAATGCTTATTCCTTGGTGCTACAAAGAAGAATCAGCATTCAGACAAAAAGTTTTCTCAGCAAGACAATTTTACTTTCTGCAGAAAGGGTGCTGCCCATCAGCAATCCTGCCACGAGAGCACACTGAACAAAGAGACACAGGAATATTTATCCCTTATGGGTGAAGTCCCTATTGCTTTGTCCTACCTCCACTGGCTGGAGCTGGACCTCACAGTCTAAGCTTAGCCCAATTGGCTAACAATCTAAAACTTTCCTAAATAGGTAAAGACAGTGCTAAACAAAGGAAAAGAGGAAGTTGCTTACATAAAGGCTTATAGAAGCAATAACATTTCCAAATAAGGAAGGGATATAAGCTGTGACCTGGGACATGCCTGAGCAAGCCAAAACTCATATTGTAGTTAAAGTATATGTATATATAAAATGCTTATCCTTTTACACTTAATGACTATGTAAGGTTTAATGAAGAGTTATTGTTAAAAGCTAGTCTTTAAGATAAACTATTAGTTCTAACACTTATGATTTATTCCTTAATAAAAAAGGTAAGCTTGAAGAGGAACTTTTTACTTTTCACAATTCCCTCCTCTTATTTTTTTATAGTTTTTCCTCTTCAAACTGTTTTAATATTTCTTGGCTTAATTGCTCTGATTGAATTTCTAAAAGGAGAATTTTTTCTGAATAAGGTGGAGGAGAGTTAAGATGGGTTTTAGTAAGAGTTGTTTTTGTTAATCTTATTACTAATTCCCAGATGCATGGTATAATACAACACCCAAGAAGAAGGAGTATGCCTATTACAGTTGCTATAGAAGTAAGAATTGAGGCTACAGTTTCTTTCTATTGACCGGACCATCCTTCTAGCCAATTAGAAATAGCATTAGGTACAACAGGATGAGTCGTCTAGACTATCTGATTGATAGCTCTAAGGTCTTGCACTAATCAGTATGACCCGTCTGATTACTTGACTGGTAAAATTGGAGTATTGGATGAGGACATACAAGGTTTGAGCAGCCCATCTTTAATAAGTCCTTCAATTACAGGCTTTAACCCTATTCTTCCTTATAAAGGAATACGGTATTGCTTTCTCCTTACTACCTCCCCTGGAGTTTTTAACCAAATATGTATTGGAGGAATTCGTAGCTTTCCTCAGTTTCCTTGACCAGACATCTGGATGTATGTATTTTTCATCTATCGCAGTTAACAAATTTAAAGAGGTTAGAAAACCTTTTGGACCAACTTGCAAACCTATACCTAATTTATCATTAAATCCCTTACTAACAAATTGGTTCCTGCTTCAGGAATTAATAAAAATTGTATACAAGTCGATTGATCTTGATATTTAACTTCCATATTTTCTAAAATTTTTGCCTTAAATCCTTCTCCTTTGACCCTGGAAACTGTCAATTCCTCTGAGGAACGAGCTAAATCAGCTGGAGGAAAACCAACAGATGAGTGAGCAGCTCCTGAGTCAATCAAAAAGGTGATTAATTCATGTTTGGGTCCCACCTCTAAATTTATCAAGGGCTCTTGGTGGGACTCGAAATAGAAAAGACAGAGCCCCTGACCCCTCTATTCTTCTTCAGAAGTAGTCACAAATGGGAGAGCTTCCTCTGCTTTTTCCAATTCAGGACATTCGTTCTTAAAATGACCTGGCCTCCCACATCTGTAACATCTGTCTTGCCCTCCCTGTCTTCCAAGCCCAGGGCCCCTTTTCTTCTTCTCTTTATTTTCATATCCACAGCCCCTATGGCACTTACTTTTACCTTCTCCTCTAAAATACTGACCTTGCCTTCATTCTCTCTGCATTCCTGAATTACCAAAATTTCTCCTCTTGCCTCCTCTAGAAAATCCTACAGGTGTGGGTCTAGACTTAGCCCCCTACATCATCTGTCCTGGTGAATTCTGCCAAAAGATTTTCACTTTCTGCCTTTGTCTTTCCTCATCTCTCCTCAAATATACCTTCTGAGCTTCTCCTAACAACTCCTCTATTGACTTATTCTTCCAGTTCTCTAATTTTTGTAACTTCTTAGCAATGTCTGGCCAACTCTTAGTAACAAAGTGCAGTTTTAACATTCCTTGCCCAAGGGGGCTTTCTTGGTCTAAATCTGCATATTTTCTCATCTGTTCTCTTAGTCCAAGAATCTCATAGGTCCTTCATCCTTTTCTTGTTGTATGTTAAATGCCTTGGAAAGATTTTGGGTTCAGGGTGCTGATTGCTGAATCCCCTTGATTATTATTTCCCTTAAATCTTTCATATTATCTCAGTGGGTGGCATTATTTTTATCCTACTGCGGTTCCTGAGCAGGGAATTTGTAATCTGCTGCCAGAATATTTTGACCTGGAGGATGTTCACATTCCCAAATTGCCATAGCGGCTCTGTGGATCATATTTCTTTCTTCCCCTGAAAAGAGGATATCCAGGATGGAAATTAATTCAGCCCAAGTATATAACTGAGGGCCTAAAAAGTGATCAATTTGATCTGACATCTCATAAGGATCATCTAACAGTAGCTTGAGTTCCTTTTTCAGACTTCGGACCTCAGACCCAGTTAGGGGAGCATTTACAAAGTCAATGTCCCCCTCACTGAGGAACTTCCCTTAAAGGAAAGAACGTTGAAGTTGACCTCTTAGTAGGGGAGGAAAGGGAAGATTCTGAATATCCTTTTTACATTGCTCTATCTCCTGCTGAAGTCCTTTCTTTAAGGAAGGATATTTAGAATGCCCAGATTCCTGGAATTCCCAAGAATCTGGGTTATATGGTGGGAGGAAATAACATGGAAGGGCCTGGAGCAGCAGTCAGGTCTGGGATCGGGTCCGGAAGGGGGTACAGGGCAGCAGCAGCTGCCTGGGGAGGTGGCAGTGGGTTATTAAGAAATGGGGGAAGGTGGTCTAGAGGGTCCCATTTCTTATCAGATGAGGCAATCTCTGACTCTTCCTTGTTCTCCTGTCCCCCTTCACCTGTTTTCAGAGGGTAAAGAAGAACAGGCCCTTGCCACCAGCATAGAGCATAATCAATCTATTTCTTCTTGTGATGCAGGAAAATTGGAGTATTGGATGGGGACATACAAGGTTCGAGCAGCCCATCTTTAATAAGTCCTTCAATTACAGGCTTGTCATTAACATACATTTTTAAAAGTTGACAGACTCAATCTTCATCTGACCCAAATTTTGGCCAAACAACTGCTGGCTGGAGGATTGGCTCTTTAGTTCAAATGAAGCAACAATACTTAATCATCTACTGCTTCTTTTTGAATTTAGTTGTTTCATTATCTTACCAATCTTTAACATAAACCCTAAAGGATTATTAGGGGGAATCTGATCACTTGCATCTTTCTTCGCTCCCAATTTACTAGAAACATTTCCCATACTGAATGCTGGGTAGACTCAACTTCTTAATTCTAGAGACTTCTTGTCTATCCTGTTTTTCCCTAGCTTGCTTAAATTCCTAACCTCACGCACTTGAGGTTTCATTTTCCCTGGGGAGGATCTTAACTCCTCTTCCCCCACCCCTGGAGCTTTCTTACACTCTTCACTCACTTCGTCCTACCTGGCTGCTTCCCTAATGGAAATTTAGGCTCCTCTTAGCATTGGCATGCTGATATAAACCCACGTCAGGATCTGCCCTAAGCTGTATGAGGTGGCCATGGAACCACAGGTAGCACCCACCCACTCCGTCCAGCAGGACTTGTCACCATCCACACAAGCAACACCGCATGGCTTGAGACCATTCACACACACTTTCAACTTCCAGAGTATCTGGACCACCAAGGAAGTACTTTGTCACACCCCTGTGACGTTTCTTACTTGGTCTGTGCACAGAGTTTACCTGGTTGCCACAGCAGTGCAAGCCTGTCCATCCTTTCCCGTGTTGCTGAGAGTCTGGGTTTATTCATTACAACAGGTGAGTTCTGATTCCCAACCCCTGAGGCCACTGCAACAAGGCAGTGGGGCACCTCCCCTAGGAGAAAGATCAGAGACCCTGCCCCAGAGGAGAATGGGTGATCCTGGATGAGCCCCCAAACTGTTGGAAATAAATGCTTATTCCTCGGTGCCACAAAGAAGAATCAGTAGTCAGATAAAAACTTTTCTCAGTACTTTCTGCAGAAAGGGTACTGCCCATCAGCAATCCTGCCACAAGAGCACACTGAACGAAGAGACACAGGAATATTTATCCCTTACATGTAAAGTCCCTATTGCTCTGTCCTATCTCTACTGGCTGGAGCTGGACCTCACAGTCTAAGCTTAGCCTGATTGGCTAACAATCCAAAACTTTCCTAAATAGGTAAAGACTGTGCAGAACAAAGGAAAAGAGGAAGTCGCTTATGTAAAGGCTTATAGAAGCAATAACATTTCCAAATAAGGAAGAGACATAAGCTGTGAGCTGGGACATGCCTGGGCATGCTGAGACATGCCTGAGCAAGCCAAAACTAATATTGTAGTTAAAGTATAAAGATATATATATATAGATATAGATATATAGATATATATATGTGTGCGTGTGTATATATATATATACTTATATATAATATACTTATCCTTTTACACTTAATGACTATATAAGGTTTAACAAAGAGTTATTGCAAAAAGCTAGTCTTTAAGAGAAACTATTACTTCTAACACTTATGACTTATTCCTTAATAAAAAGGAAACTTTGAAGAGGAACTTTTTAATTTTCACAACTTTGAAGATACCAAAAATTTTAGGAGTTGTTTGCCAGGACACTGGAAAAAGACCAAATATGTATTTCACAATAGTACAACGGTATATACATGCAATGGACTATCACTCAACTTTTAAAAGGAAGGAAATTCTGACACATGCTACAAGATGGATGAAACTTGAGAACATTATGCTAAGTGAAACAAGCAAATGACAAAAAGACAAGTACTGGATGATTCCATTTATATGAGGTACCTAGAGTAGTCAAATTCAGAGACAGAAAGTAATGGTGGTTCCCAGAGGCTAAGGGAAGGGAGAAACAGGAAGTTGTTTAAAGGTGGAGAGTTTCAGTTTTGTAAAATGAAAAGACTTCCCTGGAGACTGATTTAATATACAACAAATGGAAACTACTATTAAACTTTATACTTTAAAATGGTTACGATGGTGAATTTTATGTTATATGTAACATATATACATATTTTATGTGTATGTCTATTTTTTAAAAACTACATAAAAGGTTAAGAATGCAGCTTTCCTTAAAAACAGACATAGTGTTATTTTATGAAACTGTTTATATTTAATTTATATTAAGTATATTGTGCTATAGATTTCATTCTCTTAGTTATTTCAGTCAATACCAGTATGAGGTTCACCCATGTTTCTGGACATATTTCTAGTTCATTGCTTCTGACTGCTATTAAATAGTTTATTTCATAATCATAACATTTTACTTACCTATTTCTCTAGAGATGAATACCTGGACTTGCTCTAACTCCCTGCTACTATAATGTTATGACAAACTTCCTTGTTTATGTCCCCTTACTGACCTGTGTGAATATATACTCAGGAATGAAGGTTGTGGGGACAAGATGTAGTCTCATACTTAATTTAACAGCTGTTTAATAGCCATTTTCCTGTATTTTTGCTGAAATTTGGAATTATCCCACTTTGTAATTGTCATCAATCTGATGGACATAATGTGCTATTTTACTGTTTTATGCTTCTCTGATTATTAATGAAGTTAAGTAGCTCTTCAAATTCTTGCCCTGCATTTAGCTTTTCCCTCCTGTTAACTGCCTATCCATGTTTTTGCCTGTTTTTCTACTGGTTTCCACATATTGTTCTGCTTGAATTACAAGAGCACCTTACATGTTAATGCCTTGTCAGTCTTTGATACACTGCTTTAATTTCTCACCCATCTATTAACTGCTGATGGCATCCTCAGTTCAACAGAAATCCTTAATTTGATGAAGTCAAAGCCATCATTTTATGGCTTATTCTTCTAGGGTCTTAAAAATGCTGTGAATGTTTTTAAATTTGCTTTTTGGTCTTATTTTTCTCATTTGGATCATTATTCCATCTGCAGTCCACTTTTACATACACTATATGACACTATATGGCAGGATTTCAATGTTGTTTTTTTTTTTGTTTTCTCCATACAGTCAACAAGTGTGCCAAAATCATCTCGTAAGCAATCTGTACTTTTCCTACCAATGTATGGTCACGGCTCCACCTAAAAGAAGTCTTCAATATTTAGCGATCAAATGAATGTCAAGATGGAATCTCAGACCCTGAACTGTAAGGATCTTCTCTATTCTACATGCAAAGTACTCCTTATCTTTCTCAGGTTTCTGCTTTTTGTAGGAAACACAGACAAGCATTGAGAGTGTTTGGGATCAAGGGTCTGGAAATTGTCTGTACAGACAATTTCCTTGTTTCACGTCTTGAAGATGACATGAATATAGAGAAGATATTTTGAAAGATTTGAAGAAAGGATACCAAGGAAATATGACAGGTCAGCAAATATCTCTGTCCTGGTTTTCTTCTATTTTCTCCTAGGGAGACATGACCTGTTTTCAATCAAGCATCTCTATAAAAATGATGGTCTGTCTTTTCACCAGTGGAGAAGATTCAGAAAAACTATAAGTAGTATGTGTTAGGAAAACAATAGTTTTGTTTTCATCTTCCCAATTTAAATTATGTTACATCACTGAATTTTCATTGTTAAACTATCCCTCCCAAAGATTCTGACACAGCTCCTGCATCTGCCACCTCACTCCCCAATCCTGGGCACTGAAAATCAATACAACGGCTGGACATGGTGGCTCACACCTGTAATCCCAACACTGTGGGAGGCCAAAGCAGGTGGATCACCTGAGGTCAGGAGTTCGAGACCACCTGACCGACATGGAGAAACCCCGTCTCTACTAAAAATACAAAAAATTAGCCCGGCATGGTGGCAGGTGCCTGTAATTCCAGCTACTCGGGAGGCTGAGGCAGGAGAATCACTTAAGCCCAGGAGTTGGAGGTTGTGGTGAGCTGACATCGCGCCATTGCACTCCAGCCTGGGCAACAACAGTGAAACTCCAACTCAAAAATAAATAAATAAATAAATATATGCAACAAGCCAAAGAGAATAAGGCTAAGTGGGCTGAGTGCAGTGACTCACACCTGTAATCCCAGCACTTTGGGAGGCCAAGGAGGGTGGATCACCTGAGGTCAGGAGTTTGGGACCAGCCTGGCCAATGTGGTGAAACCCTATATATATATATATACACACACATATATATATACAAAAATTAGCTGGACATGGTGGTATGCCCCTGTAATCCCAGCTACTTGGGAGGCTGAGGCAGGAGAATCTCTTGAACCCAAGAGGTGGAGATTGCAGTGAGCTGAGATCGTGCTTGCACTACAGCCTGGGTGACAGAGTGAGACCCTGTCTCAAAACAAACAAACAAACAAACAAACAAAATAAGGCTAAGTGAAAACACATTGCTTAATAAGATTTAAGGATAGAAACAGTAAATTGAAGGTCTATAAAGGAAAATAATCCTTTAAATAATGGGTAATAAACTTAATAGTAACTGTTATTTACTAAAATGCAGAGTTCCACAAATGGTTAAAATTCATGGGACGTTCATAATCACTCACTAAGAAGAAACAAGACATTTTGGCATTTCGGTCTAAAATTAGAGTCTCTATTCAAAGAGAATGGCCGTCATCTGCCAAACAGAAGTGGCTAGACAGAGTCCCCCTACCACCCAAAGGCATGGGAATTCTTTTTTTTTTTTTTTTTGAGACGGAGTTTCACTCTTGTCATCCAGGCTAGAGTGCAATGGCATGATCTTGGCTCACTGCAACCTCCAACTCCCGGGTTCAAGCAATTCTTCTGCCTCAGCCTCCTGAGTAGCTAAGATTACATGCGTCTGCCACAATGTCTGGCTAATTTTTTTACTTTTAGTAGAGACAGGGTTTGACCATGTTGGCCAGGCTGGTCTTGAACTCCTGACCTCAGATGATCCTCCTGCCTCTGCCTTCTAAAGTGCTGGGATTACAGATGTAAGCCACTGAGCCCAGCTGGGAACTCTTAAACTCTTGAATTACTAACAAAAATGGGTATTAACCACTTGAGATTTTGCACTTTATTTTTATCTTTTTTTTTGAGACAAGATCTGACCTTGTCACCCAGGATGGAGTGCAGTGGTGTTACCATGGCTGACTGCAGCCTTGACCTCCTGGCTCAAGCAATCCTCCCACATCAGCCTCCCAAGTAGCTGTAACTACAGGTATGTGCCACCATGCCCTACTCATTTTTGTAATTTTTTTTGAGGTAGTGTCTCGCTATGTTGCCCAGGCTGGTCTTGAACTCCTGGGTGCAAGTGATTCTCCTGCTTCCCAAAATGGCTAGGATTACAGGTATGAGCCACCGTGCCCAGCTACATCATGCATTTTAGAAGACAAATTTTAGATTTTATGGCTGAATCAGCAAATAGCCAGCACATGACATGTATCTGCACCCCCACCTCCCTACAACCTGCAGACACCACAAATAGATGATGGCCAGCATTCCTGATGCATGGGCTCCAAATGATCAGAATTGGCATGGAGGATGCAACCCAAGTGTTCTCATGGTTCAACAATATGCAGTCATAAAATCTTACCATCCTTTTGATCTGTACATAATATAAGAATTACGGGTGGATCACATGAGGTCAGGAGTTCAAGACCAGTCTGGCCAACATGGTGAACCCCATCTCTACTAATAATACAAAAATCAGCCAGGCATGGTGGCAGGCGCCTGTAATCCCAGCTACTCGGGAGGATGAGGCAGGGGAATCGCTTGAACCCGGGAGGCAGAGGTTGCAGTGAGCTGAGGTCGTGCCACTGCACTCCAGCCTAGGTGAAAGGAGCAAGACTCCATCTCAAAAAAAAAAAAAAAAAAAAAAAAAAAAAAAAAAAAAAAAGAATCGCGTTAAGTGATGCCACCACGCTGACTGCTTTTAAAATTGGACTCTCCCTCCTTTTCTTCGTGACCTTCAAGGTCATAAGGTCATATTACTTACTACTATGTCAATTTATCTCAACTGTTCTTGTATGTATCTGGTGGTTTTGTTTTTTGTTTTTTGAGATGGAGTCTCGCTCTGTCACCCAGGCTGGAGTGCAGTGGCGTGATCTCAGCTCACTGCAAGCTCCGCCTCCTGAGTTCAAGCAATTCTCCTGCCTCAGCCTCCCGAATACCTGGGATTACAGGTGCGTGCCACCATGCCCAGCTAATTTTTTGTATTTTTAGTAGAGACGGGGTTTCACCACGTTAGCCAGGATGGTCTCAATCTCCTGACCTCGTGATCCACCTGCCTCAGCCTCCCAAAATGCTGGGATTACAGGCGTGAGCCATCACGCCTGGCCGTATATAGTGTTTTTTAATTTCATTAATTTTGACTGCCATATGGAGCTCACAAAGAGCAGAAGCTATTCTGAAGAGCTTTCTACACCTCAGGAACATAAAGTAATATCACCACCAGCTATTTGTTTAGGTTTTAGACTTTAGAAAAGTTATCATAGCACAAGTATAAATTGGTATGAAATGGCTAAAAACCAAACTACTGGGAAGTTGGGGGGAACATTCAACAGTGATAGGTATACTGGAGAGAAAATATCTGAGAACAAAAATGAACGACTTTTTAAAGTAGCCTTCGGCCTGGAAGCTCCTCTCATGATCCAACAAAGAACAGCTGTTTATATAAGTCTGCCTGTCAGAGAAGCACAGAGAAGCCGTCCAGTGCATCAGACTGAAGCTAATTAAAGCAGGGAATTTTACAGAGTTGTATGGGAATAGTATAAACACTCCTAACGCCCAACATTTTTAGGGCTCTGCCCAAAAGTCAATAGAAAGAAATAATGAGCAATGCAAGCACAGAGGATGCAGACTCTGATCTTTAAACTCTGAAATTTATTACTGCAGAAAGAGACACAGGATATTCTTTGTAGTTGGTCTATCAACCCTGATAGAAGGAAACGTAAGATCTTTAATGAGGGCATTAACAATCCCAAAACAACAACAAAAAATTCCTTGGGCCACTAACAGAAAATTTCCTACCAATTGGTGAGTTTCACAACCAATTATGCAGATCAAATGTAGGCTGGCCATTCTAGGAACAAAGTCCCTCTGACGACGTCAGGGACAGAGGGGGACTGACCACACTGCCTAAGCTTGTATTTTCCAATGCACCTGACAAAGCATGGAAAAGCTATTCTCAGACAAGCAAAACCACACCTTAGAATTCCTTGTAACTCTCTGGTGGAAAAAAAAAAGTGTTTAGATGATTACTACCTGAGAAAATATTATTTTGGCAAGAGAGTGCTGGCTCTACACACCTGCTCAGGTTGAAAAAAAAAAAAAAAAGCAGGGTAATAGAGACCGGTAGCAGGAATGAAATGTACAATCATTGGAGAGTAATTAATCCATGAAAGGATGCATTGTGCCCACATGGTGTTTGCCCACCTTGAATCATTAATAATGATTAACCTTAGCTTCTTAGCCTCTTTAACTCAAGGTGGTAATGTTCTGTTGAGCGAGAATAGTTGCAGAATCATGATGGGTCCCCAGTGAAATATCAGGCCAGGAACTATTACATTTGTAGTTCACTCTGGCTTGCTTTTTTTTTTTTTTAAGAAAATTCAGTAATTCTCCATTGAACATCTACTACATATCCAACTCTGTGCTAAGGTATGCTGTGGAAAAGTCAAGGAAGAATGTATGAGACACATCCCTGCACTCCCAGGAGTTTATAATTTCGGAGGAGATGCAAACGTGGACCCATTTTAATGTAACAAAAGATACACTGTGTTAACAGCCAAAATGGAGGCCTGTACAGAGTACTGGGGCAACCTGGAAATCTGGTTTTAGGATACACTGCATTCAAAGCAATTTGCTTTTTTCTTCAACATTTCTTGAGCACCTGTTATGTGCAAAGCAAGGAGTCAGGTGCCTTTCTGGAAAACGAAATAAACACGGCACTGTCTCTGTTTACAACTGCCCATTTAACAAACATTTCTTGAACATCTACTACATGTGATGCATTGAGCTCAACCTTAGGAATTGCAGATGGTTAAGCATGCACTTTACCTTCAAAGTGCATCTGGTCTATTTTGTAAAAAATAAACTTTTTTTTTTTTTTTTTTACAAGCTTGTACTAATCCTGATCTTGGATCAAGTTGAAACAGACACAGTTAAGGGAGAGGACTATAAGGTACTCCTGGACACAGAGCTGAGCTTACCTTTGTGTTCCCTAAACAGAACAGAGGATGTGGTGAGAATCCAGGTCCTATAAGAACCTGTCTCAACAAAGGGAATCAAAGCAGGGGTCAAGCTTTGACAGTCATATTGCACGCCTGCTGATTTAATTCTTAGCAACTCAATTCTCAGGATCCTTAAGGAACAGAACCCCAGTAACTGGCTTTTTAGCGCCTTGCACAGAGCCCACTCAAAAGTAGACAATTAATAGATATCTGATAAATTAAAGAAAGAATCTCTAATTGCTAGCCTTAGTCAAGAATGTATGCTCAAAATTAGACAGAAAGTCTTAAATGTTGAATACATACTGCTGTCAAATCAGTAATTTTTAAAGAAGTTGTAGAACAAGACTCTAGGAATCAATTTCAATGGTCCCTGCTTACAGCATTATGAGATGTCCTGTGTTTCAAGGTTCCATCCCCACACTTATGGAAACAGGCCAACTATGAATTTGCCCCTGGCATGGCACAGAATATAAACATGCATTGTTGGTACATATGCTTTGTTCTGTTTGCCAAACTCTGTGTATCTGTGGGGGCCACTGAAATACGGCCAGTATTCATTCTCCCCTGACCAACTTGACCTCCAGCCTACTTATTTAAGTTTTGTCAAAATGGCTAAACACAGTCCATGAAGATTCTCTAAATACAGTGCTTCCTAATACAAACTGTGATTTTCAAAATGCCGCCCAGAAAAGGCCGTTATGCATCAAGAGTATGGGATTTCCTAGTAAAATGTTGCCACCCAACTGTCTGTCATCCATTATAGCAGAAAGGGCCTCTAGAAGAACACATTGGAAGCTCTAATCAGATTCGATGTGGACACTGGAGACAAACACCCATCTCACTCATCCTATGCCCATCCTCCCGGTTCATGCCCAGAGATCATGTTACAGGAGAGCCCACACAGTGAAGTCATGTCAGTTCCTCTGGTTACTGATGTGGCCACTTCTGTGGACAGAAACGAACTCCACTCATGACACTGTCACTACCTGTCTACTGAGAAGCAGCTCAGGAGGAGAATTAAGAGTGAGCAAAAGACCGGGGGCTGTAGCTCACACCTGTAATCCCAACACTTTGGCAGGTGGATTACTTGAAGTAAGGAGTTCGAGATCAGCCTGAGCAACACGGTGAAACCCCATCTCTACTAAAATATAAAAATTAGCCATGCGTGGTGGCGCACCTGTAATCCCAGTTACTTGGGAGGCTGAGGCAGGAAAATCGCTTGAACCCGGGAGGCGGAGGTTGCAGTAAGGCAAGGTACCACCACTGTACTCCAGCCTGAGCGACAGAGATTCTGTCTCAAAAAAAAAAAAAAAAAAAAGAGTGAGCAAAAGCCCAAGAATAGATTTAACCTCTGCTCCCCAGCAGCCCCACAGAAAAAGGGGTGAATTTAGCAAGTTGTGGGTTAAAATTGAAATTCAATTGAGCGAAAACTTTCTTTTTTTTTTGAGGTGGAGTCTCGCTCTGTCGCCCAGGCTGGAGCTCAGTGGTGCGATCTCGGCTCCCTGCAAGCTCCGCCTCCCGGGTTCACGTCATTCTCCTGCCTCAGCCTCCCGAGTAGCTGGGACTACTGGCGCCCGCCATCACGCCTGGCTAATTTTTTGTATTTTTAGTAGAGAGGGGTTTCACCGTGTTAGCCAGGATGGTCTCGATCTCCTGACCTCGTGATCCACCCGCCTTGGCCTACCAAAGTGCTAGGATTACAGGTGTGAGCCACCGCGCCCGACCATGAGTGATAACTTTCAAACAAAGACATCAGCTGGGCGTGGTGGCTCATGCCTGCAATCCCAACACTTTGGGAGGCTGAGGCAGGTGGATCATTTGAGCCCAGGAGTTCGAGACCAGCCTGGGAAACATGGTGAAACTCCGTCTCTACAAAAATATAAAAATTAGCGGGGGCATGGTGGCACGTGCCTGTAGTCCCAGCTACTCAGGAGGCTGGGGTGAGAGGATCACCTGAGTCTGACAAGTGGAGGCTGCAGTGAGATGGCACCACTGCACTCCAGCCTGGGCGGCAGAGTGAGATTCTGTCTCAAAACGAAACACACAAAAAACAAAGACGTCACCCACTTTCTTGGGGAAATTTTTCTTTTGATTAGTCTCACCTAGGGCCAGACCATTTAGACACTGAAACCACATGAATCGGTCTTATTTCTTAGTCACCTGTCATCCTCAATTCCACCTGGGCTCAGGCCTCTTCTCCTAACTTGAGGTTTCTTGGTGAAACGCTTATCTGCACTAACCAGATGATTCTCTTTCAGCTGACCTAGTCACCCAAAAGTCATTAAGTCATTTAAAACCGGGTTTGCATCTGTGAAAAAGCAAAAGGCAGAAAGCAATTTGGTTCTTTCTCATCTTAATTGTTTCCCCAGCTCTGCTGTTCTCGTTAATGTTGGCCAGGCTGGTCTTGAACTCCTTACCCCAAGTGATCCACCCGCCTTGGCCTCCCTAAGTGCTGGGATTATAGGTGTCAGCCACCATGCCTGGCCAAATTGCCATTAAGTCTTAAGCATGACATTTAAACTATGAGTTCACCCTTCTTTCCTGAAGTATTTTTGTTTCCTAACCAGCAGTATTTGTTGATCCTCATCTTATAATTCTGCCTTATATTGGGACAGGGGTGACCCAGAGACTCTGTGAGATCCATCATTCTTAGTAAGTGTGACTTTGTGGGTATAAAAGCTTGCCTTGACGGCAACAGGGAAGGAAGTATCCAGGCCTTGCCGTACCCGCCTGGGTTGGAGGGTTGGGCAGGCACTTAACCTCCTCCAAAGAAGAACTGTTCTGGGCATAAAATGAGCATGGAGAGCCTTTCTCCTGCAGGGCACTCCAGCAAGAGGTTTCTCAGGAACACGAATGGGAGTTTACAGAGGACAATATCTCAAAAAGACAGATAAGCTACTGCCAAACATTCAAAACAGGACCACAGGAAAGCCAAGTCATTCTTAACATCTATTTTTTTCCCTCCAGGTCAGAATCAGTTTTGTAAAATAGGGCGATAAACAGAACAACAGGCAAAAGAGAAAATCATTCCCCGTTCTTCCATAATGACCTAAGGAAGCAGACGATCTGTCTCTCTCACACCATGTAAGTGGAAAGAAACAGTGTCCTGTATGAAGCAAGTCCTTTTTCTAGAGGTGTGAGCGTAGGTAACGCACATAATGAAGCTGATCATTAGAAATAGGATCTATTTCACAAATGGGCCCATGTGAAGAAATCAGGTTGACCTTGTATGTTGCTTGAAGACCTTTCACGTTCTTCCATTTTGGAAAACTGACATCAGCCTGCCATAATTACCAGTGTGTACTGGAATTGGTGCCGGATCAACTGCTGGCTGCATTCTCACTAACACTCTGATTTGCCAACACCCTGACCTACTAGGTTGGAAGACTCTGGGGTTCCTGGCACTATCCCCAGCGGAGGTACTGAGTTCCAGAATTAAAAGTCAGCATATGTTCCCAGGCCTGCCCTCTTATCTTCTCACAGGGAGATCCGAAAGATAATGTCAGTAATGCTTGAGAAATGAAAATGCTTCCCCAAATGAAAATATATTCTAGTTTATTTTGAATAAAATAAGATGCTCTTGTTTTTCTGTGTTCTCTTAAGCTAATTTTATTTTCTAGATTTTTTTTTTTTTGAGACAGGGTCTTGCTCTGTTGCTCAGGCAGGAGTACAGTGGCACAATCATAGCTCACTGCAACCTCCACTTTCTGGGCTCAAGCCATCCTCCCACCTCAGCCCCCAGAGAAGCTGGGATGACAGGCATGTGCCACCATCCCTGGCTGATTTTCATATCTTTTTTGGTGGAGACTGGGTTTCACCATGTTGCCCAGGTTGGTCTCAAAGTCCTGGGCTCAAGCAGTCTGCCTGCCTTGGCCTCCCAAAGTGCTATGATTACAGGCATGAGCCACTAAGTCCGGCCCTTCTTTTTAATTCTTTTTTCTCCTCTAACTTGTTTATTTTTTAAGAGCTGAAACCTTGAACCTCCAAGATTCCCATCAAGCTTGAGCTATATGCAATCTAAGGGTTTTATCATAACAAACTGGGCCGAAAAAACTCTGATCTCAACCCAGATGCTAATTAAAACCCTACCTGAGTCATGTTGCTATGGTTACTGGGATTTCTCCAAGCCCCGAGATTCTTAAAGGAGTAAATTTTAGTTACTTCTCCAAGGCTCAGAGTGGCGTTCCTGGGATTGAGCCATGCTAGTTCCCATAGGGTGTGGGTGTCATTGCACAATCAGCAGCCTGGGTGGCTTCTGCCTACATCATCACTAACCTCTGCATTGGATTCCATTGTTTGTCTCATTAGAGGTTTACAATAGCAGGGTGTTATCAAAGTACTATTATCATCTCATTTTAGAGAAGAGACTCCAGACTCTCAGTTTAGAGACCAACTCTTTTAGAGAAGGGACTGGAGACTCAGTCACAGTGAGTGGCTTATACAAGGTCACTCCATTTGTGAGAGAGAGGGAATAGGAACTTGGTTTTCTAATGCCAATACCTGTGCTTTCCACTAATTTACCCAGGACTGAGGCAGGCAGATACAATTTGGATGTTTTACTCTCACGCCCTGCTCAATTTCCATGCTCCTTGATGTCCTGTAGGTTCAGGAGGAGCGTAGACTTAGGAGTCTTGCAGGTACAGCAGGAACCTTAGGCTGGTTACCCTAGCTTTCTATCTCTGCTTTGTCATCTGTAAATTGGGGCTGGCAATTCCTACCTCTTAGGGCTGTTCTGAGGATGAAATGAGTTGTTATGTCTAATTCTTTTAAATCCATCCCTGGCCCATAGTGAGTGCCATATAAATGGAAGCTCATCTTAGCTGCTGAATCTCTCATTCATTCGGGGACTACACGCGGCTGCCAAAGAGTCTGCAATCACCTCAGGATCTGGAAGATGTCTGTTCTCCATGGTGGGCGGCCAGTGCAATACCAGAACAAAGTAGTGGTCATGAGAAAAAAACCCACGTTAGATCACATCAGTGCCTGAGACGCCGTGATGTTCAAAGTCAAGCGTCCTGACTGCTTCTCTCTGTGGTCAATTTCCTTGTTTCTGACATCAGCCCAGAGGCACATCAGCTGAAACAGAACCACTTGAAATGACATGACTCGAGAAAGTCTGTTCAGAAACGCTGTAATTTTTTGAAAAACAGTAGGTTTCTCCTTTTCCTAACAGAAATCAGTTTCGCTCTAATCGAGAGAAATTTTTTTTCCCCAGCATTTAAAACCCATGCACAGCTCAATAACTAAAAAAAAAAAAAATTTATTTTTCTCGAGTCTTTAAAAGGTACTTTAAACTGATAGGAGATAGCAGGGAAGCAGTAGGGAAAACTGAGTTTCAGCATGCTAACACAAAACTACATTTTTTTCTTTGTTTTTTTTTTTGTTTTTTTGAGACAGTCTCACTCTGTCGCCCAGGCTGGAGTGCAGTGGCACCATCTCGGCTCACTGCAAGCTCCACCTCCCGGGTTCACGCCATTCTCCTGCCTCAGCCTCCCCAGTAGCTGGGACTACAGGCGCCCGCCACCACGCCTGGCTAATTTTTGTATTTTTAGTAGAGACGGGGTTTCACTGTGTTAGCCAGGATGGTCTCGATCTCCTGATCGTGATCCGCCCGCCTCGGCCTCCCAAAGTGCTGAGATTACAGGCGTGAGCCACCACGCCCAGCCCCATTTTTTTCTTTAAAAACCCACATCTGAGGGTTCCTAACCACATGTAAAACTTCCTCTTTTCTGCTTTTGGCCCCAAGACCTAATCACCATTGTGGTAACAGTTTATTGAGCACGCATTTATTTGGCATTAACTGTTTGCCTCCCCAAATCTTTAAAAAAATTTTTTTTAACTTTAACTTTAAAAATGTTATTATTTAAAGAAAATAGAGACAGGATCTCCTTATGTTACCTAGGCTGGTCTCAAACACCTGGGCTCAAGTAATCCTCCTGCTTCGGCCTCCCAAAGTGTTAGGATTACAGGCATGAGCCATCATACCCAGCCCTCCCTAAATCTTGTAGCATAACCTCCTTTTGCCCTCTTTTGCATGTTTAAATTAACGGAAAATATTCAGGACTTCCTGGAAAAAAGCCTACTGAAGACACTTCAGAGAACTGGGGAATAAAAAGAGGACCAGATTATAAAAATACAGGCACCAACAAATGGCAACAGCTTGGTGAAAGATTGATTTTAAATCACCAATCCCAAGCAGGGACCACAAGTAGGTTTGTTTGCTGGGTACAAAGAGGGCCACAACTCCTGCTCTCCGAGGGCTGCACTGGGACCCTGGGAAATTTACATAAAGGCACAAGGGCCTTTGGGCAGATTCTGGGACCTGGGCCTGAAAGCTTTGATGAGGGCAAAGGTTTCTTCTGGAAGAGCCCTTTGCCCTGCAGACAGAGTCCCAGGCAGACAATGGTACTCACCGCGACTTTGGAGGCGGAGGAGGAGGTGAGAATGTCTCAATCCCACTTCTGTCCTTGGGGAACTCAAAGGCAAAAGAGGCGGATTTGCTCATCCCGGTCCCAACTTTGCTGTTCTGCCCAGAGGAGCCATCTGTGGGGTGGAGACGGTGCCAGGTCGTGGAGTTTGAATGGTCCGTGGGGCCATTTTTGGTCTCTCTTCCCCAGCTGTGACTCAGCAATTCCTGCTCCACCTCCTCTTCTTCCTCTATCCGGCACTGACGACTCCAGGTGCCTGCCTGGAACCTGGGCCGCCTCTGTTCCGAGGCTGACGAGGCGGCAGGCTGGGGACACCTGGATGGGTCACTGATAGCGACACCGTTGGTCCGGCAGGAAGGAGCGGGGTCAGCAGGACCTTGGGATGGAGGCTGGGGCCCAATGCTGCTGCCGCCAGAGCTCCCATCACTAAGGTCAGCCAGCGGTGACACTGGGGGCCCTCCAGCAGACGGTGACACCGGGGACCCTACAGGGCTACTCTTGGACAACTTGGGGGGAATGGCGGGCCTCTCCTTGGGCTTGCTCTCGCTGGCACTGTGAGCATGGCTTTCCCTGGAGCTCAGCCCCTGCCCAGCCGAAGTCTCCTCTTCACCTACCTCGGAGTTCTGGCTCACAGGCCCTCGTGGCCACTGCACCCCCACTGCAGAGTCAGGGCTGCTCAGGTAGATCGTCCGATGGTCCTCTTCCGGGTGGGCCGCCATGACTGTGATGGTGGCTGACACCTGGGGAGTTGGGTCTGGGCTGTCCCGGCCCCAGCCAGATGCTGCTTTCTGGGCCCAGGCATTACCTGTGCATACCTGGCCTTGGCCCTGGGCAGCAGCTGCATGTTCTATCTTGGCCTGTGACTTGGAAGGCACCGGAGCTGCCTTCTTCCTCTTGGTGCTCTCAGCATAGATGGGTTCAGGCTGTGTAGCCTCCCGGGGGTGGGCCGGGGGCTGGGGCTCCCCCGTCAGCCCAAGGCATCTGCTAGGGGTCACCCCTGGGCAGCCAGGGTCCTGCTGCTTCTCTGGGGCAGGTTCCTTCATGAGGGAGCAGTAATCACTCTCGAGGTGGGGGACGAAGGGGCTACTGGCGCCGCTGCCGCTGCCGCTGCCGCTGCCACAAGAGAGGCCGTCGGAAGAAATGGCAGCCTCCGAGGTGAGGGACAGTTTCTTGGGGCCCAGGCAGGATGGGTGGGCAGTGGGGCCCTGGCTACAGCACTCCTTGGGGAAGCTCGGGCCCCGCTTCTCCTGCTCTGCGGGCCCGGAACACTTCCCCTGCTCCCAGCACGTGGGTGAGCAGTCCCTGCCACCATGCCTGCCCCGGGAACCTGCAGTCTGGGAGGCAGCCTTGGCAACAGGGCTCCCAGGGCAGCAGTCCAGGATGGAGCAGTACTCTCCACCCTCGCTGTCCCCGGAGGGCGAGCACCTTTGATCACTGTCATCCTCCGAGGGCAGGGATTCCCGCAGGGGCCCAGGGCCCTGGTGACAGCCAGATGTGGTCCCAGCAAAGGCAGCCAGTTTCTGGCGGAAGCTCTCCTGGGTGGAGGGCCGGTCTTGGTAAGGAAATGAGGGTTTTTCTTTGTGCACAGCCTTCTCCTCCGGGAAGCTCACCGGGTGGAAGGCAATGTTCCTCTCGCCGCGGGGCTCAAGGTTGTGCAGGCCGACCATGGTGTAAGCTGGGGGACAGCGAGAATTGCCATCAGGGGAGGTAGAGGGACCAGCAGGCTTCTGTACACCTCGGAAGCTGCCCAGGTAGACGACGGGGGCATCCTCCTGCTTCGGGAGGGGGAGCTTGCCAGGGGCTCGTCTCCAGATGACCTACACACAAGCCCAACGCAAAAAGACTTATATTAGAACTTGTCATAGAAAAAAGAGAGAGAGGAAAAGTGAGAGGGAAGGGCAACGATACTGTAGAATGTCTTCTGTAGTGCAGTGCAGGGGCGCTGGGGCCGGGGACTCAGTGCACGCCCACCTTCTCATCTCCCCACGGCCCTGTGATCATTGCTGGGGCACCCGCTGAGCCATTTGTCTTCCCAGACACTGAGCTGCCCTTCCTACCCATGGACTGTAATGCTTTTGGCTTAAGTCTGTGAAGTAGGAAAAGAAAAATATAACTCTGAAAAAGAACACTGTGCCTTCTTCCTCCCTTGCAACCAGCTGCTGGGTGACACAAGTTGTTCCACTGGATTGGAAAATGGAGCTTGGGGTTTTGTTTAATTTTTGCTTTGAGTTTGTGGGTTTTTTGATAACCCAATCACAGTGCATGCCTGAAGAAATCGAAGTCTTAAGTGTTTTTAAAACACACTGAACACACTGGAGCCAGATGCCGTGGCTCATACCTGTAATCCCAGCACTATGGTGGGCCGAGGAGGGCAGATTGCTTGAGCCCAGGAGTTCAAGACGAGCCTGGGCAACATGGCCAAATCCCATCTCTACAAAAAAATACAAAAACTTGGTGGGCGTGGTGGTGTGTACCTACAGTCCCAGCTACTTGGGAGGTTGAGGTGGAAGGATGTCTTGAGCCCAGGAGGCGGAGGTTGCAGTGACCCAAATCACACCACCACACTCCAGCCTGGGCGACAATGCCAGACCCTGTACCAAAAATAATGATAATTAATAATAATAATAATAAAGAAAAAAGAAACACATTGGGTGGGTGGGTGTGGGCAGAACAGGAGGGTGAGGGGTGGTTTCTGAACCGGATCAGGGTGAGGGGTGGTTTCTGAACCAGATCAGAGTGAGGGGTAGTTTCTGAACTGGATCAGGGTGAGGGGTGGCTTCTGAACCGGATCAGAGTGAGGGGTGGTTTCTGAACTGGATCAGGGTGAGGGGTGGCTTCTGAACTGGATCAGAGTGAGGGGTGTTTTCTGAGCTGGATCAGGGTGAGGGGTGGCTTCTGAACTGGACCTGGGCTTCCTCGCTTCTTTCTGTGCTTTGCTTCCAACTATGCCAGAGGTCATCTTTCTCCCGCCTACAGCAGTGACCTCAGCCTGAGCCTGTGCGAGTGGTTGGACTCGTTGGGCTATGAGACAGAGATGTGGACTGGTCATTACCATCCCTGAAGTCACCGTTTCCTCCTCCTTCTGGTCTAAAGTCCTCCTTTACCCCCACTTTTAGAAGCAGCCTCAAAGCAGGGCCTGCCTCTGGCTTCTTTCCCAGGTGATTCTGAGCTTAAAGAGTCCCTGGCTCAGGTTGGTGAAGGTTGAAGGTATTGAGAATGGCCTGGAGAATGGGTGTAAGCAGCTTAGGAAAAAACAGAGCAGCCCGGAAGGGGACATCAAGTTCACTGCAACCAAAGGAAATGCCTCTCCTCAATGAAGACTCCCCTGATTTAGAATTGACCTTAGTTTTCATATATGCTCACACAGCCTTCCTGACCTACTCACCATATTGGTCAAGAAAACTAGAACAGGCAAAGAGGTCAAACAGGTAGCAAGCAGTTCCTAGGATATGTCTTAGCCACATAGCTTCCTAAATGTGTCTAAAGACAGCAGATGCCAGCAGACCCGGGCTATGTGCCCTCTGAGTTTGTAAAGGTTACCTGTGGAATGAGCAGAATGGTCTAGCCTCTAGGTTGTAACTGTTTTTAGTGACCCTAGAAGAAAGCTGGTAAAATCCAAGCTTCAAAATTGGAAACAGGAGTACTGGCTGGGTATTAGATAATATTAAGGAATTACTGCTAATATTCTGAAGTGTGGGGCCAGGCATGGTGGCTTATGCCTATAATCCCAGCACTATGGGAGGCTGAGGCAGATGGACCACTTGAGCCTAGGAGTTTGAGACCAGGAACTTAAGACCAGCCTGGGCAAGACAGCAAGATCCTATCTCCACCAAAAAACAAAAACAAAAACAAAAAAACGCCAAATAAGCCAAGCATGGTGGCATGTACCTCTAGTCTTAGATTCCTAGGAGGCTGAGACAGGAGGATCACTTGAGCCTGGGAGGTGGAGATTGCAGTTAGCCGAGATCGCAACACTGCACTCCAGCCTGAGCAACACTGAGACTGTCTCAAAAAAAAATAAATAAATAAAATAAAAATTAAAAACTAAAAAAATAGGCCAGGCGCGGTGGCTCACGCCTATAATCTCAGCACTTTGGGAGGCTGAGGCAGGTGGATCACTTGAGGTCAGGAGTTAGAGACCAGACTAGCCAACATGGTGAAACCTCGTCTCTACTAAAAATACAAAGATTAGTTGGGCATGGCAGTATGTACCTATAGCCCCAGCTTCTTGGGAGGGTGAGGCAGGAGAATTGCTTGAACCCTGGAGGCAGAAGGTGCAGTGAGCTGAGATCCAGCCTGAGTGACAGAAAAGAAAAATTAGCGGTGCCTCACGCCTATAATCTCAGCACTTTGGAAGGCCGAGGTGGGCAGATCACAAGGTCAAGAGATCGAGACCATCCTGGCCAACGTGGTGAAACCCATCTCTACTAAAAATACAAAAATTAGCTGGGCATGGTGGTGGGTGCCTGTAATCCCAGCTACTCAGGAGGCTGAGGCAGGAGAATCGCTTGAACCAGGGAGTCAGAGATTGCAGTGAGCTGAGATCGCACCACTACACTCCAGCCTGGACGACAGAGAGAGACTCCATCTCAAAAAAAAAAAAAAAAAAAAAAAAAATTAAGTGTGATAATGGTATTGTGGTTATGTTTTTCAGAAAGACTTTATCTTTGAAAGGTATTTATTGAAATGATGTGATATCTGGGTTTGCTTTAAAATCATAGGGAAGGGGGTCAGTGTGAGGGAGGTGAAATAAGATTGGTCAGGAGTTGATGGTTGCTGAAGTTCATATTGAAGGGTATTGGGTGCATGCAATTCACTTTGCAATTATTGCTACTTGTATATATATTTAAAATGATCAACTAAGAAAATTTAAAACTTTTTTTTAAAAAAGCTTCATTTTTTGTCTGCCCTACACAGTCTGCAAATCACAGGAGGAAATTCTGGGGGACTGGATTAATGATTCTTAGCCTAAAGGGACAGAGAGAAAGGAGAGCAGCTACAGCGAATCCCAGGCAGGAGCCATCTCAGGGCAAACTGACAGGAAGCTATCCTGCAGGTTTCTTGCTGGAACAGCCCTCCCTGGCTGCCAGCCAGTCACCAAGTGTTCAAACAGGAGCAGCCCCTGTAAAAATACCACGAGTGTTAGTCAGCCTCACCTGCGAGACTTCGGCACTCAGGTTGGCCTCTGTCCACACATCAGAGGCCTCGGAGCTCATCATGGTGGGCTTCACGGCAATTGTGGGCTTGGAGTAAGGTGAGCTGTTCACACCTTCATCTTCCAGGCGGCAGTTCTCAGGCCTGGGAGGCAGGCGCGGTGGAGGGGGCAGGCTGCCCGCTCTGGGCTGGGGAGGGCCGGCCACCAGCTGGTGGTCGCTCCGCAGGCAGAAGCAGTTCTTGCAGGACCCGGGTTTCCAGATGTGCTCCACAAAGTCACTGCACGCAGACATTTTCAGGCTCTCGGGGTTCAGGCAGAGGGTCTGGTGCATCTTGAGCCGACAGGGTGCTGGTTCATCTTGCGCCCGGCTCTCTGGTGCAGTTTTGTGGGATTCAGAGGTGGGTCACAGAGCGGCTTCCTAGAAAGGCAGGACAGTTTCCTGATTAGAGATTTGCCATGCCAGACAATGGGTGCATTATCAATTAGAGTCTCACTATTTGATCAGGGAGAAGGAGGAGAAAAAGGTAAAGATTAGGATCCCATTTATTTTGGGACCCTCGCCCATTTGTCACAAGGCTCTTAAACATTCTCTGGTGGTGTGGCCTTATCAGAAGCTGTAAAAACTAAACATAGCCTTGTTGCTTTAAAGGAGTAAATAAAAGACATTTCGGTCCCCTAAAATCCTGGGTGGGGAGTCCCCTAAAATCCTGGGAGGTTTTGGGCAGTTATGGGAAGAAATCACGTAGGGTTTAAGATGAGAAGCTGGTACGTCATCCATGTATTCCCTGACACCGGGGCCTAGAGTCTGGGACGCTGACCCACAGAAACAAGAACTGTCAAGCAGTACAGCAAATAAAAACAATGGCTTTTGGAAAATAATGTTTGACCAAGAACTGTGTGAGAGGGGAGGCAGCTTTAGGCCCTGAAAGGTGCATTGTAATCCACACTTCCAACCAGGTGGAGAAAGGAATGGTTGGGAAACGGGAGAAGTGGGGTGCTGGCCTGTCCTCTAGACCTTATGCAGAGTCTGGCATCTTGAGAAATATCCCTTGCTTAATATACATTACTTGACCGTGTGCTGCTGAGGTCCACAATGCTGGGTGTTATAGGCCAAAGGGGCAAACCAGTAGTAAGACAAATTCATGGTCAAAGGTGGCTGGATAGATGATAAGAGAGAGAAGAGATTAACGAAGAGCTATTTCCAAGTGATGGCTCTGGAGAGAAGGCAATTGGCTTGCTCAAAAAATTCATTGCTTCTTAGAGTAAAACTGCAAGTAACAGTTTGCACCATGGTCCCTTGTAAATTCACCACTGAGAAGGAGCTCAAAGAGTTGCAGCCATTAACCAATTACCTTGAAATCATTCCATCAGGTAGCTGTTGTCCCAATTTTACAGGTGGGGAAACTATGGCAAACACAAGAACTTGGACCAGCCCATAGACACGGGAGAGTTTGCCCATTCTAGAAACAGAAGCCAACTTTGCAGGCGGCTCCTCCCTGCAGTGGTGATTTGCGCATTGCTCCTGGCTCTTCTTAGCCTATTTAAAATAAACTGACTTCCCATAAGGAGAATGTTCAAGAGCAAAATCTTCCTTAAGAACATAAGGGTGAATAGGTTCTCATTAAATAGGGACCATTTTGCCTTAGGGTTTTCTCTCCACTTTCCTCCCATAAGGATCTGCCTTAAGTTTGATAATCTCTAAACTGTCAACAGGACTAACCAGGTGGAATGAGCCGGGTACCCCAAAAATCATTCCAGAGTGTTTGTGGGAAGTGCTCTCTTTTATCTCCACACTCATAGACAGGGGTGTTCATTCAACAAGTGCTGAAGCTACGTGTGCCTCTTTTCCCTCCAAAGTGAAAAATGGGTTGAGGCCAGGCGCGGTGGCTCACGCCTGTAATCCCAGCACTTTGGGAGGCCGAGGCAGGACGATCGCTTGAGCCCAGGAGTTTGAGACCAGCCTGGGTAACACAGAGACACTCTGTCTTTACAAAGATAATAATTATTTAAAAAAACTATCCAGGTGTAGCCATGCATGCCTGTGGTCCCAGCTACTTGGGAGGCTGAGGTAGGAGGACTGCCTGAGCCCAGGAGGTCAAGGCTGCAGTGAGCCATGATCACACCACTGCACTCCAGCCTGGGTGACTAGAGTGAGACCCTGTCTAAAAAAACAAAAAAAAAGTTAAGAATAAAGCCCACTGCATCTTTAAGCTAAATAAATCCTCTGAAATAAAAGAAAAGTATCTTTTAGCAGTTATTGTTAGGGTCTCACAGGTCCTTTTCTTTAAGAAGACTGTTAGCTAGGTTCTTCTCCTCCTCCAAATACACCCAAGTAGCAGGTTCCTTCTTTGCCAAGTTCTCCAGAAGAGGTCACTGGGCTTCAACAAGCGGAGGAAATAGCCAGGTTTTGTCTTTCTCTTATAATCTCAGGCCACAGAGAACTGTAGCCTTGCTGCTAAGTTTTGGGAGGGGGAAAAAGCAGAGGAAGTATTCCAGCCTTCAGGAATAGGCAGTAGGTCCCTTCCTGGGACGCTGATGGGTGAAGACTGTCTACACCTTCTAGGCCACAGAAAGGACACTGTCCAGCCCACCTCCACTGCAGGCAGATGCTCCCATGCCTGCTCCGCGGGATGGAGGAAGACAGTTTGGAAACCAGCTCTGTGTGGGCTCTGCAAGTTCCCACAGCTCCTCCTGACACTGGGCTATCTGAGGAGGTGGGTGCCCAACCACTTCCTCAGGGTCTATCACAGATTCACAAAGCAGCAGTTCTGCTTGGCGACTTATTGCCTCCTCAACAGGCAAGTAAGAACACAAACTTGTTTTTGCGGAAGGGGTGACATTGGTATCAGAGGCCCTACTTTCTAAGATTCCCCAACCTTTGCACAGCCCTGTGCAAAGGGAGTGTGGAAGGATCTGGATTGCTAGCGTGGGGGAAGTTTCCTTGAGAATGTCTCATCAGTTTACGAGCACTCTTTGCTCCCATTCTCAGCTCAGAAATCCTTGGATGTTTAGAGAGGCAACTTTCATCACACGACTGCCAGGGACGGATGGACGCAAAGATTTTTAAAGGGAAGTCATTGAATAAGAAAAGAACAAATGAAGCCCTGGGCTTCCCACTGTCATTGACTCACTGCATCCTGTTAAAACTGGTTTCTCAGTCGCAGCAAACAGAATTTACCACCGCATGCAGCCAAAAAAAAAAAAAAAAAAAAAAAACCTCTTTTCCCGTTGCACTTCTGTGCCTGGAATTATCTCCTATTTGTTTTAAGTAAAAGATGGTGAGAAACACAAGTGGCACCCACAAAGCCTTGCCTCGCCTTGCCTGGTGCAGCAGTGCCAGCTCTCCACAGCATGGGGAAGGCACTTCGCAGCCCACATTCCTTACTTCTGAGGGGAGGCAGCCCCCAGAATTATGCAAATCCTCCCCATTTCAGTAGGAGGCTGCAGTGTCAGATTAGAAAAAAGAGCTCAGCATTCTTTCTGATCCAAGTCATGAAAAAAATGTCTTTGCCTCTGCAAACTTCTGCACTAGATTTGTGGCTACAGTTTGCAAGACTGAAGCTGTCAGATACACTCCCACCCCATTTCAAAAAAGAATCTGAAGAATCAAGGTGGCCAGATCTTTAAGATTAAATATTTTGGCCCAAAATACCCCCTCAGACTTACATCAGAAGTTGCTTATGCCTTATTCTGAAGTGACAGAATTGCAGAAAACATTCACCTAAAATTTTTTTCTGTATGTTACAGTTAAATTAATGCAACGCCAGTAAAAGGAAAGAAATATGTGTGGAAAGTGTCTGAACTTCAGCACACTCCACTGGCCAGGGCTGACCAGGCAGAAAGGAGAAAGTGACAACTTTACCACCCACTAGCCCCCTGCCTCCCTACTCACGCAGAGGGTAAATTACGATATTCACCCAACTTTTCCTTTTCTTTTTTCTTCCTCCAGTGCTGGAGGAAAGAAAATCTCAGAGGGAGGAATGTGGTTTTGCACCCACTACAGTCGAAACCAACCAGACCTCAGGAGAGAAAAATAACTGCGGAATTCCCTAGGGCTTTCTGTCAAATTTTCTTCTCAGAAAGGGAAGGGGAGAGGAGTTGTTAAGAATAGTTCAGGCCAGTGATCAGGAAAGCCTTCTGAGCCTGACTCCGCACTGAATGCATCGCCAAAACTCCTCGCCCCTAGACCATTGGGCTTTGCTATCGGCTCTGCAAAACCATGTGCAGGGAGAGCTTACCTGAGAGAAACGCACACACCGTGAGCTGGCGCTCTCCGCTGCGAATGCCCGGCCGCCTCCATGCCCAGCAGAGGATTCTATGTTCTAAGTGTGTGTGTCCCCGGATACCAGCAAAGGTTAATAACGTGCTCACAGCATGCGTTTCAGAGGGCTCAGCCAGGGCTCGGGGAAAAGGGCATCATCTCGTTGCCTCTGGAGCCCCGCTGCTGCATACCCTGCACCCCCAAACCATCCCCCCGGGTCCTGGTCCCAGCAGCCAGGCGGCCTTCCGTCTCTCCCCCTTGACAATACTCTAGCGGTGGAAAGCAGTCCTCAAAGCGCTTCAGCCTCCGGCCGCAGACAGAGCAGCAAGACCAGAGAAACCATCCTAACAGTCGGTCCTCCCTCCTGGAACTCGTAGGAAAGTTTCCCCGTTTTAAAGAGCGCGATTCTCGAATGAATCAAAAACACCCTCCAGCTCCTCGGTCCTCCCGGCCGGGCGCCTCCCTGCACCTCGGGCACCACCCGGGGCTCACGCGGCCCCGGCACTGCCCACTTCCCGAGCGGTCGCCTGTCACCCCGGGGGTAGCCCGCTCGGCGATCGCAGCGCCCCTCCAAAGCTCCCCTCTGCGACCACGCTCGCCAGACAAAAAGAGGCCGAATTTGGAGAGCGCGTCGCGGGCTCACCTCTGGGCTGCGCTCCCCCGGCCCCTCCGTCGGTCTCCGAGCCGCCAGCCGCCCGGCCGGAGCATTGTTCGCAGAAGGTCTGCGCGCGGTGCGTGCCCGGCCGCGGGCGGGTGGCTTCTGCCTGGGCCCGGCGGCCGGGTGGCAGCTGTGAGCGCGGCTCCGCCCCCTCCGCCTCCGGTGACGCCGCCCGCCCCAGCTCACGCCGCACCTCCGCAGTCCCTGCCGCCGCCCGGCCCCGCCTGGCCCGCGCGCCCCGCCGCCCGGCTTGCGCCTGCCGCTCCCACCCGGCGGTCTCCTACCCCCAGGGCCCCGACTCCTCCAAAGTCTCCAGGCCCCGGGACTCCCTCTCTTGCCCACCCTCCCGCCCCGGACCGGCAGGCTCCGCCCCCAGCCCCAGACTTGGCGCGGGCTGACCCCCGAGCCCAGCACCCGTTTGCACCCCCTCCTCGGTGGGGACCCTGCACAGCTCTGGAGGGGCGAGCTCTGGCGTTGCAATCCTCCTTTTGCCATCATGCGTGTATAGGTGCCCGGCATCACTTCATCCAGCCGGCCCTGCGGGACCCTGGGAAGAGAGGGAGAAGGAAGGGGAAACGAGGAAGTGTGGGGTCGGGAGTGGAATACAGGTCAGGGTCCGAGGCGGGCTCTGAAAGCCACGTGAGCACAGCGAGCCTCAGCTCTCCCTACCTCTGGGAAGAGGGTGGCGCCGGAGGGAGCAGGGCTGGAAGTCCCGGTGGCGGATTCCAGGTTCCGCTCAGTCCCTGGACTGCAGGATTCTGGCAAATTGCTTAACCTCTTTGAACTTTAGTTTTCTGGATGTAGAATGCAAGCGTTGCACTGCAGGGACCTGGCCTTCTACCATGCTGGGACATCCAAGTCTTCCGCAGGCCAGTAATACACCTGTGTTTACACCGTTTCCAGTGAGTCATTCACTGAGATAGAACGAGTTCGAGATAGTCCTCGGGCTAAAAAAATCTTTTCACTGGGAGTATAATAGCTTAAGACCCAGTCAGTCCTGTAGCTTGACCTGGGTGTTTACTCGGGGAGCCAGGGCTATGGTCACCTCCCAGGGCCATGCCGGGTGGGAAGAATTCAGTGAAATGGAATAGGAAGAGGACCCCCCTCCCCCACAAAACAATACCTGCGGCTTCTCTCGCCCTCTATCCCCTCCCCAGGAAGGCAGTTTATTTTGACTCCAGTGAAGGTCCTCTGCCAGTCAGCCTGCGAGCCCCCACCCACTGAGAGGAGGAAGATGGGCCCCCACCCCCACCCCCAGATCCCTGGCTCTCCTCTTTGCTGCTGTGGGTGTGGACAGAGAGGGAAGATGTGTATTTGAGGTTTGGCTTCTGTGTGAGGAAAGGGAAAAAAGGATCCAGGGAATTCTTCCTCATGTTCCAGTGACACCCATGCCTCCTAAGAGGACAGAATCTGGGGGAAGCTGTAGAGGGATGGGAGTGCAATGGACATTCCTTAAGGACCTACCCAGCGCTAAGCAATCCTATGAGGAGAGCATCATTATCCCCATTCTACAGATAAGAAAACTGAGGCTCGGGGGCCTCACAATTTGCTGGGGTTCCTCAGCTGAAAAGTGGTAGTACTAAGATTGGAACCAAAGGCTGTCTGGCTTCGCTGGTAGGCAAGTCTACTCTGCCACTCTGCCCTTGCCAAGTGCAGGTAGTCCAGCCCTATTTTTCTCTCTCCCCTAAGTGGAGAGAAATCATTTGAACAAATACTGGCCGTGCGCGGTGGCTCACACCTGTAATCCCAGCATTTTGGGAGGCCGAGGCTGGCAGATCACCTGAGGCCAGGAGTTCAAGAACAGCCTGGGCAATGTGGTATAACCTCATCTCTACTAAAAATACAAAAATTAGTCGAGTGTGGTGGTGGGCGCCTGTAATCCCGGCTACTCAGGAGGCTGAGGCAGGAGACTCACATGAGCCAGGGAGGTGGAGGTTGCAGTGAGCTGAGATCGCACCACTACACTCCAGCTTGGGTATCAGAGCAAGACCCTGTCTCAAAAAAAAAAAAAAAAAAAAAAGGAAGGGAAACTTTGGTTACACTTCATGAGCATCCAACAGAGCTGAAAGATCCAGACCCTACCAAGACTCAAGAGGGGAAGATGTTGATTAAACAGGTAGGTACAAAGTGGTCTGCAATGGAGAAATACAAAAGTGACTTCAGAAAGTGTGCAATTCATTTACACTGGGAGAGGGCAAACTAAGATGTTTGAGAAGTTCCTGGTTCTCAGGATTCAGGCTAAATGTTTCACTTCTTTCCTCTGTAAGAGAGACATTGACCTCACAGAATAAAGGCTGTGCTGAACACATAAAAGAAGCACTTACTTTTGCACTTTATTTTCTTCTCTTTACCTAACTTATTCTTTTTTTTTTTTTTCCTGGGATGGAGTTTCATCTTTCAATCAGGCTGGAGTGAAGTGGCAAGATCTTGTCTCACTGCAGCCTCCACTCCCCGGGTTCAAGCCATTCTCCTGCCTCAGCCTCCTGAGTAGCTGGGATTGCAGGCGGCCACCACCATGCCCTGCTAATTTTTCTATTTTTAGTAGAGACAGCATTTCACCATGTTGGGCCAGGCTGGTCTTGAACTCCTGACCTCAAGTTATCTGCCTGCCTCGGCCTCCCAAAGTGCTAGGATTACAGGTGTGAGCCACCGCGCCCGGCCCCTAATTTATTCTTAATACATGAACAGGCTAAAGAGCATAATTATAAGAGAAAGCCATAATGTGGCAAGACTTGTAGTTCTGTGGCATGGGGCAGTACTTGAAGGGTAAATTCAGTGTGTCTACAAAATAAAGTGTGTTCTTAAGTGGTTTGCTGTGCTCACACAAAGTAAATGCATTATACTGTAGTTGCTGACATATAATGTGCATCTTTTTAAAAGCCAGCAACATGGCCATAGAGACGACTTCATCTTGCCTAATGAAAAGAATCAAGAAACACTTCAAAGGAGTCACTGGGATGCACATAAAATACCCACACTCTTAGGCAGTGCTCTACCAGTGACTGTTAAGTATATGATATCCTCAGTCAAGCTACGGTAAGCTCATTCATTTTCATAAAGAATTCTTGCTTGAACTTCCAAACTGTACCCTGCAATGCAGTGTAATTTGTGTAGACACAGCATTCTGCTTCTAGCTACTTATCAGTCCATTTTTATGACACTTTTAACTGCAGGGCGTGGGCTCCCTGATACAGACCAGACCTTGAAGAACAGCAATTCCTCGTCAGAGTTTTAGTCCAGCGGCACCATTCCGTACAAGAGCAGTTATATTTTAGGAAACTGGGACAAGAGGTCAAGGCTGGGAGTGCTTCGGGGTGAGTAAAGTAAGGTAGTTTGGAATTAGGCAAAATGGCAGGATTAGGAAGGATGTGCCATTAAATTATACTGCAAAAATACAAGCTGGGGTATTGGAGAGGGGTCAGATAGTATGAAGATTGAGCCAAAGAAATCCCACACATATTATCTCCTCAGCCAGAGCATACATCTCAAATAATAGAGACATGCATCTCACCTAAAAGCGAGAACGATATTCAGTTTTCTCAACGAATATGTATTGAGTGACTTCTACTTATAAGCACTGCATGAGGTCCTACTGGGAAAAGAAAGACGAGTAAGAGCAAAAAAAAAAAAAAATAAGCTCTATGAGAGGAAGATAAGTCGGGGCAGTGGGGGTTCAAGGGAGAAACAGACAGAAGAAACACAGAAAGTGGCTCTATAGAGGAGGGGAGCTTTAGAAGATGAGAACGATTTCAATCTGTGGAGGATGGGGACTTTCCAGACTGAGACAATGTTATCTGCAAATGAATGGACGTGGGAGAGGCGGAAGACTTTTCAGAGGTTTTGCATTCTAGACTGGCTGGATCATGGTTTTTGGAGACAGGCCTGGAAATGGAGTGTGGCACTAGAAGAGAAGAACTTCGTTTCCAGGTGAGCCATCAAGAAAGTGTTGACATTTCCGAGCAGCAGAATGACATCACTAAGGTGGTTTTTCATTAGCTTTCTCTGGATCTTGTATCCCAGATGGATTAGGAAGTGGGAGAAGAGATTGGAGACAAGGAGTCTGGCTTAGCGTTCCTATCCCTGGTCCAGATGGCAGTTGATGTGTTTTGATAAGGAACATGGCAAGGGAAACAGAAAGAATGGATGGTGTGTGTGGTTTTGAGAGACATGAAGAGGGAGAAATGGGGATTGGTTACTTCGTGGATTCACTGTGAGCAATAATCTATTAACGAATAAAGCCTTACATTATGGAGCACTTACTCAGCATCACGCCCTGTGTGATCAGTGATGTACCTGGCTTTTCTCATGTAAGCCTCGCAGAAACACAGGAGTAGGTGCTATTACTGACAGAGAGGAAGGAATCAAAGGTGACCAGTAGAGTTTTAGCCCCTAGAGACCGGTAGAATGATGGTATCATTATTACAAACGGGAAAGTCACAGAATTCAGTCTGTGGTCTGTTGGGTTGGAAGTGTGTAGCCACCGTTTGGTGAATGAAGTCATCCTGCCAGAAGTGGTGTTTGGAGCCCCCAGAACAAATGAAGGGGTTGCAGGAGTATTGTGAAGAAGGCGCAAAAGTGATAGGAAGAGGCCAAGAATTGGGGGACCCAGGAATACAGAAGAGGCCATAAGAAAAACAAGAAGCATGACCCCTTCCCTTCCAGACCTTTTAAAATGCAGAGCAGTCTAAAGAGAGATCTCTTGTGGAGGACAAAAAGGCAAGAGATGTTATCACGGAAATTCCAGGTTCCAGTTAATTGCATGAGCCAGGGAGTGTCTGAGACAAGCTTAAGCTCTTAGTGACTTTGTTTATAGTAGCAGGAGGTTCTAAAGGACCCCATGGAAGAAAGGAATTAGATGGGAGGACAAATGGAATGGATAAGATAGGCTTGATACGGATGCTGATAGAAAAAAGGGGTATTTTGGCCAGGTGCAGTGGCTCATGTCTGGAATCCCAGGACTTTGGGAGGTCAAGGTGGGAGGGTTGCTTGAACTCAGGAGTTCAAGACCAGCCTGGTCAACACGGTGAGACCCTGTCTCTATTAAATTAAAAAATTAGCCAGGCACATACAGGTAGCGTGTGCCTGTAGTCTAGCTATTCAGGAAGCTGAGGCAGGAGAGTTGTTTGAGCCTGGGATGTTGAGGCTGCAGTGAGCTATGATTGCGCCTCTGCACTGCACCCTGGGCAAGGGTGAGACACTGACTCCAAAAAGAAAAGCAAAACAAAACAAAACAAAAGGGAGTATTTCATAAGGGGAGGAGGGTAATTGCAGATGGGAGAGGTTGGTGCCCTGGACGTCCTGGGCATCTGCTCCAGGCTTGAAAGCTAAGCCTGCCCTAGTGGCAATTTGGGTCCCAAAACCACCATGGAGAGGACTGCATAGGGAGGGAAGGAAAAAGATCTTTCAAAAACTTGCTGTGATGAGCCCTTCTAGCTTCCTTCTGTCCTGCTAGGAGATAACATTCTCAGCAAGCCAGTTAGAGCTTGGTCTAGCAAACGCACACAGCCCCACTCCTCTCTTTCCTCTCAGAGTGATAATCGGCTCTATCATTTGCCACCCCAAAGCTATCTCTTTCTTCTCTGAGGTGTGGAAATTCACATATCTTATCAGTTAATCCCTGTCCTTTGATTATGGAATCACATCCTCATGTCCCACCTTTTTTAAGAAAAACATATCCAACATCCCATTCTTCTCAGACATTAATTCTAGGCAGCACTATGCAAGATAAAACATTCTAAATAATTTATAGTATCATATTCCAAGCACTGAATAGATTTTTTTTGCCCAAACTGAAAGATATTATTTAAGTAATAACTACAGATGGTCAGAATATCAAACCACACAGGACTGAGAGCCAAAGGTTCAAGGTTGTTATGATCTTTCTTTTGTGCTCAAGCACCACAGAGCACAGATGTCAGTGGTGAAGAAGAAAAACACTTTTTTCCCCTTTTCTATATGTATTAGTCTGTTCTCACATGCTAATAAAGACGTACCTGAGACTGGGTGATTTATAAAGGAGAGGTTTCAGGGACTCACAGTTCTGCATGGGGCTGGGGAGGCCTCACAATCATGGCAGAAGGCAAATGAGGAGTGAAGTCACATCTTACATGGCAGCAGGCAAAGAGAGCTCGTGTAGGAAACTCCCCTTTATAAAACCGTCAGGCCCAGGCCCGGTGGCTCATGCCTGTAATCCCAGCACTTTGGGAGGCTGAAGCAGGTGGATCACCTGAGGTCAGGAGTTCGAGACCAGCCTGGCCAACATGGTGAAACCCCATCTCTGCTAAAAATACAAAAATTAGCCTGGATTGTGGTGGGTGCCTGTAATCCCAGCTACTCAGGAGGCTGAGACAGGAGAATCGCTTGAACCTGGGAGGTAGAGGTTGCAGTGAGCCGCGAAGGTGCCACTGCATTCCAGCTTGGTGACAGAGCAAGACTGTCTGAAAAAAAAAAAAAAAAAGCCATCAGATCTCATTAGACTTACTCACTATCATGAGAAGAGCATGAAAAAGACCCACCCCCATAATTCAATTACCTCCCACTGGGTCCCTCCTACAACATGTGGAAATTATGGGAGCTACAATTCAAGATGAGATTTGGATGGGAACACGGCCAACCCATATCAATATATAACTATATGTGGGTGTGCATTCAGTGACAGATACATTAAGTTTTTGCAAACGTCGTTTTTTCAAAATGTTACTGTTATGGGCTAAGTTGCGTGGTTCCCCCTACCTAACCCCCCAGAAAATAAATGTTGAAGTCCTAACCCCCAGTGCTACAGAATGTGACCTTCTTAGACGTAGGGTCTTTACAGATGTAATCAAGTTGAAATGAGGTCATTAGGATGGGCCCTAATCCAATGACTGGTGTTCATCTGTAGAGAGACATGAAGACAGCCATGTGAGGGGAGTGATGCAGGTACAAGCCAAGTAGCACCAAGAACTGCCAGCAAACACCAAAAGCTAGGAGAGGCAAGGAAGGCTTCTCCTCTAGGGTCGGCAAAGAGAGCCTGGCCTTGCTGACACATTGATTTGGGACTTCTAGTCCCCAGAACTATAAGACAATTTCTCTTGTTTTAAGCCACGCAGTTTTTGGTACATTGTTATGGTAGCCCTAAAAAACTAATAAAGGGGGCTGGGCGTAGTGGTACGTGCCTATAATTTCAGTGCTTTGGGAGGCTGAAGCAGGTGGATTGCTTGAGTCCAGGAGTTCGAGACCAGCCTGGGCAACATGGTGAAAACCCATCTCTACCAAAAATACAAAAAAAATTAGCCAGGCGTGGTGGCACTGCCTGTGGTCCCAGCTACTTGGTAGGCTGAGGTGGGAGGATCACTTGAGCCAGGGAGGTGGAGGCTGCAGAGAGCTGAGAAGGTGGAGGTTGCAGGGAGCTGAGATTGCGCCACTGTGCTCCAGCCTGGAAAATAGAGTGTGACCTTGTTTAAAAACAAAAAACAAAAAACCAAAAACCTAGCAAAGGAGTGAAGGTACTAAAATTAAAGTATGCCGGCCGGGCGCAGTGGCTCATGCCTGCAATACCAGCACTTTGGAAGGCCAAAGCGGGCAGATCACAAGGTCAGGAGATCGAGACCATCCTGGCTAACACGGCGAAACCCCGTCTCTACTAAAAATACAAAAAATTAGCCGGGCGTGGTAGCAGGCGCCTGTAGTCCCTGCCGCTTGGCAAGCTGAGGCAGGAGAACGGCGTGAACCTGGGAGGCAGAGCTTGCAGTGACCCGAGATTGCACCACTGCACTCCAGCCTGGGCGACAGAGCAAGACTCCGTCTCAAAAAAAAAAAAAAAAAAAAAATTAAAGTATGCCAATGATTGATATACACTAATGCTCTTAGTTAGAAAGTTAATATTTTTCCAAAAATCAGCTCATAAGGAAGTGGCATACAGGAGACATGTTAATGGCTGCTATGGGTGGAATGCCAGGCAGTTCACCACAGTAGGAAAGTGGGATATCCCTTTATTCTTTCTGTGGGAGCTTTGATTGGCCTACAAGGAGAATGGTCATCCTTTCATCTACAGCTCCCTCCTCCTCAAATGTTAGGGTCTATGGTCAGGAGAAAGGGCTTGTTCCTTAGCTGAACGGGCACATGAATGATTAGAAACTCCACCTCTACTTTCAGATAGTGTGGAGTGAGACATAGCTCAAAGCCCATCAAGAGACTACTCTTGGTCCACAAACACTTCTAGAGACACTTCTAGAGATGCATTAATGGATGGGGGAAACATTAGGGATCATCCAGGTCTGATCCTTCACTTCCTTTTTTTTTTAATTTTAATTTTAATTTTTTTTGAGATGGAGTCTCACTCTGTCGCCCAGGCTGGAGTGCAGTGGCTTGATCTTGGCTCACTGCAACCTCTGCCTCCCAGGTTCAAGTGATTCTCCTGCTTCAGCCTCCTGAGTAGCTGGGATTACAGGCTCCTGCCACCACTCCCAGCTAATTTTTATATTTTATTTTTAGTGGAGACGGGGGTTTTGCCATGTTGGCCAGACTGGTCTCGAACTCCTGACCTCAGTTATCTCCCCACCTTGGTCTCCCAAAGTTCTGGGATTACAGGCATGAGCCACGGCACCTGGCCCTGATCCTTCACCTTCACAACACTATTCTTCTGAGCTTTCAAGGTTGTTTGGTTTTAATATGAACTCAGCAATGAGTTAAGAATATGAAAATGAGAAATATTTAAGGAATTAATTCATGACTCCCACTGCTTGGCTTTCTGACTGAGCTGAGGTCAGAGTCTAAAAAAGCAAAGTATTTCACATTAGGAGGGGTCCCAAAGGGAAAAACTAATCCATCTGAAGAATCTGTTCAGTTACCCCAAAGAAAACCTCTCCATGGTACAGCCATTTTGGAAAAACAGTTTGACAGTTTCATAAAGATTAAACATAAATTTGTGGTCTGACCCAGCAGCCCCACTCCTGGGTATCTACCTAAGATAAATGAAAACACGTCCACACAAAGACTTGCACACAAATATTCATGCCGCATGATTTATAATAGCGAAAGAATGGAAGCAACCCAAATGTCCATCAATTAGTGAATGAATAAACAATATGTGATGGACCCATACAATGGAATACTATTCAGAAATAAAAAATAATGAAATACTGATCCGTGCTACAGAATGGATAAACCTCAAAAGCCTTATGCTAAGTGAAAGAAGCCAGACATGGCCAGGCATGGTGGCTCAAGCCTGTAATCCCAGCACTTTGGGAGGCCAAGGCGGGAGGATCACCTGAGGTAGGGAGTTTGAGACCAGCCTGACCAACATGGAGAAATTCCATCTCCACTAAAAATACAAAATTAGCCGGGGGCGGTGGCTCATGTCTGTAATCCCAGCTACTCGGGAGGCTGAGGCAGGAGAACCACTTGAACCCGGGAGGCGGAGGTCATGGTGAGCTGAGATCATGCCATTGTACTGTAGCCTGGGCAACAAGCGTGAAACTTCGTCTCGAAAAAAGAGAAAAAAAAAAGAAAGAAAGAAAAAGAAGCCAGACACAAAAGGCTACTTATGGTATTATTCCTTCTATATGAAATATCCAGAAAAGACAAATCTAGAAAGTAGAGTAGTGGTTTCCTAGGGCTGGGGGTGGTAAAGGGATATGGGGCTGGAGATGAACACAAAGGTTCCTGCTGCAGAATAAAAATGTCCTAAAACTGGATTGTGACAATGATTACTGAACTTGACAAACTTACTAAAAAGTATTGTAGACTCAAAATGGTTGAAATTTATATGTAAATTACATTTCAGTAACACTGTTTATATGAAGAGAGAATGTGGCAAGGCGCCGTGACTTATGCCTGTAATCCCAGCACCTTGGGAATCTGAGGTGGGAAGATCACTTGCGCCCATCCTGGGTAACATGGCGAAACCCCGTATCTACAAAAAAATACAAAAATTAGCCTGGAGTGGTGGTGCTCACCTATAGTCCCAGCTACTTGGGAGGCTGAGGTGGGAGGATCGCTTGAGCCCAGCTGCAGTGAGCCATGATCACAACACTGTACTCCAGCCTGGGCAACAGGGGTGACCGTGGAAAGAAAAGAAAAGAAAAGAAGAGAAGAGAAGAGGGGAGGAGGGGAGAGGAGGAGGGGAGAGGAGGAGGGGAGAGGAGGAGGGGAGAGGAGGAGGGGAGAGGAAGGGAGGAGGAGGGGAGAAGAGGGGAGGGGAGGGGAGGGGAGGAAGGGAAGGAAGGAAGGAGAAGGGAAGGGAGAGAGGGAGGGAGGAAGGAAGGAAGGGAGGGAAAGGTATATTATTCATGCTTAATATGCTACAACATGGATGAACCTTAAGAATATTATGCCAAGTGAAATAAGTCAGTCACAAAAGGATACATACTGTTTAATTCCACGTATAGGAAGGACCTAGAGTAGACAAATGTATGGAGACAGAATGTTGGTAGCCAGAGGCTGGAGGAGAGGTGAGTGGGGAGCTCATGTTTAGTGGGTACAGAACTGCAGTTTGGGAAGATGATAAGTATTCAGGTGATGGTTGCACGAAAATGTGCATGTACTAATGAATGCACCAATGTACTGTGCACTTAAATGGTTAAAATGAATTTTATCATGTTATATACACATGCGCACACACACATAATTACAACTAGTCACAATTGTAGTTAATATAATTAAACTATAATTATAGAGAGAGAGGCCACATATGTTTCTGTCAGTAAACTGTTTAAAGTTCAGGCCTATTGCTGCTTGATAAACCATGGATGAAAAATTGTCACATAATTTCTTGTGGCTCAACAGTCCCATCCCTGAATGTTGCTTTTCCCTCTGTCCTTCCGGAGGTAGCTGTGTATTTTCGGTTTTACTAGGTCAGTAGACTTCAGTCCGTCCTGACTTCTGGGTGGTTTTTGTTGACTTCTACAAGAAGGCTTCTGTGTGATGTTACCTCTGAGACCTAAATGTGCCAAAATCCAGCTGTGAAAATGTCATGACATGGACCATCTCTTAGGGCGTTTTACTTGCAAAAGTAAACCGATGCTCTAAATCAAGTTTTCCTGAGGCCTGCTTGTTCAGTGGCAGGAAAAGGAAAGTTTCTATTTATCTAAAAAGAATGTGTCATTTGCCATTTTTAATAGTTTTATAAACCTGTTGAAAAATGGTGTTTCTTTGACCTATTCATCCTTGAAATAGAGTGGCCTTCTCTCTTTCCCTTTTTTTTTCTTATGGTTCTTATAATAAATATAGCCATAAAAGGATTTTTTTTTTCTTTTTGAGACAGGGTCTCACTCTGTAGCCCAAGCTGGAGTGCAGTGGTGCGATCTCGGCTCACTGCAACCTCCGCCTCTGGGGCTCAATCGATTCTTGTGCCTCAGCCTCCTGAGTAGCTGGAACTACAGACACATGCCACACACCCAGCTAATTTTGTGTATTTTAGTAGAGACAGGGTTTCACCATGTTGACCAGGGTGGTCTCGAACTCATGAGCTCAGGCGATCCACCCACTTCACCTCTCAAAGTGCTGGGATTACAGGCCATGAAAGTATTTTAAGACAATCCTTTGGACTCTTAGAGCATTTTGCTAATAAAAAGCATTGAGGAAATCCCATTTTGATACAACACAAGTAACTCTGGGAAAACTTATTTCTCTGCATAGTACACCAGACGGTAAAACCCCCCAAAAGACATAATTTGCTTCCTCTTTTTGAGTTTCTGAGAGCACTAATTCGGTCATGAGACAGATGTCTGATTTCCGCGTGGGGTGGAGTGGGACGAGGTGATAGTGCAGAGCAAATAAACCTCCCCTTTAGGGCCTGTGGATACGTGCAGCCTTCCTTCAATTTCAGATCCACGGTACGTGATTGACATAGATTAGTTATGACCTACCTATGCCAACCCCAGAGCCTTCTACAAACACTGGCTCTTATTAGCAAATTACTTCTCCCCCAGTCACGGTGCATAGAATTAACATTCTCATTTTCCATCTCAGGAAATTGAGGCGGGGAGGACTAATAGAGTCAAACAGTCAGTTATCAAACATAGAAGATTGGAAGAAAGTGACCTATTTGTCTTCCAGATCCCCTGTTGAAACTCTCTAAAGGCACTGCACAGTGTCACCACTGTTGGACTTTGTTTAGTCAGAGGATGATCTCCTTGTGTATTTATATTCCTAACTGGTTCTGATGGGGAAGCCATACAGTAATGGCCATACATTATCGTATGGCCACACCATATAATAATGGTGGCTGAGAGGCTTCCGGAGAGACACTTGGTAGCATGTCCAGTGGTCACAGAATGTAGCAGGGTCAACAAGTTTTGCAGCCACCAATGAATGGGAGGAGGGGGCGCCATGTAGAGGAAGGAGGAGGGGAGCAAAACTTGGACTAATTTCCTGGAGAGCCACAGGCCTTGTTAAGGAATCTTTAGGATAATAGCTCTTTTGACTGGCTGTTGGTTTTTTTTCTCTTTTAGAAGTAGTAGTAGTGGTTGGCTGGGAGAGAGATATGCAGAAAGCTGGGTAGGAAGGCGGTCAAAAGACATGTGATGGGGCTGATTAACAAGCAGGCTTTGTAAGCTGGGCTGCGGGGACACCTGCAGCTCTTGCAGACAGGCTTGCCCAGTAGGGGTTGTTTGAATGAGAAAACAGCTTCCAAAAAGATGTAGCACAAGAGCATAAAAGGAAAAGAAAAATGTGCATTTGTGAGATGAGGGAATGGTAGAGTTTTATCTTGGGATTCTCCTTTAAATGACTTTCATTATCTAATATTCTCAACCCTAGGTCAGCATCACAAGACGCATGAAAGAGGACTCATCGCCAGGGCATGGAGCTGGTGTTTTGATCAAAATGGAATTTGCTCTCAAATAGACATGTATTCACTAATCTCCTTTCTTTTAAATAAGTAAATAAAACAAACACAAAATCTCTTCCAGCTCAGCTGACTAAGTCCTAGTGGGGATGACAGCAACATTCACTTGCAAGATCCCACAGAGCTAGTGTCCAAAATGAAAATAAATGTGACTTTTCATATCAAGGCAGAGTGTTGCTTTGTTTGCAATTCAGTTAAAGAACAGGCATTACAATGCTATTGTGCTACGAGATGCACATCTTTGGGGCTCTAACACGGCGAAATCTGTGCTTGACAGATGGGCACCAGTATCTTAAGAGAGCCAGAAGGGCACAGTTCTTGGTTTCCAAGGAGCTAGGTTTGGGTGAGGTGGAAGTGGGGGAGCAAAGAAAAAAAATCCCCGTACCTCCCATGGTCAATCAGCTTAGACGGGATCCATTCCAGATGGCTGTGTCTTATATTCATTGATATTTCCCACAGCTAATAGAGCCTTGGTAAATAGCAATTGTGTGATCAATTTATATATATTAAATTCCCACTGAGATAGCTAAGTTACCAGATAAGGAGAACACTTGAATTTGATTTCAGCAGGACTTGGAAGGAATTAGGCAAGGGTGTCATCACTGTCACCTCCTGTCAACTCTGGAAGCTGAGTTGGATGCTTTTCCTTTCTTTTCTTTCTTTCCTTCTTTCTTTCTTTCTTGCTCTCCTTCCTTCTTTCTTTCCTTCCTTCCTTCCTTCCCTCCCTCCCTCTCTTTCTCTTTCTTTCTTTCTTTCTTTCTTCTTTCTTTCTTTCTTTCTTTCTTTCTTTCCTTCTCTCTCCTTCTCTCCTTCTCCCCCTTCTCCCCTTCTATCCTCTCCTTCTCTCCTCCTCCCATTCTCCCTTTCTCTCTCTTCCTTTCTTTCTCTCTCTCCTTTCTTTCCTTTCCTTTCTCTCCCTCCCCTTCTCTCCTTCTCTCTTTCCCCCTTCTCCCCTTCTCCCCTCCTCTCTCTCTCTCTCTCATCTTTCTCTGTTGCCCAGGTTGGAGTGCAGTGGTACAATCATGGTTCACTGCAACCCCAACCTCCTGGGCTCCATGAATCTCCCACCTCAGCCTCCCAAGGAGCTAGGACTACAGGCATGAAACACAACATGTGGATAGTTTTTAAATTTTTTTTGGAAGAGGTGAGATTTCATTATGTTGCAGAAGCTGGCCTTGAACTCCTGGGCTTAAGTGATCTGCTAGCCTCGGCCTCCCAAAGTGTGGGGATTACAGGCATGAGCCACAACACCTGGCTGGATGATTTTTCTTGGTGCTGCCATTAGCTTCAGTTTCCTTTTATATAAAATGCAGTTAGTGACACCTTCCTTAGAGGGTTGTTTTGGAAGTTACATAAGCTAAGTTATGTAAAGTGCCCAATTCAGAACCTGGCCTATCATATGCTCTCAATAAATGATGGTGCTAGGGCATTCATTAGAAAGTTAAATCCATTCCTTCGCTCACCAGCAGCCTTTGATCCAGGAAACACCTTGTGCCAGGCTCTGAGCAAAGCCCCGAAGATGCGGCAACAAGCCCAACAGATATGCTTCCTGACTTTCTGAATAGGACAGCATAGCGAGAGGTAGGGACACAACCAGATGCCCCCATGCATTTCTTTTTTGTTTTTGTTTTGTTTTGTTTTGTTTTGTTTTGTTTTGAGATGGAGTCTCACTCTGTCTCCCAGGCTGGAGTGTAATGGCGCCATCATGGCTCACCTCAACCTCCGCCTCCCAGGTTCAAGCCATTCTCCTGCCTCAGCCTCCCAAGTAGCTGGAATCACAGGCGTGTGCCTCCACGCCCAGCTAATTTTTGTATTTTTAGTAGAGACGGGGTTTCACCATGTTGGCCAGGCTGGTCTCGATCTCCTGACCTCAGGTGATCCTCTGGCCTCAGCCTCCCAAAGTGCTAGGATTACAGGCGTGAGTTGCTGCACCCGGCCACCCATGCATTTCTGATGACACATTGTGACAGGTGCTCTGAAAGGCCAGTGCACTATAAGGTCATAGAGCAGGGGGCTTTATATTCTAGGGAGTCAAGGCAGTTTTCCCTATCAATGGACATTGGAGCTGAGATTCCAAAGATCAGGGTTGACCCCTTGGAGTATGACACATGGGAAAGAGGCAGAAAATGGGCAAGGGTATCTGGTCTGTCATTTAATTTCACACTCCTAGAGGATCAAAATATTGCTGGCTGTGAACTTGGAAGAACTGAATTCCAGTGCTTTTTCTAGTATGTGAGTAGCTATTCTCTGGCATCACAGGGATGGGTTTGGAGGGGACACAGACAGTGCCGGGGAGAAGGTTAGGGGTCTGCAAGGAGGACACATGGCTGGAGGATTGTGGAGGTAAGTAGGAAGATGCCAGTGGAATACTGGAGCAAAGTGGCCAAGGAGCACTGGGCTGAGAGTCAGGAGGGCTGAATTCTTTCCCTGGCCAGCATTCTTATTTTACAGATGAAGAAAAAAAAAAAAAAAAAAAAACGGGCTCACAAAGACTGTGTATTTACCCAAGATATATGCACCTAGTAGGTGGTGAAACTTAGACTAAAATCTAGGCCTTTTTATTCTAGGTCTCTTGACTATACCACACGGCTGTCTGTAAAACGGAAAGCTTTAAGAAAACAACTGCTGGCCGGGCGCGGTGGCTCACGCCTGTAACCCCAGCACTTTGGGAGGCCAAGGCTGGTGGATCACCTGAGGTTGGGAGTTCGAGACCAGCCTGACCAATGTGGAGAAACCCCACCTCTACTAAAAATACAAAATTAGCTGGGCGTGATGGCTCATGCCTGTAATCCCAGCTATTCAGGAGGCTGAGGCAGGAGAATCGCTTGAACCCGGGAGGCGGAGGTTGAGGTGAGCCGAGATCGGGCCACTGCACTCCAGCCTGGGTAACAAGAGTGAAACTCTGTCTCAAAAAAAAAAAAGAAAAGAAAAAAGAAAAAAAAAAAAGGAAACTACTGCTAAGGTCCCTTCCAGGTCTAAATAAAGTATAATAGTATGGAATAGTACCTCCTCAAGAGCAGAAAAGAAAAAAGAAGAGAAAGAGAGAAAGAAAGGTAAGGTAAGAGAGGAAGGAAAGAAAGAAACAGAAAGGATAAAATAAGAGAAAAAATCCTTAATTTTCTCCATGGTCTTTTCCCTTTGGAATATATCCAATTTAATCATTTCTAGACCATTAAAATCCATGTCAGAGCCACCACCAGTAAAGCATTCTGTCACCATCCCACTGTAAGGGCAATTGCTAGGAGAGACGTGGGACTTCTCCGCCCTATCATCATAATGCTTATTTCAGCCAATGTTTCATTATCTGTGCCCAGTGCAGGCCAAGCCATGGAAACATGAACCCCTCCGAGAGTTCAAAACCGTTCTGAGTCATTAGCTCTAATATCCTCGCAGCTCCAAAAGCAACCGTGCTGGAGGTGCTCTGCTGAGCGCCATTCCCTTATGCATTTCCATGTTATTGTTTTGAGCCTATAGGTAAGAGCTTGGAAAAAGCACAAAGCAAAGAAACCGTTCACTTTGCACCAAGGCCATACAGCAAGTTCAGTCACCTGGCTGAAATTAGGCTCTCCAGGATACCAGAAAATGTCTTGCCCTTTTATGACTTGTGCCAAATCTTCTTCTGGCTGCTCCACATACAAAACAAATATACTTTTCCTGAAGGCCTTTTTGGCATTTCCTTAATCCCTAAGCCATAGCGACCAAAGACACCGTTCTTCATGCCAGCGTGTGCTTCCCTGCCAGCCTCTACCACCCGCACACAAGTTTTCTGTTAACGCTTTTGTAAAGAATTTAAATGTGTTGCCAGTTAAATGAGGTATTAAGGGCTCTGGGGTTTTTAATCTCCGGTTTTCTATCAGAAGAAAGGAATCATGGTAAAAATTGTGCTTTGCAGTTCTATTGGAATTTAAATATTTTCTGCATAAAATGTTGGTATCATCAACATCAAAAAGCCCAAACATCAACATCAACATAAAACCCCTCATTTTATAAAACAAAAGTTTCAAAAAGTGGAATCCACTTTTTTGGTGGAATAGACTCAGGGGTCACATTGAAACTCTTTATTAGTAATAAATTGCAACAGCCCTTGGGCTCTTGCTGTTGAAAGGGAAAGTTAGTGGTTTAGAAATGGAAAGCAAGTAACCAAAATTAAGATACTCTGATGTGCTACTACATACAAGAATAAACCATCTAAAAGGACAGCATATTAATAGTGCACTTATTTTTAGCCAAATCTACAGTAAAACAATCTTTTCAACACTTATCCCAAATTCTATTGTTTAAGACTTTTCTAGGCCAGGCACAGTGGCTCACACCTGTAATCCCAGCACTTCGGGAGGCAGAAGCTTCTGGATTACCTGAGGTCAGGAGTTCGAGACCAGCCTGGCTAACATGGTAAAACCCCGTCTCTACTAAAAATACAAAATCAGCCGGCTATGGTGATTCACACCTGTAATCCCAGCTACTTGGGAGGCTGAGGCAGGATAATTGCTTGAACCCGGGAGGCGGAGGTTGCAGTGAGCTGAGATCGTGCCACTGCACTCCGGGCTGGGCGACAGAGCGTGACTCTGTCTCACTAGTGTAGAAATGTACAGATTAGAAAGTACAATGGATTTACAAGGCAATCAAGAGAGACAATAAGGGGGCCAGGCGCGGTGGCTCACGCCTGTAATCCCAGCACTTTGGGAGGCCGAGGTGGACGAATCACCAGGTCAGGAGATCGAGACCATCCTGGCTAACACGGTGAAACCCCGTCTCTACTAAAAATACAAAAAATTAGCCGGGCGTGGTGGCGGGCGCCTGTAGTCCCAGCTACTTCGGAGGCTGAGGCAGGAGAATGGCGTGAACCCAGGAGATGGAGCTTGCAGTGGGCGACAGAGTGAGACTCCATCTCAAAAAATATATATATATATAAAAATAGAGACAATACGGTCAGTTTGTATTGATACACACATTACTTCGAAGAAAACTGGACACTTTTGAAGGATCAAGTGACGCTTTTTGGGTACTAGGCCATTAGAAAAACTTTCTTTTCAGAAATGCAATCTATGTTCTATGGAATCTCCAGCTTAAGACGTAACTCAAGAATGACTCAATGAGGTCTTGTCAATGGGGTTAGTAAACTCCACGGGTAATTTAAGAAAAGGTATTGCTAAGCCAGGCACGGTGGCTCACGCCTGTAATCCCAGCACTTTGGGAGGCCAAGGCAGGCGGATCACGAAGTCAGGAGATCAAGACCATCCTGGCTAACACAGTGAAACCCTGTCTCTACTAAAAATACAAAAAATTAGCTGGGCATCGTGGTGGGCGCCTGTAGTCCCAGCTACTCGGGAGGCTGAGGCAGGAGAATGGTGTGAACCCGGGAGGCAGAGTTTGCAGTGAGCGGAGATCACGCCACTGCACTCCAGTCTGGGCGACAGAGTGAGACTTCGTCTCAAAAAAAAAAAAAAAAGGTATTGCTAATCTTTGTGATGCTGACACGAGTCAGGGTGTGGACACATTCCTGGTTTCTCTTTATTAAGAGACCGACCAGGTGTGTATGAACCATGAGTTTATATTTATGCTTTTTGGAAAAATAAATATGTAGTCCACGTGTTTTAAGGTTAAGAAGCTTTTAGAACTTACAGCCTAATAAAAAAGAAAAAAAGGCCACGCACGGTGGCTCACACCTGTAATCCCAGCACTTTGGGAGGCTGAGGCGGGTGGATCAACTAAGGTCAGGAGTTTGAGACCAGCCTTACCAATGTGGAGAAACCCCGTCCGTACTAAAAATACAAAAATTAGCTGGGCGTGGTGGTGCGTGCCTGTAGTCACAGCTACTTGGGAGGCCGAGACAGAAGAATTGCTTGAACCCGGGAGGTGGGGGTTGCAGTGAGCCGAGATTGCACCACTGCACTCCAGCCTGGGAGATGGAGACAAAAAAAAAAACAACAAAAACCAAAAAAACCAAAAAAAAAAAAAAAAAAAGAAAAGAAAAAGAATCATAGTAATAAAAACAAAATAAATAGCTTAAGAAGTTCTATAAGGTTTCCACCTACTTTGCAAAGTATCAGTGTATTTTACTTAATCCAAATGCTGTGTTTTTCAACCTTCAGGGGGTAATCCTGCTTCCCCTTTGGGGTCCAGGGAAGCAATTCATATTCTCTAATCGCTTCTGCAGGATTTCCTCAAATCTCTCTTGTTCTTCTCTAAGCTTCAGTACATTCTAGACAACACCCCCTTAAACCCATCACCATTGATGGAATGTATTTACCCTCACCGATGGGTATTTGTTCCACGTTTTCTATTTTAGTCAGTTCTACCTTTAGAGTTCTTTACACACACACACACACACACACACACACACAGCATCTCACTTAATTTTATTCATCCTTCAAAGTTCATCTTAGGTCATTTCTTCCCCTCCTTTGTCCCTGTGTCCTTTCCTCCTTGGTCCAATGCATTCTGAATGTTTTTACCATTTACATTAATTCTTTTTTTTTTTTTTTTTAGACGGAGTTTCACTCTTGTTGCCCAGGCTGGAGTGCAGTGGTGCAATATAGGTTCACCGCAACCTCCTCCTCCCGGGTTCAAACCATTCTCCTACCTCAGACTCCAGAGTAGCAGGGATTATAGGCATGTGCCACCACACCTGGCTAATTTTCTATTTTTAGTAGAGATGGGGTTTCTCCGTGTTGGTCAGGCTGGTCTTGAACTCCTGACCTCAAGTGATCCACCCGCCTCGGCCTCCCAAAGTGCTGGGATTACAGGCGTGAGCCACCGCGCCCAGCCTACGTTGATTCTTTAATGTTTACTTCTCTACCTTCTTTTATTGTTCACAACCATTTTACAGGTTTCTCTCTTGCTCTTGTCTCAACAATAAGAGCCCAGAGGTCAGAAGTCCTGATTTACACCTCATATTGTGTGCCTCTTAACCTGTAGAGGTGAGCCGCACTATATGCCATGTGTCAGTCTTTGATGTTTCCCTGTCAATCTTTGTCCAGACATTGAGTTCAACTTGGTCCCTTTGCCAAGTTCATTTCCCACTCGGATCACTTGTATTGCTGTCTGTGCACACGAGGACATCTGAGATAACTATGGAAGTTGGTTATTTCCATATGAAGTTGCAGGAAAGGGGTTCAATGGATGATCATGTTGGTGGGTGAAAATGATGCAGTATATAGAACATCGACAGATTTCATGGAGGCATAGACCAAGAATTTCATTTTAACTTTGTGTGATAGAAGGGAAAATAAATATTTGTGATCAATTGGAGCCATTTCTGGCTGAAGCAGCCGGTTATTAGTCATTGCGAATTGATCCACTAGCTTTCTGGATTTTGTAGACTGTATGAGTCTCACAGGTTCATCCTCCCACTGACAGCATTCCTGACCTTCAGGGTGTCAATACAGTCTGGGTCCTCTGTCCTAATCAAATTCACCACACACACCAGGCTCTCATCACCACTTTTCTGAGTCAGTGGACCTCATTTTTTTCCTGATGCAGTTTCTATCATTACAGGCTCAGTGGTAAGCCAACAACAAGGTGATGGGTTCCTAAAATAAGTGAATACAATCTTAGCCTCCTTATAATGTCGGGTGTCGAGCTGAGGGATGAGGTAATGGATATAGCCAGGAGACTGGACGCTGTTGATAGGAAGCAGTAAGGAACTGGAAGCTGTTTCACCCAGAAAAGATGGCTGGAGATAGAGATGGACCTTGCATTTTCATCTACACATGCGGAAGTGAGACTTAGTTTACACAAAAGCTAGAACTAGTAAGGGTAGGTTACAGAAAGGCTCAATGTGTTTAAAAATTGAAGGAACTGTTCGTTACTATTGAAGGAACACAGCAAGTGAGCTCCCAACTCTACTAATAAATAAATATTTGAGTTCAGATAATTAATTGAGATATAATGGAAGAGATTCCTACATTGCATGTAACTAAAACTTAAATGCTCCCTAATGACATAGGCAAATTAATCTGACTCCAAGTTTCTTTAAACCTGTGATGATTTCCAATTCATTGATGTCTTTCATGAGATATACAGCTGTAAACAAATAGAATTCCAGCTTCAAATGAATCAAGATTTTATACAAAGGCAGGATTTGCAGGTCTGTGTATGGGAAAGGGAGAGTCTTGCCCCAAATCAGTCTTGATGTCTTCATTCTAGGTAGTCTTTTTGAAAAGATGGCAGTCATGCAGAAGACAATACAATACCAATTTTGTTCCTTCCTTCACGTCCAATGCACAACTCAATACACACACCAGGGTTTTAGGCATTCTGCAACCTTTAAAAGTTTGAAAAACACACGTTGCTTTACACATGTCCAGGCATGTTTATGTACAATGGCTGGGAGTAGAAAATAATTTGACTTTTAGGGAATGGTATTATTCTTGGCAGAAAAAGTATCATTTGTTGAGTTAATTTCACACATACTACCACAATCGAACTCTTAAATGATTCTACGAGATAAGCATTGTTATTCTAATTTTACAGTTGATAGAGCTGGAAGAACAAGCAACTCACTTGTGTTTACACAACCATTAAGTTGTTGAGCCAGGATTTGAATCTAGGCCAAACTGATGCTATATCCCTTTTGCACAGGATCTTATAGTCCCTAATCATAAATCCTTCATATTTTGAAAGATAAAAGGCCATGTTTAGAGATGTCCATGACTTCAGAAAAACAAAAAAAAACAAAAAAAAAACGGCTTTACTTTACAAGGATGGAGTAGTCTTTGCTGAATGGATAAGAACTCTAGTCTTGTCAATGCACAGGCTAAATATCAGCTCTGCCCTCTAAGTAGCTGAATGCCCTTCAACAAATACGTTCACTTCTCTAGGTCTCTGTGTTCTTACTGGGAAAATGGAAGTGCTAATAGCACCTTCCTTATAGGACTGTTTTTATTTTTTATTTTTTTATATTTTGAGACAGAGTCTCGCTCCACTGTCCAGGCTGGAGTGCAGTGATGCAATTTCGGCTCACTGCAACCACTGCCTCCCAGGTTCAAGTGATTCTCCTGCCTCAGCCTACCAAGTAGCGGGGACTACAGGTGTGTGCCACCATGCCCGGCTAATTTTTATATGATTAGTAGAGACGGAGTTTTGCCATGTTGGCCACGCTGGTCTCAAACTCCTGACCTCAGGTGATCCACCCACCTCAGCCTCCCAAAATGCTAGGATTACAGGAGTGAACCACTGCACCAGGCCAGGACTGTTTTTAATAGTAAATAAAATAGTACATGGAAAGCACCTAGCACCATATGAACATAGGAAGTAAGTTTTAGCTATTATGAAGAGTATATATTCTTTTTTATCTCCCTACACCGAAGGTTACTGGTGGGCTCAAAAGATACTCCTGAAGAGTCAAGTTATGGGGAAGCATCCCAGGAGAGGAGAGGCAGGACAAGCAAACTATTCCTGGGAAGCTAGACTTACTGATAACAGTGGAACTCTCCTTGGCTCCAACTGATTTCTTTGCCTGGGGTTATTCTCTATAGGTAGCTCTGATAATCTTTCCCTATCTCTTGCAGCATCTAGCACAGGGCTCAAATGCTCGTTGTCCGATTAACACAGGTGTGCACAATGAGTGGTCTCAGGTGAGGGAAGAGAAAAAGCACACAGCTTGCAAAAGCCAGAGATCTGCAGCTTATTCACAATGCAAGACTGAGCTGATAAGCAAGCTAGCAGTAATGATGCCGTGTATTTTTCAGAGGATCTTGAGGTAACATCTGACTTGCAATTCCAGTGCAAGTCAGCAGTATGTCAGGGCTGCACAAATGGCTTTCCCACATTCCCCTGTGGGGAGAATGCAGAGTATGCATTAATGACTGTATGTTGCAGAGAAGAAAACGGATTTAAGGCCCTAGCAAATTAGGGCATATGGCACTAGGAAACGAGATGTTTAAATGACACAGTATACTTTGGAGGTAGCTCAGTAGTTCAAGTCACTGGTGGATGCAATTTGAGATGCCTATTTGAATCTATTAAGACCTACATTCTCTTCTCTCTCTCTTTTTTTTTTCTGATAGAGTCTGCTCTGTCGCCCAGGCTGGAGTGCGGTGCCATGATCTCTGCTCACTGCAACCTCCGCCTGCCTGGCTCAAGCAATTCTCCTGCCTCATCCTCCCGAGTAGCTGCGATTACAGGCGTGCACCACCATGCCTGGCTAATTTTTGGATTTTTAGTAGAGACGGGGTTTCACTATGTTGGCCAGGCTGTTCTCGAACTCCTGACCTCAAATGATCTGCCTGCCTCGGCCTTCCAAAGTGCTGGGATTACAGGCGTGAGCCACAGTTCCTGGCCGTCTTTTTCTTTTAACTTTCTTTTCTCACCGTCAGGGCTTCTATTTCACTACTCCTCCCCTTCTGCTGACAATTAGGATTCAATCATGCTGTTTCTGCTACCTCTCGCTGGCTTTGAGTCCAAATGAAACACTGGCTGGCACTTTTAGTGGCACGTCACTGCCCTAAAACTCCTTTGCTGACTTATGCTGGCACCCTCCCCCCTTTTTGGTTAGCTCTTCAAGGCAAATAGAAGACTCCTTTAAAATATATATATATATTTTTTTATATATTTATATATTTTTTCTTTTTTCTTATGTACCACCAAAAGGCACCGCCCAGAAACAGAAAGAAGGAAACACAACTAACTCCACTTAATACACCCATGAAGAAAGTTCCAGACAGAACATGGCTTCTCTTCTGGGGGAATCACCTGTCCAACACCTTCATGCACCAAGAAGCTTTAAATTGTTGTGTATGTTTTCAATCTTCATATAGGGCAAGTGAGGCCAGGCATGGTGGCTCACGCCTGTAATCCCAGCACTTTTGGAGGCTGAGGCGGGTGGATCACTTAAGCTCAGGGGTTCGAGACCAGGCTGGCCAACATGGCAAAACCATGTCTCTACTAAAAATACAAAAGTTAGCCAGGTGTGCTGGAGCATGCCTGCAGTCCCAGCTACTAGGGAGGCTGAGGCAGGAGAATCGCTTGAACCCGGGAGGCAGAGGTTCCAGTGAGCGGAGATCACAGCATCGTACTCCAGCCTGGGTGACAGAGTGAGACTCCGTCTCCAAAAAAAAAAAAAACAAGATAGGGTAAGTATTTGATGAAGAAACTGAAGCACAAGCAAATCTCAGCAGAAGTGTCTAGAATTGCACAGAGAACAGGGTTGTGCTCTGTCACTTCCCTTCCTCCTACTTCTCCAACCAGTTGCTCAGTGCCCTTCCTTGTTGAATTGAGCTCCAGGAGAGCATGAGGGGTTGGTAATTCATAATTGCCATCTTTTCCCTGCTGAAACCATTTGCTAGAAATCATTGTCTCTCTTTGCGGACATTTGCATCATCCTACATCATGTTTTCAGAGCTCACCTTTATTGAGGCATAATTCATAATCAGTAAATATACCCTTTTAGATGTTACTATTTTATAAATTTTGACAAACTTAAGCAGTCATGTAACCACCACCACAATCAACATACAGAATATTCTCATAACCCCTACAAAATCTCTCATACACCTTATAGGCTACCCCATCCTGCCATCACAGTTCCCTAGCAATTGCTGGTCTGATTTCTGTTCCTATAGTTTTACTTTTTCCAAAAAGTTATATAAGTAGAGTTGTATAGTAGGTAGTGTTTTAAGTCTGGCTTCTTTCACCTAGCATAATGCTTTTGAAATTTATCCAGTTGTTACAAGTAGTCGTGATTTGTTTCTTTTTATTGTCTTAATTTTAATTTTTTTGAGAAAGAGTTTTGCTCTTGTCACCCAGGCTGGAGTGCAATGGTACGATCTCGGCTCACTGCAACCTCCGCCTCCCAGGTTCAAGTGATTCTCCTGCCTCAGCCTCCTCATTAGTTGGGATTACAGGCGCCCGCCACCATGTCCTGCTAATTTTTGCATTTTTAGTAGAGACAGCGTTCACCGAGTTGGCCAGGATGGTCTTGAACTCCTGACCTCGGGTGATCCACCTGCCTCGGCCTCCCAAAGTACTGGGATTACAGGCGTGAGCCACCGCGCCTAGCTCCTTTTCATTGTTACATGGTATTTTCTTTATGCGGATGAACCAAATTTGTTTATCCATTTGCCAATTGGTGGACAGATGAGTTGTTTATGGGGTTTGGCGATTTAAAACAAAAATTTATTTTGAAAGTTTTTTTTTTGTTAAATTAAATCAACCTTGTTTTATCAAGCAACATATCAAAACTTACTCATTTAACAGTTAGCAATTGCACTTTTAGTTTGATTTGAAATTAAAGAATTTTCTTCTGCCCTTTCAGCTAATGCATTCATTCTAAAATATAATCATTATGAGGGCAGCCTTGTCCTAGGTGTTCCAAAAGGTATCCCTCTTTCTGCACTTGTCATTCCAGGCCTGTAACTTTCCATGTGGAGACGAGAACCCTGGTTCTTGTCCACATCTTAACTGGCAAAGCTACTCTTAGCTGAAGGGCTCAGAAGAGAACAGGATGATTGCCTGAGATCTAGTAGTCCCTTTTGCAATAAAGCAATGATGTAAGTAATCATATGTAAAAGGTTTTTAAACTTTACCTATAGGAAATTGGGAGCCAAACTTTAATACATCAGACTTGGCTTCACTTTTAAAATTACCTACCTGAGAAGGGAGAAGAGAAATCTCTATAAAGACATCAAAGTTCTAAGATCCAGAAGTGCTGATTTATTATATAGTTAACATGCATCTAAGAAAGCTTGTCTTTTAGATACACTTGCCTCAGGCATAATAGTGTTGCAACATGCTACCATATCACTGCTGCAAACCTATTGCTGTTGAAACTTATCTTTCCTTCTCTAACCTCTTTCTCTGCCCAGCAAAAGGGGAGGTGGAGGGAAAAAAAGAAGGAAAGAAAATGGGAGCGGGGAGAGTGGAGAAGAAGGAAGCAGAAAGCCTGGGTAATGATACAGCACCTTTTATCTCAGAATCTCAAAAGCTGTTTTCTTGATCAGACTTATTGAACGTTACTGGGTGGATAGGACATGGAAAACTAAGTAGGAACTGGAATGAGTTATGGTGGCGAACCACAGAGTGATGGTTAATTTTATGCGTCAGTTTGGCTGGACTGTGGGGCACCTGGATATCTGGTCAAACGTCATCCTGGATGTTTCTTCTGTGAAGTGTTTTTCTGGATAAGATCAACATTTTTTTTTTCTTTTTGAGACAGAGTCTCCTTCTGTCGCCCAGGCTGAAGTAAAGTGGTGTGATCTCTGCTCACTGCAACCTCCGCCTCCCAGGTTCAAGCAATTCTCCTGCCTCAGCCTCCCAAGTAGCTGGGATTATAGGTGCTCGCCAGCACACCTGGCTGATTTTTTTTTTTTTTTTTTTTTTGAGATGGCGACTTGCTCTGTCACCCAGGCTGGAGTGCAGTGGCAAGATCTCAGCTCACTGCAAGCTTCGCCTCCTGGGTTCACGCCATTCTCCTGCCTCAGCCTCCCAAGTAGCTGGGACTACAGGCGCCCGCCACCATGCTCAGCTAATTTTTTGTATTTTTAGTAGAGGTGGGGTTTCATCACGTTGGCCAGGCTGGTCTCAAACTCCTGACCTCAAGGGATCCACCCACCTTGGGCTCGCAAAGTGCTGGGATTACAGGCGTAAGCCACCGCGCCTGGCCTAGATCAACATTTAAATTGTTGGACTTTGAATATAGCAGATTACCCTCTGTAATGTGGGTAGGGCTCATCCAGTCAGTTAAAGGCCAGAATGGAATAAGAGACTGACCTCTCCCAAGTCAAGATGGGAGTTCTGCCTTTGAACTTCAGCAGCAATTCTTCCCTGCGTCTCCAGCCTGCTAGCCTCCTCTGAAGATTTTGAGTTTACTAAGCCTCCATGTTTGTGTGAGCCAATTCATCTTTCTCTTTCCCTCTGTATACACACACACCCTTCCTAAGAAATCGCAGAACTTCTATATTTTAGAAAGTATTAAAGACAATTTATTCCAACCCTTACCCATAAGTTTCTTCTCTAACATCTGCCTAAGCAAGCATTGAACTGCAGCTGAATATTTTCTGCCCAGTAAACCACTAGCTAAAGAGGCAGCGACTTTTATTTTTGGATAGCTTTAATTGCTTCAAGTTCTTTTGTTTTGGTTATTTGTTTGTTTGTTTTATATGGCAAGCCCAATCTATTTCCCAATGTCTTTTACCCTTTGGCCCAAAATGGTGTCTGGCAGTCGCATAGGCTGCTTGTACACAGGTGTACATTCCCCTTGTCCAGTTAATCTTAATTAACTAATTATGTGTATTTTTTGAGATGGAGTTTCGCTCCGTCACCCAGGCTGGAATGTGGTGGCGTGATCTCAGTTTACTGCAACTTCTGCCTCCTGCATTCAAGCTATTCTCCTGCCTCAGCCTCCTGAGTATCTGAGATTCCAGGCATGCACCACCATAACCAGCTGATTTTTGTATTTTTGGTAGAGAAGGGGTTTTGCCATGTTGCCCAGGCTGGTCTTGAACTCCTGACCTCAAGTGATCCACCCACCTCAGCCTCCCAAAGTGCTGGGATTACAGGCATGGGCCACAGCGCCAGGCCAGTTGATCTAAATTTGAATAATCTATGCAGCAGAATAATTTTGGAATATTAACGAGTTTCGTTTGCATATTTAGGATGTTCTAAATCACCTAAGACAGCCATGCCTAATGCTCCATGGAAGGGAAGATGGTGGAACATAGAGGACAGAGTCGATTCTGGGTGCCTGGGGGGAGGAGGGACAGAGCAGAAAGGGCAATGCATCAGAGAGAATTGCCCAGATGGCAATGGAGCACAGCACACATGGACTGTGCACCTGGTGACCAGGGCCAGGCCAGATGATGCGTCTCTCAGGGATGTGGCTTGGAGATGTAATAGCCAGGGACTAGATGAACCCCAGCTCCCACAATGCTATAGACACAATGACAGAGCAAGCAAGAAAGAAGAAAACTGGAATTGGCTGGGTTTAAATCTCTTCCACTGAATAGGGGCATGAGAGAAAATTTTAGTCGGGTTTATAGAAAAATCTAGCCAGTTACATGTCTTACATTTCTAGTGACATTTCTTCACTACTGAGAGAATAGAATGAGTTCCACAGTGGCTTTTATTCATCACTGCAAAGAAGCTAGAGAAAATGACTCTTTGCTCTGAGAATAGTCCTGTCCCTGGAAGGGTCTGGATATAGAATGGGAAACCATGGCCTTGGGAAACACGCTGGGAATCACAGGCAGGTACTTTTATTTTAAATTGGTTCCTCGTCTCCATTCTATCCGGTTACGAGTATTCCTTCAGAAGACGTTTACTAAGCGCTTGCTGTATTGGGGTTGCTCTTCTCGAGGAGTATCTTTGTGGTGTTCTCTGTATTTCCTGAATTTGAATGCTGGCCTGTCTTGCTACGTTGGGGAAGTTCTCCTGGATAATATCCTGAAGAGTGTTTTCCAACTTGGTTCCATTCTCCCCGTCACTTTCAGGTACACCAATCAAACGTAGGTTTGGTCTTTTCACAGAGTCCCATATTTCTTGGAGGCTTTGTTCATTCCTTTTCATTCTTTTTTCTCTAATCTTGTATTCATGCTTTATTCCATTACGTTGATCTTCAATCTTTGATATCCTTTCTTCTGCTTGATCGATTTGGCTATTGATACATGGGTATGCCTCACCAGCTCTCTCTCGTGCTGTGTTTTTCAGCTCCATCAGGTCATTTATGTTCTTCTCTAAACTGGTTATTCTAGTTAGCAATTTCTCTAACCTTTTGTCAAGGTTCTTAGCTTCCTTGCATTGGGTTAGAACATGCTCCTTTAGCTCGAAGTAGTTTGTTATTACCCACTTTCTGAAGCCTACTTCTGTCAACTCATTAAATTCATTCTCTGCCCAGTTTTTCTCCCTTGCTGGCGAGGAGTTGTGATTCTTTGGAGAAGAGGCAAACCAGAATGCAAATTGTTCTGGTTTGATTGGAAAATCAAAGACAAAAGAGCCTTGTTCCCTGGAAGAGAACACGAAATTGTGAGCAAGTGCAATTAAATGACACCATTACATTAATTTTAAAAATGTAAAAAGGTCTCATGTCTTTTTGCTATGCAGGACTGCTTAAAGGCATTTATGATAATTTTTTTTTTTTTTTTTTTTTTGAGTTGGAGTCTCACTCTATTGCCCAGGCTGGAATACAGTGGCACGATCTTGGCTCACTGCAACCTCTACCTCCCGGGTTCAAGCAATTCTCCTGCCTCAGCCTCCCAAGTAGCTGGGATTACAGGTGCCTGCCACCACAGCCGGCTAATTTTTGTATTTTTAGTAGACATGGGGTTTCAGCATGTTGGCCAGGCTGGTCTCACACTCCTGACCTCAAATGATCCACCCGCCTTGGCCTCCCAAAGTACTGGGATTATAAGCGTGAGCCACCTTGCCCGGCCTGGTTACCTTAATTTTTAACCTTAAAAGTAATCATTAGGTGAGCCCCTGAAGGAGCTAGTCCGTGTATAGAACTTATAGGCAGCCAACATTTATAATGGTTGGGAATCACTCTGTAGAATTTAAAATTGCTGAGTTCACAGGCAGGTGAGGCAGTGCTTGGCTTTCTTGGTGATGAATGTGGCATTTTTGAGGACATTGTAAATGCATGTCACAGATAACATTTATTTATTTTATTTTATTTTATTTTTTTTTTTTGAGACGGAATCTTGCTCTGTCGCCCAGGCTGGAGTACAGTGGTGCGATCTAGGCTCCGTGCAAGCTCTTCCTCCTGGGTTCAAGCAATTCTCATGCCTCAGCCTCTCAAGCAGCTGGAATTACAGGTACGTACCACGACACCCAGCTAATTTTTGTATTTTTAGTAGAGACACGGTTTCACCATGTTGCCCAGGTTGGTCTCGAACTCCTGGCTTCAAGTGATTCGCTCGCCTCGGCCTCCCAAAATGCTGGGATTACAGACATGAGCCACTGTACCCGGCTATTTAATTATTTTTATAGGGTTTGTTCTGTTACTCAGGCTACAGTGCAGTGCTGCAATCATAGCTCACCACAGCCTCAAACTCCTGGGCTCAAGCAGTCCTCCCACCTGAGCCTCCTGAGTAGCTGGGGCCACAGTCGCATGCAACCAAGCCTGGCTAATTTTTTTACTTTTTGTAGATATGGGGGTCTTGCTATCCTGCCTAGGCTGATCTGGAACTCCTGGCCTCTAGCAATTCTCCCTCCTTAGCCTCCCACAATGCTGGGATTATGAGTGTCAGCGAACGTGCCTGCCCACAGATGACATTATTAAGCAGTTACCATGCTCTGTGCTTGACACCTATTGTATTTAATTCCCACAACAACCCAATGACATAACTACCAGTGTTAACCTATATTATTGATAAGGAAATCAAGGCATAGAAAGTTAAATGACATCACCCAGTGTCACAAAGCTAATTAGGGGCAGAGCAAGCATTCAAATCCTGATCCTACCTAGATCAAAATCCTTTACCCTGTATATGTTATTGCAGCCTAAAATGCAGACAGGATACTAAAAAACCCCAAAGAGCTAGAAACCCTTTCTTATACTCCCACAATTTTATTGAAACACAGCCATACAAATTTGTTTGTGTATTACCTGTGGCTGCTTTCACACGACAATGGCACAGTTAAGTCATGGTGACAGAGACAGTGCGGTGTGCAAAGCTGAAAATATTTACTGTCTGGCCCTTTCTAGAGTAAGTTTCCTGACTTCTGACCTATGATAGGGAAAATTGTGACAGTAATAACTCACAAGTAATTTGACTAGGTAATGTTCTTTTTAATCAGGAGCCACATTCTTACATAGCTATCTTTACGTTGGTTTCCCTAATATTAGATTTAGAAGATTTTATTTTTTATTCTTTTTATTTTTTTAATAGAGGCAGTGTCTCACTATGTTGCACAGGCTGGTCTAGAACTCCTGGGCTCAAGCAATCCTCCCACCTCAGACTCCCAAAGAGCTGGGATTACAGGCATGATCCACCACGCTTGGCCCCGATTAGAGATACCAGGCAGTCTTGCTAGAACTCTGTGACCCAGTTTATCATATTTGAACAAAAATTAGTCATCCTTATAGCTTCTTGAGTAGGATCCTTCTGAATCTATTAACAGTGCCAGTATCATGAGTAACAGACTTCTCGTGGATCTCTTTTTTGATAAGGTTGGGAAGTAGTAGTGTGGCCTAATCACCTCTGAGAGAAGGACAGAAATAATTACCTTAAAACTTGGAATGTTATCTGGGTTTTGGAGTGACCTGGTAAGTATTTCTGCTGGGATTATCTCATTTGAATTAACGCCAGTCATGGCATACCCAGAAAATTCCTCTCGAAAGCAAAGGGAAACATGCCAAGAATGGCTGGCACAATTGTTTACACTTTCAGTGTCATGTATATGCTGTCTATATACACATGTATCCACACATATGTACACATGCACACATATTTCCGGCACTCCAGCCTTCTCCCTGTTGAGATTTATTTTGTCATAACTCCTCTTTTGCTTCCAAGAGGAAGAGTTGTTCCTGTCCTCACTCTGTTCCTCTTCTCTTCCAGTCTGGGAGTGACTACATTTGCCTTCATCTTTTTCCTCTTGTGCTGAAATCCACACTGGTGATTTCAGAGCAGGCTGCATTCTGTCTTGCAAATCATTCTCCTCCCGACCAATTCCCCATCACCCTTCATTATCACATTCTCGCTTCTCTTTAAAGTTTTTGTCTGGACAAATGTTCAAGTAGTGACTGCGATCGCCATGCACTGCTGGAGTAATAACATCATAAAGAGAATTCAAGGGGCGCCCACCCACCCTGCAGGTGGTAACTGCTACAGCGTGTGGTGGGACCATGGGGGCAACTAAGTTATCCTGGCACATCTGTCACCCAGGCTGGAGTACGGTGGCACAATCTCAACTCACTGCAGCCTCAACCTCCAGGGTTCAAGCTCAAGCAGGTTTCCTGCCTCAGCCTCCCAAATAGCTGGGATTACAGGCATGCGTCATCACGCCCAGGTTTTTTTTTTTTTTTTTTTTTTTGTGACCGAGTCTTGCTCTGTCGACCAGGCTGGAGTGCAATGGCACAATCTCAGCACACTGCAATCTCCGCCTCCCAGGTTCAAGCAATTCTTCTGCCTCAGTCTCCCAAGTAGCTGGGATTACAGGCGCCTGGCACCACGCCCAGCTAATTTTTGTATTTTTAATAGAGACGGAGTTTCACCATGTTGGTCAGGATGGTCTCGAACTCCTGACTTCAAGTGATCCACCCGCCTCAGCCTCCCAAAGTTCTGGGATTACAGGCCTGAACCACCGCGCCTGGCAATATTTTTGTATTTTTTAGTAGAGACAGGGTTTCGCCATGTTGGCCAGGCTGGTCACAAGAAATATTTCCTGGCACAGGTGGTGTCTGATTAGAATCATAAAGGATGAGTAATGGTTACTCCCAACAAACTGAAGGGGAGAAAAGAGAAAAGGAGGTAAGTTAAGGAAGAAGAATAGCAAATGCTCTGGAGACCTGGGCAGCCACTTGGCCATGCGTTCTGGATAGCCTTTCCCGGGAGGTAATTCCTGCCTCAGCCTACTACCCACCACACTTCTGCAGAACAGTGTTCTGGGAGATGAATGAAGCCCAGCCCTGTAACTGACGAAGTGTCTTCTATTGAATCACGGACCTCGGTGAAGCCCCAAATCCTGTCTGTTTCTTCTTCTGGTAACAGCACCTTACTCAGTATGAAACAGCATCAGGTTTTTCCTCCACATGCCGGGGAGGGTGCGCTCACCCTGGGTGGTGCCAGTTACAGCTCCTCCGCAGAGCTCTCCTTATCTACATTTGATTTGAGGCATGATCTGCCAGTGTGCTGTTGAATCAAAGAACTGCCTTGAGGACTTTCCTTATTTAGTGAAACTATTGTTGACAAACCAAAACTGCACCCAGACTTTCACCCACAGTTTATTCAAGCCAGGTAATATACTAAGTGCTTTGTGTAAGCAGTAGTCTCTTTCTTTTCAGAAATGGTTGGCTCTCACAAAAGGAGAGTTCAGATGTCGGCCTGGCACTTGCATAAATATCTTCCACTAAGATTCAGCATTAGCAGACTCTCTGCAGGATACGATTTAAACACTCAATAAAGCATGGTGGGGTATTTCTAATTTACACATAAATAACATATTTTTTTCTTCCAATGTTCACAAATTAAAACTATCTCTGTCCTGAATTAAGTAATAAATAAGAATTTTAATAAAACATTTTCTACATGAAATCCTTAGAAAGTCTACTGCAGAGTTTGATGGCTGGAAGACTGAGCTGAGAGACAGTTTAACAGCTCATATGTCAGCGTTAGTATTTGTTGGTAGTGCTTATCTATTCTACATAATAAGGTTTTGTGTATTGATGCAGGCACTGCCTTACACAGTAATATAACACGAGACCATGATATTCAGCACATTTTGAAGTAAATGTGACACTAAGACCCTCTGAAATGCGTCCACTTTGCCCCTTGCAACATTACAATGGGGACATTCTTTTTCTGAGACAGTCATTGAGACCAGCACTAACAGATTATGGCTTGATAGCTATTTATCACTTTGGATTGTTGTGAAAACCAGGCGTCCCTAATCACCAACAACTTTAAAAAGCCAAAATATTATCAGAGAAGACAGTTTTATAGAAATATTCAAAATTATTTCATTAGCTTTCTAAACCTTTAAAAGAATCGGGCTTTCTATTCAAATATTTAGCTAAATAGTACATGACGCCATCAAACCTGATCAGTTTTCTAAACCACTTTGCTTTATGTATTTAATGTGGAAAGGACCTGGAGAACAGAAAGAATTTCATTACCCTCACAAGGATTTGTCAAAACATCTTAGTTTTTACTCGTAGAAGATGTTGCAAAGAGAAGTTGGAACATAGTAAGAAAGAAGGTTGATTCCATTACATATGATGCATTTGGAAATTGATTGAAGTGATCACATTTCAGATGCACCTCAGGGCAGAAGAGGCAACCTCTTGAAAGTGACAGCCACATTTTCTGTGAGGGGAGGGGACTGGACAGAAAGGACTCCTTGTCTGAGTAACAGCTTTCTGTCCTGTGTTTCATCATGCCTATCTTGGCACTTCTCTAGCCTAAACCTCATCATAATATGAGGTGTAATTATCTGCCCATTCATCTGCTTCTTGTGCTAGACTGTGAGCTCCTTGATACCAACCATATGTTATTTATATTGATTTTCCTAAATCCCAACCAAAGCAGATGCTCAATAAGCATTTTAATAGGAAGGAAGAGAGGCAGGATCGGAGAAGGGAGGGAGGGAGGAAGGAAGGAGAGAAAAAAGTTCACTTATAATGTCTATAATGTTATTAAACAAAATAGAACATGTATTTAGTCTGATGAGACTTTTTTTCAAAACTAAGTATGATTTACTTAGGATTAAAACACAAGTTATAACACAATAGCTACGATGGGCCTTATATAAAGAAAAGTAAGTATAATACATTTTAAAAGGCTTTTAAGTATCTATATTAAATATAAACTAAATGGATAAGATTTTTCATCCCCAAGAATTACCTGGGATATTAGATTTGCAAAGAAAAGTGAAAAGAGGGAAATGAGGTTGAGTGAATTATTTGAATAAATATATGCAGTCATTATAAACTTCCAAAGGACTTTAAAAGTGAGCAAGAAAATACTGCTAGAATAAAGTAGCTTTACTTATCACTTTCATGAATTATAAAAACAAAATATTTTAGTAAGTCTTACTGTTAAGTGATTGATTTAATTCTTTATACATGAAGTTCTTTCTAAACCTGGATAATGTAAACATCTTGGTTAATCATTACAGAACTCCAAGTCTTTCGCTTTATTCCACGCCTTAAACAACAAAAGGATCATAAATCCTTGAAGTTTCCTTGGAGTTAGCTCAGGCAAAGTCCAAAGTTTAAGAAGCTGTTCTATGAACCATAAACGTTGCCACCACTGAAGAGTCAAGGCATATCCTAACATTCTGGGGCAGTTCTCACCCAGCTTGCCTTCATCCTATTATCTTTAAAGATTCATATATATTTAGCATTTACCCATGCCCTATCTAGAGATTCAAACACTTTTTTTTTTTTTTTTTTTTTTTTTTTTTTTTTTAAGAATAGAGATGGGGTTTTGCCACATTGCCCAGGCTGGTCTCAAATTCCTGGGCTCAAGTGATCCTCCTGCCTCGGCCTCCCATAGTGTTGAGATTACAGGTGTGAGGCACTGTGCCCAGCTTTAAACACTTTTTATTTTATAATAGTTTTAGATTTATAGAAAAATCACAAGGATAGGGTAGAAAGTTGCCATATACCCTGTACTCAGGTCACCCTATTATTAGCATCTTACATTAGTATAATATGTTTGTTATAATTAATGTATCAATATTGATATAATATTAACTAAAGTTTATAGTTTATTCAGATTTCCTTTATTTTTACCTAATATTCTTCTTCTGGTTCAGGATACCACATTATACATATATATAGTGTATACATATATGTATAGTAATACTAAATATAACATATATAATACACATATACCATATACAATTTTTATATCATATATACATATATGAATATTATATACATATAGTATATTGTTATATTTTATAATATATTGTATAGATGAGTGTGTATATATGTGTGTGTATACATATGTATATGGAGAGAGAGAGAGAGAGAGAGACAGGAGTCTCACTATGTTGGCCAGGCTGGTCTTGAACTCCTGGGCTCAAGTGACCCTCCTGCCTCAGCCTCCCAAAGTACTGGGATTACAGGCATGAGCCACCGCACCTGGCCACGATATCACATTATATTTAACAGCCAAGTTTTCAAATACTCCTCCTTATGGCTGTAACAGATACTCAGACTTTCCTTATTTTGGATAACTTTGAAGAATGGTGAGGTATTTTGTACGATGTCTCTCAGTTGGGATTTGACTGCTATTTTTTTCATGGTTAGACTGGGGTTGTGGGTTTTTAGGAGGAAGAGGTCAGACGAAGTACATCTCTCAGCACATCATATCAAGAGTATGCCAGCCTGAGAAATATAGTGAAACCTTATCTCTACAAACAATTTTTAGATAAATTAGCTGGGAGTGGTGGCACACCTGTAGTCCCAGCTACTGGGGAGGCTGGGGTGGGAGGATCGCTTGAGCCCGGGAGGTTGAGAATGCAGTGAGCTATGATTCTGCCGCTGAACTCCAGCCTGGACAATAGAGTGAGACCCTGTCTCTTACCAAAAACAAACAAACAAATAAATACATAAATAAATGTACATACCATCAATATGACTTATCACTGTTGATGTTGAACTTGATCTCCTGGCTGAGGTAGCATGTGTCAGCTTTTTCCAGGTAAAGTTACCTTTTCCTTCCCCTTTCATACTGTATAGTTTTGAAGGAAGTCACTAAGTCCAACCGACACTTAAGAAGTTAGGTGTTATACTCCAACTTGAGAGAGGAGTACATAAATCAGCTGGAATTTCTCTGCACAGGAAATTTGCCCCTTTTCCTCATTTATTTATTCAATCATTTCTATTGGCATAGACTTATGAATACTTATTTTATACTTTAGGTTATAATCCAATTCTGCTTTACTTTATTTCATTGCTCCAATTTTTCGAGTTTTGGCCATTAAGAGCTCCTTCAGTTGGCTCCTTCATGTCTTTGACATACTCCTATTATTGTGGGACTCTGTGGTTCTTTTTTTTCAAGCACTTTCTTACTTTCTGGCACTATAAGAAACTCCAGGCTGATCTTGAGTATTTCTAGCCTCAGTCCTAGAATCAGTCAATTTCTCCAAGTAGTCCTGTGTGTTTTTTTACTGGTGAATGGCATTAGAAACCAATATCCACTTGCTAGGTATGTGTGATAATTGTTTCTTCTAGTCCTTCTTAGCTGATGGAGCAAGGAAACATATCTAAAAATATTTCCATCCGTACATATACATTTGTATCTATATTAAATTAATCTTCATACAATGTTTCCAAATGAAATCCATTAAAACAGCTGTCCCCAACTTTTTTGGCACCAGGGATCGGTTTCATGGAAGACAGTTTTTCCACGAACGGGGTGGGAGGATGCGGGGATGCTTTCAGGATGATTCAAGCACATTACATCTATTGAGCACTTTATTTCTATTATTATTACATTATGAAGTAATCATACAACTCACTGTAATGTAGAATCAGTGGGAACCCTGAGCTTGTTTTCTTGCAACTAGATGGTCCCATCTAGGGGTGACGGGAAACAGTGACAGATCATCAGGCTTTTTTTTTTTTTTTTTTTTAAGAGAGAGTCTCACTCTGTTGCCCAGGCTGGAGTGCACTGGTGCGTCCTTGGCTCACTGCAATCTCCGCCTCCCAGGTTCAAGTGATTCTTCTGCCTTAGCCTCCCGAGTAGCTGAGATTACAGGCACCCGCCACCATGCCTGGCTAATTTTTGTATTTTTATAAAAGACAGGTTTTCACCATGTTGGCCAGGCTGGTCTCAAACTCCTGACCTCAGGTGATCCACTCGCCCCGGCCTCCCATAGTGCTGGGATTACAGGTGTGAGCCGCCGCACGTGGCCCAGGCATTAGAGTCTCAAAAGGAGTGCGCATCCTAGACCCCTTGCATGTGCAGTTCACAACAGGCTTCATGCTCCTATGAGAATCTAATGCTACGGCTGATCTGACAGGAGGTGGAGCTCAGGCAGTAATGCGAGAGATGGGGTGTGGCTGTACAGATCAAGCCTTGCCTGCTCACCTGCTGCTGGCCTTCTGATGTGCAGCCTGGTTCCTAACAGGCCAAGAGACTTTGTGATCCAGGACTTGGGAACCCCTGCATTAACACATGGATTCTTCTAGCCTTCTCTCTTTGCTAAACTCTCATTCAGCAATGATAAATCTAACTCCCACCATCTGTCATTCATTTACTTAAATTGTTCATTTCCAGAATACATGTACAGCAGTATCTGAATTATTAACTCATACCCCACAGGTAACTACTTTATCAACCAGAGTGCAATGCTTAGGTGCAGCTTCTTTTGCCTTTAGTCTCACAGACTCCACTCATTTCCAAAGTTACTAAGGCCGGCACCTTTCCCCCAACATCCTTCACTGAGGTTGTTTCATACAGTACAGTTAGATCATAATATGGTTAAATCACAATACAGTGAGATTGCAATACAGTGAAATTTGTTTTGTTACTTTCTGCATTCCATCTTGGAGTTCCTCCACCTCCTGATTTTTAAAAATCTGGATACACTAAGGCTCACTCTTTGTGCAGGTTTGTTTTAATAGGAAAAAAAAATTTTAAATTACTTAACATCCAGTAAAACTGATTAGCTAGGGGGTTCATTAATTCAACAAATATTTCCCAAGGGCCTTACCTTGTGTTAGGTTCTGTACCAGTGTCACTCTGGGGGATCTTATCTTATAGTTTCTTGTCCCCGGTACCTCTTTGCATAATCAGGGCACGGGTATGACAGTTTAAAAAGCACCAAATAAGGAAACTAGATTGTTATATTTATGGCCACATCTCCAGAATTCTAGAATTCCTTAGATCTGTGACTATGCCTCCCTCAGTGGTTCCAGAATCTGCGAAAATAATCTATTTGTAGAACTGCATTTATGTAAGGTTAGAATTGTTTTTCTCCTACTGCTCTTTTGCTCCTAGTAAAAAAAGCAATTTAAACTGCAGGGGAGAATAATAACTACTAAAATCAACACTAGCTTTTGTCTAATACAAAAGCCATCAGCACAACTTAAATTATAACCCCCTTTGTCAATCTGGGATTGCTGAAAACAACAATTAAGCCAATCTACACTTGCAAGTGATCTACGATATTGTTTTTTGTTTTAATAGGCTTTATTTGTTACGCCAACCACATTAGCTAAACAGCTAATACAATTGCTCATGTAGAATTATGCCAATAAAGGAAGGAAAGACAGTTGTTGTTTGTTGCTCTTAGTCACGGGGAGGTGAGGGAGGAGGAATGGGCTTGCTGGCATTAGCAAATCAACCAATAGATTATCTTCCTTAAGAATATTAATGCTTTGTAAATCTTTCCACGTTCCCCTTGCCCAACTCCCAGGATGGCCGCCCACCCTATAGTGCTGTAAGATAATCTTTTTTTTTTTTTTCTTGAGATGGAGTTTCACTCTTGTTGTCCAAGCTGGAGTGCAATGGCGCAGTCTCGGCTCGCTGCAACCTCCAACTCCTGGGTTCAAGTGATTTTCCTGCCTCAGCCTTCTGAGTAGCTGGCATTACAGGCATGCACCACCATGCCCAGCTAATTTTGTATGTTTACTAGAGATGGGGTTTCACCATGTTGTCCAGGCTGGTCTTGAACTCCTGAGCTCAGGTGACCCACCTGCCTCAGCCTCCCAAAGAGCTGGGATTACAGGCGTGAGCCACTGCGCCCGGCTGTAAAGTAGTCTTAAATGGGGGAATATCCATTACTACAACTGCCACAGCAGGTGTATATGATTGAGACAAGGTAGGAGCTGTACTCTGGAATAGTATGTTTGAGTTGAAAAGTTGAACAAAGATTTACTTAAAATCTTAACATTAATGTAATATAACAGGGCGCTCAATTGACACTGGAATATATCTTTTGATGTGTAAAACACTGCCACACTAGGAGATGTAAACAGTATTTTGGGGGTTGCGCGTCCCCCTGTGGTAGGAGGGACTGTTTGGCAGGACCTTTTGGAAGATAAATCATAAGGCAAACAACTGCCCCTTGTTCTAGGGAAACTTGGAACACAGGAAAGGAAACCAAGGGCAGATGCTTCACCCTGAGTCTGCAGAGATAGAAAAAGGTTTTCCCCAAATCTTTGCAGATTATTATTTTTGCTCGTGAGAGGTATGTGTACTTTGTTGTACAAACAGTAGTTTTTGAAAAATTGGGAGCAATCAGCAGCTTAGTTGGGAAGGACAAGCTTCCCTGAACATCTGTTCCCTCCAGGCTGGAGGAAGGAATGTGAGAGCAAATGGCTGGACCAAGCTCACGCAGCTTGCACTGCTGCCATTGCCCATATGAGTGGTTATCAAAGATGAAATATACCGGACATTGGGACGTTCTCATGACTGCTATGATTGTCATGCTTGAGCTCTGAGGGTCAGATTGTACCTGGTTGGGAGAAGGGCATCAAAAGAGAAGGAACAATGATCAATTAATCCAAGGAAGAGAGGAGTTGGTCCAGGGGTTTTGGAGCAGGAAGAGCAGGCTCTTTTTCCTTTTTTGGAGACTGAACAGGGCTTGGGCTCTGAAGTGTTGGGGATCACTGGGGGCCCTTGCACTGGGGGACATCTATGGAAACTAGGCCAGGGTGCAGAGGTTGGGTCTGAGCCTGAAACTCTAAGGGCATCCAATTCTAAAAGCAGTTGGGAATTAAGTTAGTTTATGACCAAGGCTTCTGTAAAATCCTACTACGAGCCTGAGCAAAGATGTACTATAGATTACATACCGATGTACTAAGGGAAGTTGAAGAGACTGTATCCCTCCTGGAGGCTGGGAAGGGTTGCTTGTGATGACAGAGATGCATGGCCTCAAAGAGCAGCACTGTTATAAGGGGCAGCAAAGGCTGCAGGCCAAGAAGTGAAAACTAAGCAAACCCCCAAACTTGTCCCTGATAACATATATTGTAGCACCTTGAGAAACCTGAGAACAGCTGTAAGGCAATGGATGGGGATGCACTGTGGGCCACATTCTAGTAACTACACCAGGGAAGGCTCATGCATTAATGTCTTTGGAGTGCAAAGACAGTATGATTTCAGTTGTAGGCCACAGTTCGGAAATACCAGGGACACAGAGGTTACATTTAGGTTTTCCCTTCTCCATAACGCATTTTTGTAAATTTTCTACCATAAAAGGCACGATATTGCACATCAGAAACAAATTCAGTACCTACTTGGAAAAAAATAGCATTTAAAAATAAAATACTAGGCTGAGCGTGGTGGCTTATGCCTGTAATCCCAGCACATTGAGAGGCTAAGGCGGGTGGATCACTCGAGGTTAGGAATTCGAGACCAGGCTTGCCAACATGGTGAAATCCCATCTCTACTAAAAATACAAAAATGAGCCAGGCTTGGTGGTGAGCACCTATAGTCCCAGCTACTCTGGAGGCTGAGGCATGAAAATCACTTGAAGCCGGGAGGTGGAAGTTGCAGTGAGCCAAAATCACACCACTGCATTTCAGCCTGGGCAACAGAATGAATCTCCATCTCAGACAAACAAACAAACAAACAAAAACAAAACAAAACAAAACTATTTCAAACATTTTAAGCTAATGGCAGCCCATAAGTGCCACATCTCCCTTTTGACCTCTTCCCATAGGCCCTGGAGTCTGTGCACTCCCAGGCACACATACCCTGTTGTCTCTCAAGCATCCGCAGTGCAGGTGGGGGACTTACGTTCTTACAATCCTAAAACCTTTGATTATAACCCACACTAAAATAAGAAAGGTAATCAAATGTGTGGGTGGAAGCTTGCCAGACATTTGTAGAGTTCCATACCGTTCATAAAGTGCTTAAAAATGCTTAATTTCATTTGAATAACACTTGCTGTTGTAGCTATGTAGATTTTTCTTTCTCTTTTTCTTTTTTAAAAAGCAAAGGTATATACAACAGCTCATTTAAAAAGACTAGACAGACCCTAGCTCCAACTAATTCTCTAGATTGAGCACGTGAGAGAACTATGTTCCATTTCCTTTTTTGGTATCGCAGGCCTTGATCTCCAAACAAACACATGAAGTAAGTGTCTAAACTCTGGGTGGAAGTAAGCTAATCATTGACATTCAAAACACTCTGCTACTTGACACACTTAAACAATAAATGCCCAGCTGGCTAAAATTCTATTGCTACAAATCATTATCTCTTTAAGGGGCCCACATAAATCTATGCAGGTGTTTGGAAGACTATAACCTGTCTGCGACTTTTTTTTGCATCTCTAGGAGTGTTCAGCTCACAGACTGGCACAAAGGAATGATGACTGTGCCTTTGTGGGAGGAGGAGAGATTAGGTCATTGCCACCGAGGGAACACTTGCTCTGACCCAGGTGGCTGTCAAGAAGCGACAGATTGAATCCCTCTAACTCATGTGGCAAATAGATTATTCTCATTTCACAGATGAAGAAACTGAGGCTCAGAGAGGTTAACTTGTTTAATTTCATAAAGCATGAGAGTGGGAAGATGAGATTTGAACCCGAGTTCCTCAGAATTGTATAATATCTTGCTGTTTACTCTTTCTTTTCTCTCTCTCTCTCTTTTTTTTTTTTTTTTTTGTTGTTGTTGTTGTTGAGGCAGGGTCTCGCTCCATCACTCAAGCTGGAATGCAGCAGCACGATCGTGGCTCACTGCAACCTGCACCTCCCGGGCTCAAGAGATCCTCCCACCTCACATCCTGAGTAGCTGGGACTACAGGCACACACCATCATGCCTGGCTAATATTTGTATTTTTTGTAGAGATGGAGTTTCCCCATGTTGGCCAGGCTGTTCTCAAACTTCTGGACTCAAGCAATTCACCCACCTGTGCCTTCCAAAGTGCTGCAATTACAGGCATGAGCCATCATGCTTGGCTTACTCTTTTTTTTTTTTTTAAACAATCAGTTTAACTTCTGAAATGTTCATATTAATCCTGATGCTGCTAAAAATTGTATTTCTAGAGAAACTCACATTGGCACTTCAAAATGGATATTTTTGTAACCTTTACCAGAATACAACAAAGCTTCAGAACACCACTGAATGTCACAGTGAATTCGTATGGCTGGAGAGCTGCCTGGGAATTAAGGCTCAGATCCCAGGTTCGCTATGGAATAAAAATACTATTTCTGATAAGATAGATGGTCTCTCACTTTGGTACATTTTCTTCCACTCTTTTAAAACAAAGATGACTCTTTTTCTGTGTTTTTGCTTCTGAGATAATATGAAACTTCAGGAAGTCCTGTTTGGTTCAGTGGAGCCAACTGGGACAAAGTTGCTATAAAAATCTGAAGAATCAGCCCCTGTAAGGAACAATTTGACAACCACAACCATAGCCAGCAGAAACATGATTAACACCATCATCATCAATACTACCACAGCCATCATCACCATTACCACTATCATCAATATCACCAACAACATCATTTTTATCGTCACTGTCATCATTACCATCATCATCATCAGACTTTCCTAGGATAGGACAGATGAGGTAGTTTCCTCTTCCTCATGTGAATTTATGATTTTCCTATCATAAATTATCCCCCACAAGTTATCTCCCACAATTACCCATGCCTGTTCAAACTTCAAATATTTTAACCATGACTTTGACAGGATACAGACTTTGTGTAAGTGAAAACAAATATTCAAGATGCATGCATGGCAGAGGTCATTTACAAACTTCTCTCTTTGATCAGTCAAATTCTTTTCATTGTTTACATAATAGTGGTCAGCCTTCAAAAGTGTCTTTGAAGTAAGTTTCAATATATGCTTTGCCTGACTCACTCACCAACCCAAAACACACACACACACACACACACACACACACGCGCGCGCGATTGCATACACACACACTTACTTGTATAACAACTTGCTTATATACTGATGTTCTCTAAGTACAAATGTCCTCCCATGGCCTGTCTCTCAAGTCCCCAGATTTATACACTGTGTCACTACTAAACTTGGGATCAGATGTTGCTCTCTAAGTACAGGTGATTCTTTTTTATTTTTTTGAGACAGAGTCTCACTCTTGTCACCCAGGCTGGAGTGCAGCGGCAAGATCTGGGCTCACTTCAACCTCCGCCTCCCGGGTTCAAGCGATTCTCCTGCCTCAGCCTCCAGAGTAGCTGGGACTACAGGCACCTGTCACCACGCCCATCTAATTTTTGTATTGTTATTAGAGACGGGGTTTCACCATGTTGGCCAGGTTGGTCTCGAACTCCTGACCTCAGGTGATCTGCCCACTTCAGCCTCCCAAAGGGCTGGGATTACAGACACAAGCCACCATGCCTGGCCAAGTACATGTGATTCTAATCTACAATGACATGTAACACAAGAACAATATTTATTTATTTATTTATTTGAGACAGAGTCTTGCTCTGTCGCCCAGGCTGGAGTGCAGTGGCGCAATCTCAGTTCACTGCAAGCTCCACCTCCCGGGTTCATGCCATTCTCCTGCCTCAGCCTCCTGAGTAGCTCACACTACAGGCACCTGTCACCACGCCTGGCTAATTTTTTGTATTTTTAGTAGAGATGGGATTTCACCGTGTTAGCTAGGATGGTCTCAATCTCCTGACCTGCTGATCCACCCGCCTCAGCCTCCCAAAGTGCTGGGATTACAGGCGTGAGCCACTGCGCCGGGCCCGAACAAGCTTTATGTTTAAAAACTGTAACTCATAGATATGAGTATTAAGATTAATTTTTTAAGTTAATTTTTAATTAATTTTTAAAATTTAATTTAATTTTTTAAAATTAATCTATTGGATTTTAAGTATACAAAAGCTATTGTCCATTTCAGAATAGCAATATAAAAAGTCCTTAAGAATCTGTCTGAAGGCTGGGCACCAGACCATCCTGGCTAACACGGTGAAGCCACGTCTCTACTAAAATTACACACAAAAAAAATTAGCCGGGCGTGGTGGCGGGCACCTGTAGTCCCAGCTACTCCGGAGGCTGAGGCAGGAGAATCGCTTGAATCAGGGAGGGGGAAGTTGCAGTGAGCCGAGATTACACCATTGCACTCCAGTCTGGGAGACAGAGTGAGATTCCGTCTCAAAAAAAAAAAAAAAAAAAAAAAAAAATTCTAAGCCTTCTTATATGATATAAGTGATATGAGGTTTGGGATAGGGAGTAGCTGAGGGTCTTGTTTTTTCCTTTAATATTTCAAAAAGATATATGAGCTTTAAAAAGGTTAAAGTATATTGTAATAAGACTGCTTTTCTGGGGTGGCTCCTAACTCAATTTTAAATGCAATTCAAAAATAATTCTCTAGAAATATTTTGAGAAATAGCAGTTGCATTGAGCTATAGGCATAACCTTCTAGGGTGACTATTTTGAAAATTAATGCTCACTTTAATCTTAATATTCTACCCTATTCACTTAAAAATTAGGTTAATACTTGATAATCATATCTTTCCCATCCAGCTATTTCCCACAAAGTTGGAGGGCTTTGCAAATTTTAGACAGAAATTTTCCACAATCCTTATAAAAAAGAGCAAGTTATATATGACGGTTAATACTGATTGTCAACTTGATTGGATTGAAGGATACAAAGTATCGATCCTGGGTGTGTCTGTGAGGGTGTCACCAAAGGAGACGAACATTTAAATCAGTGGGTTGGCAAAGGCAGACCCACCCTTAATCTTGGTGGGCACAATCTAATCAGTTGCCAACTTGGCTAGAATATAAGCAGGCAGAAAAATGTGAAAAGAGAGACGGGCCTTGCCTCCCAGCCTACATCTTTCTCCCATACTGGATGCTTCCTGCCCTGGAACACTGGACTCCAGGTTCTTCAGTTTTGGAACTTGGACTGGCTCTCCTTGCTCCTCAGCTTGCAGATGGCCTATTGTGGGACCTTGTGATTCTATGAGTTAATACTTAATAAGCTCCCACACACACACACACACACACACACACACACACACACATATATATATATATATACACACACACACATATATATGTATATGTGTATATATATGTATATGTATATATATACATATGTTCCATTAGTTCTGTCCCTCTAGAGAACCCTGACTAATACATTATATAATGTCTTTTTAGTGGGTTCTCAAGTTCTCTGACATTTCAGATTCTAGAGAAATACCAATACCAATACTATAGTTTAGTTGTTGCTGTTTAAGCCAATGCATAGTTCTAGATGTTATGTTCACAAAACCACCATGCTGTGACCTCTGTCAACATATTTAAGTATCCTCATGATGTCTTCTGAAAACCCCAGGTTTTTCCTGCCCTAAGGGAATTACCTGGCATTACCAACCACCATAAAAACAAAACAAAATGTGATAGAATCTGGACAAACAAAACCAGATACATTGGTTCCTGCTCTGTGGTATCTCCAGCGTCTAATCTTAGAGATAGGGTGCCCACTCAAGTGTGATGCGTTCCTACACCCAAGACGCCAACAAATGCATTTCCTACCCTGCATAACTTCCCTATTCGGGACCTAGAGGTTTTGCCAATGTTCAATTTCTTGGACAAGAAAATAGCAAGTCAAATGTTGGGGCACCCATGACCAGCGTCTCTGAAATGTAAGACTCTTTGTTTCATCACTGTGGGGCGGTTTTGCTTGGCCCCGGGCAGCTGTGCATTCATGGAAATCCATTGAAGACAAATGTCTGGAAGGAATTCTCTGATTGGGCCTCAGACATGATTCAGCTATTTTTAGGGTTTCAGCTGGTGCCCTGACCAGCGCCACATGACCTAGAAGGTGCCCCACTTCCTTCGGTTGATATAATTTGGGAAATCAGTGTCAGATGGAATTTTAGTCTCTGTACATATCACTAATGCTGCTTTAAAATAAACAGGTTCTTAGAATTCTTTATCCCAGCCTGATAAAATCTAGTTGTGTCCTCTGATTTGAGAGCATAGGAAATTACTGGAAAGTCAAGTAAAGTGGGTTGAGACTGTTGGGCCTCCATCACTTTATTGCTAACTCAAAGAATCAGCCTAACTTTGGATGCCCTTGCATGGCAGTTTTCACTTTGGGCTCTACTGAGACCACCACAGAGATGACAATACAGGCCTTGGGACTCACAGCCTTTTTTATTTTTTCTGAGATAGAGTCTTGCTCTGTCACCCAGGCTGGGGTACAGTGGTGCGATCTTGGCTCACTGCAACCTCCATCTCCCAGGTTCAAGCATTTCTCCTGTCTCAGCCTCTTAAGAAGCTGGGACTACAGGTGCACACCACCACACCTAGCTAATTTTTGTATTTTCAGTAGAGACGGGGTTTCACCATATTGGTAAGGCTGGTCTTGAACTCCTGACCTCAGATGATCCACCTGTCTTTGTCTCCCAAAGTCCTGGGATTACAGGCACGAATGCCTGGCCAGCCTCACAGTCTCCAAAACCCCCGGGGTGCATGTTAAAATTTAGACTCTCAGGTTCCACTCAGACCTTCTAATCAGATTCTCCAGGGGTTAGACCCAGTAACTTGCATCTTTTATGGAATCCCAGGTGATTCTTGCACAAGCTAAAGTTTGGGAACCACTGCTGATTAAGAGGTCATAGAGCTAGAAATTGGAAATTGGGGTTCTCAGATGCCCCACCTCATTCCACATTTATCTATTTTATATTTCAGATTCCTCCCTATGCTTTCATTTGCAGAAATGCTTTTGTGGCAAGAAAAACAAAAGTAAGAAACAATTATTCCAACATACATATTTAGAAGGGGACCGTCTCATGCTTATCTTCAATGGCTATTTCTTTCTGTTTAGAATACAAATGAAGGCATAAGAAAGTGATTTTGTCCAGATAACTTCAGTACATAGAAAGCTACTTACTTCATCTACCACTAAGATGCAGTTCAGCATCTCTAGCTGCAACTAATCTGTACAACTCAGAGATCCCTGAAAACCCCAGTAAGTGTTGGTTTGGGTATCTAGAATTAATGCTTTACCCCTAGTTCCACGCCCAAGAACCTACCCCCAGCTAATACTCAAATCTGGCCTTTAGCCCAACAGATCCCGATTTCAGATAAAATTTAAGAAGGTGACATATACAAACATGATCATGCAATGCATTTCATATGCACACTTTTAGGTCACACAGAATGAAGACATTAAGAACATGTTAATATGGTGGCTTATAAGACCATTTTATATCATTTTTTTTGCTTTTCTAAATGCCTAAAGTAAGGCTTCCCTGTTGTGCCAAATTTAGCAAGCAATCTAGAAGTGCAAGAAACCTGTAAACTTTCAAATTTAAAGCCAAACAAAACTCATATTGCATTCCATTGCATATCATGTTATAAAAATCTCAATATGATTCAGATAAAATTAGTAGCTTAAACAATTTCAAACCCATAAAATATGGTGCATAGTAACTTATATATGTTAATTATTTATTTAGCACCTACTATATGTTATACAAAGCTTTTTTTTTTTGTATTGATCCTAGAAATCCTTCCGACATTCAAAGCTTTATACTATATGTTTTATGAGAATGAGAAAGGAAATAATGTAATTGAGTCAGGCCCTCAAGAAATGTACAGAGGGTGCAGAGGAGAGAAGGAGTAACGTTTATACTAGACATTCCAACAAATGTAAGAATTAAAGCTTGGTAATCATATATGAGAGGAGGAAAAGTGAGAGTGCTTCTTTTAACTGCTTTTCTTCCACAAAGGAACACCGTTTAAAGATGGAACGTTTTGTCATGGGTTCCTTTATGAATTTATATTTGTGTATTTGTATGTGTGCATGTGTATCTTTCTCTGGGTGTTGATTTCTGTGTGTTTATCTCCTGCTTTTTGCTATTGTTGTTTATTTGATTAGTTTCTAAAAGAAATCTTTCTTTTGAATATATATGCATTAGGAAATTCAAAAGTCAACCCACAGACAATTACTGTTGTCAGTTTCTTATGTATCTTTAAGAGATATTCTATGAAAATACAAGCATCTATGTACGTATATAATTTTTTTATCCCTTCTACTAATTTTTTTCCACTAAAATTAGTCGCACATGATATGCACCATTCTGAACTTTGCTTTTATTTTGGAGACTCTTTCAAAGAAATACATATGTACCTACTGCATTTTTTTTTTTTTTTTCATTTTTTTGAGACAGAGTCTCACTCTTGATGCCCAGGCTGGAGTGCAGTGGTGCAATCTCGGCTCACTGCAACATCTGCCTCCCAGGTACAAGTGATTCTTCTGCCTCAGCCTCCAAAGTAGCTGGGATTACAGGTACCTGCCACAATGCCCAGCTAATTTTTTTGTATTTTTAGTAGAGACAGGGTTTTGCCATGTTGGGCAGGCTGGTCTCAAACTCCTGACCTCAGGTGATCCACCTGCCTTGGCCTCCCAAAGTGCTGGGATTACAGGCATGAGCCACCGCACCCGGCCTCTACTGCATCTTTAATGGCTGCATACCATTCTACTGTTATAACATAAATATGTTAACTACTTTTCTATTAATAGTCATTTATAATGTTTCAGGTTTGTTGCTATTCTTGCAAGTTCTTAAAGTAGAATTGTTGAATATGTGCATTGTATTCCATTAGTCGTTACCCTTGCAGTTTTTAATATGAATGCAAATGATTTATAAAACTAACCAATATATTTAGCATTCTCGCAAACAACTCAATCTATAAATGTTTAACTCCAATCACCTCTTTCTTACTTCCATGCCATTGTGTAGTTTATATTTTTTGTTTATCTCTGAAAGAAGATACTATTGTCTTCCACATTAAAATGTGCTTATGTATCCCCACAATTTTATGAATTTCTTTACTCACCATTTTTTCTTTCATCCCAGATCTTATATCTGACATTTGTTTCTTTCTGTATAAAATGCTTATTTAGAAATTCTTATAGCAACCGTCTGTTTGATGAAAACATTATAAACACTATCAGTTTTTATGTATCTTAAAATGTCTTTATTCTACCTTCAAATAATAGATTTGTTGGTGTAAAATTCTAGGTTTTGAGCATTTTTTTCCCCTCAGCTTAGTGAAAGTATTGTTCCACTGTCTTCTGACTTCCATTGTTGCTGTAAAGAAGTCAGTTGCCAGTCTAATTGTTACCCTTTTGTAGCTGATACTTCTTTCTCGCTGCTTTTAGATAAATCTTCTCATTATTTTCCTTCTGCAATTTGATTATGATGTGTATAGCTGTAGATTCTTAAAGATTTAATCTTCTTTGAATGTGTTTTAAATATAATAATTGGAATCTTTCAACAGTAACAGAAAATTCTTGGTTTTTTTTTTTTTTTTTTTTTTTTTTTTTGAGACAGGGTCTCAACTCACTGCAACCTCCAATTCCCAGGGTCAAGTGATTCTCCCTCCTCAGCCTCCTGAGTAGCTGGGACTACAGGCATGTACTACCTCACCTGGCTAATTTTTGTATTTGTATTTTTTGTAGAGATGGGATTTTGCCATATTGCCCTGGCAGGTCTCAAACACCTGAGCTCAAACTAATCCATGCACTTCAGCCTCCCAAAGTGCTGGGATTAAAGATATGAGCCACCATGCCCGGCTGAAAATCCTTAGCCATTTTCAAATTGAATATTGCTACTTCCCCATTCTTTCTATTATGTTCTGTAATTCTGATTGTGATTCTGTGATTCTTAAACTCACTCCATACTATAAAATTCTTAATATCTTCTGAAAATTTTTAATTTAATTTTCTCTTTGTGCTGCATTTTGGTTAATTCCTGAAGAGCTATTTTCCATTTCACTAACCTAGTCTTAAGCTTTATTTGTTATGTAATTTGAATATTGAGTTTTAAATTGAATTTACTGTATTTTTGTTTTCAAACATTATTTTGAGATCTTTTATATTGATTTTATAATCTTTCACTCATGATGCCTTGCGTTTATATATTTGTTATAATTTTGATTGTAGTTACATGTTCCTTGGTGCTTTACATTTAGTAATTTTTGAAACCATGTTTGAAGGTAAGTTCCTTCAGAGAGAATGTGCATTTACTTCTACCTGGCACCAGAAGGGCACTCCCTTCAAAGGGAAACTTTAAAATCAATTCTAGGTTTGAAGTATTTCTGCTAAAAAAATTCCTATGGAAATTGGATTATGGTTGCGAGTTCTCGGTAAGAGAGACTAGCTCCAAGATTGAAAAAAGATGTACTTCTTAACAGTTCCTTCTGTGGGTTCTTAGCTTTGTCACATGTTCATAGATTGCTCGTGGGTTTTTCCTTACAGACTCTCCTCTTTGGTTGGACTCAAGGATTTTTCTTACGTCTCTCACACTTTGCACAGTTGTCAAAACCAGAACTCAAATAAATGACATTTTAAAATATTTTCCCAGTACAAAAGGTGGATTCAGTGCTCAGTTGTGTATAAGTATTTGTTCTTTTAACTAACTCATACTCTGGCCAGGCACAGTGGTTCATGCCTGTAATTCCAGCCCTTTGGGAGGCAGATGTGGGCAGATTACTTGAGGTCAGGAGTTCAAGACCAGCTTGGCCAACATGGTGAAACTCTGTCTCTACTAAAAATACAAAAATTAGCCAGGCATGGTGGCACACACTTGGAGTCCCAGCTACTCGGGAGGCTGAGGCAGGAGAATCACTTCAACTCAGGACTGCACTCCAGCCTGGGTGACAGAGTGAGACTCTGTCTCAAAACAAACAATCCAACACCCAACTAACTCATACTCTCCAATGATTTTTCTTCTTTTGTATGTTCATAAATGCTTTAGAAAGAGGTGTATTTATTTAAAAATAAGTAAATGAAACTGGTATCTATTTTTGTTGTTTTCAGTGGAACAGCAGATGAGGCTATCTCTTCAGCACTATGTCAAGAAACAGCAGCCCAGAAAATTCTTAACAGCTGAACTTCAGTTTCTAATTACTTCTCACAGCCACTTCAATTTTTGCCTCTCTGAGGCATATGCTGAAATCAATTATGACATGCGAGCGGTTACACCATGGCACAGTGAGGAAGCTGGTACATTTCTGAAACTCCATAAACTCATCAGATTATTTTTACTTTAAATGCTATAAACCTGAAGTATTTCTTTACTTGACACACACACACACACACACACACACACACACTCATACACATTTCATACTTTTGCATCAAAGCTGGTCATAAAATTGGTACCAGAAGACAAACTTGGTAGAGTTCACAGAGTTTTGAGTAAAGGAATAATCCATGTTTATAAAGTTGACACTAAAGATATAATAAGGTAAGTTTTTTTTAAGTCTTTTACAAATTCACCTATATACATGTCAGGTGTTAAGGGACATGTCATGATGAAGGCAGTGACAGTCAGTTTTAAATATTTTGGAGTATTTTGCTCTGATGTTTATTTTCTTGATGAAACACTAGCCCTATGTTCCAAAGCAGGATTCCTAAACCCCAAGGTGGAGTGGACAGTCTATTAAGAGAGGGAATAAAATATTTGAGCTCTATTTACAATGATTTCATCTCATCATTTTACAATTTATTTCAGTGGAATTTTATAATATATGGAATGTGCTTGTACGATTTTATATGCATGTACTTTATATAGTTATAAATATGCTCATAACAGGGAACATGTCCAGAATAGTTACTGATGGATGTGTAACCACAAAGGCTCAGAGATCAACATAAGAAATCAGGTGGCCTTTTCTACGGGTATAATACAGGAATTGATGAACACAGTTAAGATACTAAAACTTGATAGCAAGAATAGATCACAAGAAAAAAAATCATCGAAGAAACTTATGAAGAGAATGCTGACAGGAAGGAGCAAAAAAGATAATCCATGCCACCCAACACCAGAGGAAAGGAAAAAAAGAAATGAAAGAAGATATTGCCTTTATCTGCTTTGTTTGGCCTGTGCATTCTTAATAATCAGCTTGGTGGCATAAATCCAACTAATCGCAAATGATAATCATGCAAGTGTTTGCACTTGCTGGTACAATGATTTCTTGCAAAGCTCTCTGAATTGCTTATGGAAAGTTTATTCTGAACCATCTCTGTGCTTCCTTCAAAAAAGAATAATGTTTGGCCTTGGCCAAACATCTCTCTGCTGCCTGATTAGAGAATTGAGAAGCTGAGTTAATTTCACTTCCATGATACTCTTCAGTTGCAGGGAAACCCATTAATTGTTTTGAGAAGATATTTTAAAACTTGAGCTGTTAAATAATTTCCTCCTGAAAGGGGAAATCCCAGTCATGGGTTTGTCTACCTTGCAGACATAAAGAGGCTTAGAGGACAAGAGTGTCTGTGCTTTCCTACCTGGCTCCTACGAGGCATGTAGAGTTATGTGGGCAATCCCCAAATTGTCTAGAACCAGAGTGGCCACTTCTAATCAGTTCCTGCAAAAAGTCAGTGCTTGGCTCTCTGAGACAAGTACCCAGACAAGCAACACACAAAGAACTGTCTTCTGTTAGCACCAGGCATGTGCAGAGAATCTGAGGTGGACAAAGAAGTGGGGGAAGATTTGCTGTCTCCTATGGTACTATAGAAAGACATTATCCATGGGCTGGAGTCGGAGGAGAATGGGTCTATCTCAATGAGTTTATTCTCTTCTAGTTGTTGAAGGTACAGGAACCAGTAAAGTAACTTTCTCTCTGAGAAGAATTCAGAGCAGAGAGCTCAGTAATTTGCCTAAAATTTTATGACAAACTGTTTATGCATTTGGATCTATGCATCTTTTTTTTTCTGGGAAGGTACTTAGAGATTGCAAAAATCCTTTGATCTACAGAATGTTAACAATGATTGCTTTAGAGGAATTAGAAGCACACAAGTGTTTCTTGGACATCTTTTCATTAAAAAGGATCATAGTTCTTAGACAGAACCCTCAAAGGGTTGGGTATGGTGACTCAAGCCTGTAATCCCAGCACTTTTGGAGGCCGAGGCAGATGGATCACTTGAGTTCAGGAGTTCAAGACCAGCCTGGCCAATATGGTGAAACCACGTCTCTACTAAAAATACAAAAATTAGCCAGGCGTGGTGATGCATGCCTGTGATCCCACCTAGTCGGGAGGTAGAGACAGAAGAATCACTTGAATCCAAGAGGCAGAGGTTGCAGTGCGTGAGCCGAGATGGTGCCTCTGCACTCCAGCCCAGGTGACAGAGCAAGACTCTGTCTCAAAACAAAACAAAGTAAAGCCCTCTAATTCTTACCCCACTGCTGAAGGGTTTAATAAATACTTCCAAGCAGATGAAGGCAATGGTGTTGCTCGTGGTAGGAGATTGTATTTAAAGATGTCTACACTTTTCTTTCTTTAACAGGCACACAAATGACTGATACATTTCTCATAAAAACCAAAATTTGTTAAATCCCAGCAAAAGCACTTTGAATTGAATAAGAAGCCTCTATTATATTTTTAAACTTTCCTTTTCCTATACATCTTCAAGGAAGAAGAATCTACAATGGAATAACATGTGTGTTGGGGCAATGATGTATAAGAAGCCGTCATTTTAGTGGTTAAGTGTGCAAATTCTGGAGCTAGATGCCTGAGTTCAAGTTCTAACTCCCCCACTTGGTTCCTACTCAGTTTTCTCATCTGTAAAATGGGAATAACAATATATGCCCCATTGAGCTGCTGTGATTTAATGACTTAATGCCTGCAAAGTCCTTACAGCAGTGCCTGATTCCTTGTAAAACTAGAGAAATGCCTGCTTATCTTCTTAAATGTATTTTCCTTTGTGAATTTCCTTTGACACTTTGCTCCTTCTCTCCAGCCAATGACTAGACTGTAGTCTGTGATCATTGACACAGGGAAGGGACGTGACGGCAAAGATCAGAGAGAGAAAAAAGTCTTCTTCTGGCTTTTAAGTTTCAAAGGTAAGCTCTGAGGGAAACGGAGACAGGACAGAGACAAGAGATACATAGAATATCAAATGAATAATAGGAAGAGGTTCTGCCTTTCACGCCTGCATACATATAGGCTAGAAAAGGCTGCCTAAGACTGGGAGGAGAATGAATTGGGTCTGGGAGTTGAGAGTGTAGATAGTGGTAGGTCCCTGAGAAAGAGGTCCATGAACCCTGGGTCCCATGTCAAGTTTTAGGGATGCTGGAGCCAAAACCAACCAAACCAAGCAAACAGCAAGCCAACCAGTTAAAAACCTTCACATAGGGCTGGGCGCGGTGGCTTACGCCTGTAATCCCAGCACTTTGGGAGGCCAAGGCGGGCGGATCACCTGAGGTCAAGAGTTGGAGACCAGCCTGACCAACATGGAGAAATCCTGTCTCTACTAAAAATACAAAATTAGCCTGGCATGGTGGTGCATGCCTGTAATCCCAGCTACTTGGGAGGCTGAGGCAGGAGAATCGTTTGAACGTGGGAAATGGAGGTTGCAGTGAGCTGAGATCTCCAGCCTGGGCAACAGGAGCAAAACTCCATAAAAAAACAAACAAAAAAAAAAAAACAACAACAAAGAAAACCTTCACATAGAAGTTTATGGGATCTGAGAATAGAGGAACATGGCCTTAATCAGCCTACAGTATTCTCTAGGACCTATCATGGCCTTCACATGGCTTCTTGGCCCTGTAGAATGGCAGACAGCGGGTGGGAATGAGGCCACCCTTCAGGAGCCACCTGGATGGACAGTGATATCTGACAAGACTGGGCCTCCCAGCTAGAACCAGAGTGAACAAACGATGCTGAGGATGAGGACAAGATACATCCCACCCAGCACCACACAAACCCCCTGGGGCTCTGATGCCACCCTAGGGAAAAGGGAGAGGATGAAAACTGACTCTGCCACCCCAGGAAAAGAAATGGGACGTTAAATAGAAGTTAAATTGAGCTATGAAAAAAAATCAAGATACATATTTTTGCACATTTGAATTCGCAGATAAAGATTCAAACCTGCTCTACCTGTTCCTCCATGACTCAAGCATTGCCCTTATTTAGCAAAAATGAAGTCAGGTTTGGCTTGGAAACTTCAACTCACCACTGGCAATGCAGGAGTCATCAGGGCGTGTCTCCGCTGCCTGCCAAGGCAGAATAAAGATGAAAAGAGTCTGGAACTGGGAGCAACTGATACCATGAGATCACAGCTGTGGCACATTAGAATTGTGGGGTGGGTGCTGGGGAGCTCTCTATTGTGAAGGAGCAGGGAAGGGGACCATTGCTCAGATTGCTGGGACTATGGTCATATCCATGCCTATGAGACTGGAATTATCCTATACTCCTACCCCAGCCAGGATTCTCTAGACAAATAGAAACCCGTGTCTACTATATTCCAGGCATTGTATCGGATGCCAGGCACCTTAAAGGGTGAAAAAGACATGGTGTCTGGCCTCAGAGTATCCATTCCAGGGTTCCAAACAGATGCTTTCAATGTGCAGTGGGGAGTAGGCATGGTGGGAACATGAGGGGAGGAGAGTTTGGTTAGTTCGAGGGACCAGGAGACCTTTCCGGAAAAGAGGACTCCTAACCTGACTCTTGGAGGCTAAGTAGGAGCTCATTACACCAGACAAGATGACTGGGGAAGAAATTGCTGCCAAGGACGTAGCCTGAGCAAAGGCATGCAAGGGAGGGAGGCAGAGCATGCAGAAAGGACAAGGCATTTGGCGCTGCAGGATTGTCAGGTGAGGTTAGGGAGCGGGGAGACATGAGGTTGGAGATGGAAGTTTGGGCCAAGTCATGGTGGGTCTTGAATGCCATGATTAGGAATTTAGCCTCTATTCTGTAGTTGACAGGGACCTGCTGACAGGTTTTCAGCAAGAGAGCGGGATAGCCAAGTTTACATTTTACAAAGATGTGTCTGGATGCAGAGGTGCAGTAAGAATACTAAGCCAAGATGATTGTCCTGAAGTCCTCTTGTGCTATCCCAGTTCCAGTTAAGTCCCCAGATTAAACCAAGGGCTTCACAGACCAATCACCAAGTATTGCTTGTTGAAGGAGGTCCAAAGGAGGGCTCAGACTAGATGGGAACAGTCTGGAATCAGAAATAATCTGAGGCTGGGCGCAGTGGCTCACGCCTGTAATCCTAGCACTTTGCATGGCCAAGGCAGGAGGATCGCTTGAGTCCAGGATTTCGAGACCAGCCTGGGCAACATAGTGAGGGCAACTGTCCCCAAAAAATAAAAATAAAAATAAAAAAGAAATGCTCTGAGCCCAGGGCCGGTGCTTAGGTTGACTCCTAATAGCTGGGAAGAGCAACAGTGCCCTCCTTGGCTTCCAGAGCTCTGGCCTATTTCCCCTCTGGCAACCTCAAGCTCTAGATTGCTCGTCTTCCCTGTTTCCTCATCTGGCTGCTATGTGGAATTTCTAGTTCCAGACCCTCTAACCAGCCCTATCGAGCCTCCACCCCCGACCCCGAGGTGTGGCAGTGATAACTCTGGAATGAGGTAGCAGGCTCTCTAGCCGGTCAGGGCAATGGGGTCAGGCAAGCTCCAAGTTTCAGCCCCAAAGCATGGGAGGAAGCTTTAGTCGGCCTCTGGAAGAAGGCGGATTCTTACGTAGTCAGAACTGCGTTTTCATAATTAACAGTGTGTCTGGGTCTTCCAGGGATTGCAGGAACTCAATATTGCCTCTCTCTAAATGATTTGGCTGCATTTCTGAAATACTGTTCTCAGTTCCACTGGCTTCAGTCTGGCTCTCCCAATTCATTATTCATGCCTGTGTTTCAGATTGTCACATCCTCACAGCCATTGGCGGCCCAGCAATATTGGCTGGGAAACGGAGGGGTAGGAAGAAGTGGGGCAGCACACAAAAGAGGGGGCGAGAATCAAAGATTCTCGCAGAAGGTGTTGGGGACACGCAGCAGTAGGGCAGGTCTGCGGATGATATGACTTGGGGATGGATGGGCTGAAAAGAAGTCAGAGAAAAAATAAAAAGCTTTGAGAGATGAGAGGACTCAAAGAGAGAAGTGTGGCACTGCCCTGGAAAAGGAAATTATGTGACATGATTACGAGATCAAAATGCAGCTCTTGCTGTTGATTAAGTTAGTTTATCTCTGCAGCACAGCGCTGCGCTGCAAAAGAGGAATCGTAGCCCATGCAAACTGGCAAATGAGCTTGCTGTGCAGAGTTCCAAGGGAGAAAAGAGCTGGCTTCGCTGCTGCCGTCCCGTAGTTTTCTTAGGAACCATGAAGATTTCCTTTAACAATAGCTGCTTCACTCCACTCTCTCAATCTCTTCACCCTTTAGGTTGGGTAGTCCAGCTAATTACATTGATCGTTCCAGCAGATTCTGCTGGGGCTGCGGTCCTAATGTCTTATGCACGTGGAACCTTCCATTAAAGACGGAACGGGTGGGCAAGGCAGACAGCTGAGGAGATAGAGCCGGCCCCATGGGCACCTGACTTGACAGGAGCAAATCTAAGTAGGGTTCGCACTGTGGAGACCTCAGAGGGCACGGAGACTCAACCGGGAGCTTTAAAAAACATACCCAGATCTGTGTTTCAGCCCCAGAAGTTTAATTTAATTGGTCTGGAGTAAGGCTTTTGCATTACTATTTAAAAAAAAAAAAATCAAGTGAGTCTAATGTGCAGCCAGACTGCAGACCTCCTGACTTAATCCAAACTTTTCATCTTCCAGATTAAAAAACAAAAAGAAGAAGAATTGCAGCCCCCAACAAGGTCTCCTAACCCCAGGCCAATGCTCTGTCCGCTAAGCTAGAAGCCTCTCAGCATGAGTGCCTTCACGACACAACTTCTGACCCTTCCTATGAAGAGGTGACTGAGCCGTCACTCTCTGACACGTCTGTTTGGGGTTTAGCAGTCTCCAGAGACGTTAATTACAGCCTGCTGAATATTTTGTAATAGCCTAAAGAAAGTAACACTATTGAAGGTTAGACATGTAAATAACACCTCTTACATGGAAACACATAGATCGATATTCTCCAACACAGACACACACACATGCCTGCATGCACACACACAAAGCCTATTCCTTCACTTGTGTTAGATAGCAGGCGGCTTTGTTTCTGAAACGTAGTCACTGCTAATAGTAAAAAAAAATAACATGGAGCGGAAAACATGAACAAAGGGAGCTGCACAGCTGATATTCCATTCTGAAAGCTTTCTCTTTGATCCTGGCTAGGGCAGGGCATTTCTTAGAACGTTTTGAACTTCATACACATCTGACTGGGCATGGTAAAAGTGAACACTGAGGTGGAGAAATCCAACAAATAGATGCCTTTCTCTCCTTACCGGAAGAATTCAGTTTCCTGACAGCTCGCAGAACTGCAAATGTAGAACACACTATATAGCTTTCTCTTTTTAATGTTTAACTCAAATGGCTTTCCCTATTTCTGTTCTTTATTATTCATAAATATTAATAGAATAGCTTTGCAGGCTAATAATACTCAGGCCAAATATTCTCTGGTAAAATAAAAATAAGCAATTAATTTGATTTCATACAAGGCTGACTGCATTCTATTTTAGAAGATCTTTTGGCCACATTTAGGTGCAAGAGGACAAGAAAACAGATGAACTAGCTGAATGTGGAAATGGCATTCTTGAACATTGGTTTTTATTCACTCCCAAGCCCAGTGGGGCATGATGTAGAATAACAGTTCCCACAAGGATCACTGGGCTAGCTCCTCCCCAAGCACACGGAATGTTTCCAGTCACATCCTAAACCCTAAACCATGGAAGATGAAAATAGCGTCTCATAACACACCTGCCAGTTGGCAGCATTCAGTCCCGGGAGAACTATCTCCCCCAGATGCTGCAGTGGGAGGCTTAATTTATACATGCTGTGGAATTCATATTCATCTGCTCGCCATTTAGGCTTCATTATGTTTACAAATTCTCTTCTGATTAATGAGAAGTCAATAAACACCCAGAGGAACTGTGAATGTAGAACCAGAAGAAAAACAGAGTATACCATCCACGACCGTAAGTGCTATCTGCATGCACAGTATTCTGGGGTCTAAAACCATGACATCAATTCCACTTGTGCAGTTACCTAAGGTTGCAATTTGTAATTATTTATCTTAGAAAGGGACAGTGGAGGCCAGGTGTGGTAGCTCAAGCCTGTGATCCCAACGCTTTGGGAGGCCAAGACAGGAGGCTCGCTTGAGCCCAGGAGTTTGAAACCAGCCTCAGCAACATAGCAAGACCTCATCTGTAGAAAAATACGAAAATTAACTGGGCACAGTGGCGCATGCCTAAAGTCCCAGCTACTTAGGAGGCCAAGGTGGGAGGATCTCCATTGCACTCCAGCCTGGGCGACAGAGTGAGACCCTGTCTGGAAAAAAAAAAAAAAAAAAAAAAAAGGCTGGGCACAGTGGCTCACGTCTGTAATCTCAGCACTTTGGGAGGCCGAGGTGGGAGGATCACCCAAGGTCAGGAGTTTGAAACTAGCCTGGTGAACATAGTGAAACCCTGTCTCTAATAAAAATACAAAGTTAGCCCGGCATGGTGGCGCATGCCTGTAACCCCAGCTACTCAGGAGGCTGAGGCAGGAGAAAAACTTGATCCCAGGATGCAGAGGTTGCAGTGAGCTGACATCAAGCCATTGCACTCCAGCCTGGGCAACAAGGCGAAACTCCATCTCAAAAAAAAAAAAAAGAAAGAAAGAAAAATTGTGTAGAACAGACATCCTATGGGTACATTATTGAGATCTGCATGGCTGCAGTGGGCAATTTCAGAATGCACTTTGAATGTTTTCCACGTACAAATCCTCCCAACGCTCTACGAAAGAAAAGCGAAATTTCACCCGTGACTGTAAGACTTCCATGGGACTTTGGAGTCAGTGCAAGAGGCCGACAAGGAATGCATCAGCCATCGCCTGCAAGCTGAACCAGTGATCTTACACGACGGTGCACTCTTTTCTCAGCATCACACATTTTCTCATGACAGCCACTAGCGTTTAGAAATTTGAAACATTAAAAAATATTTTTAAGGAGGATTCTGTACTTGAAGGGCTAGGAATTCTTGGCATAGAACTTTAGGCCTTGATGATTCATTTATTTGTGTTTTGGTGTATTCCCAAAACTGTTGTGAGGAAAGTCTTGTTTCTCTTCTGTATGGGTTTGTTTGCTTGTTTTTGGTGGGTGAGGCATCTATTTAGAAATCATTTTTTGTTGGGCCCCTTAATTTTCATAAAATAATGCAAAGACATGTGTACTTTAATTAGCACCATTGAGCTTCTGATTTCAGTTTCTTGCCCCAGAGTCCACCATGCACACTTTCTCCTACTATGCCTCATGAGGGCTCTTTTACTTGAAACACCCAATCTTTAAGGTGGGAAAATGCACCAAGCCTGATAAGTGACTCTACTTCCTGGTTCCAGACCCAGTGATTGTTCCATTCGGTATGGACCAGATTATATTTCATGCTGGTCCAGATTATATTCCATTAGTGAATTTTCTAAATTTCAGTTTTCTAAGTTCAATACCAATATTTATCCATTTGGCCTTCGTAATTTTTTTTCTTTTTTCTTTTTTTTGAGACAGAGTCTCGCTCTGTCACCCAGGCTGGAGAGCAGTGGCACAATCTCGGCTCACTGCAAGCTCCGTCTCCCGGGTTCACGCCATTCTCCTGCCTCAGCCTCCTGCGTAGCTGGGACTACAGGTGCCCAACACCACGCCTGGCTAATTTTTTGTATTTTTTTTTTTTTTAGTAGAGACGGGGTTTCACTGCAGGGTGGTCTCGATCTCCTGACCTCGTGATCCAGCCGCCTCGGCCTCCTAAAGTGCTGGGATTACAGGTATGAGCCACCGCACCCCGCCTTTTTTTTTTTTTTTTTTTTTTTTGTCTTTTTAGATGGAGTCCTGCTCTTGTCACCCAGGCTGGAGTGCAACAGCACGGTCTCGGCTCACTGCAACCTCTGCCTCCCCAGTTCAAGCAATTTTCCTGCCTCAGCCTCTCAAGTAGCTGGGATTACAGGCACATTCATCCACACCCAGTTAATTTTTGTATTTTTAGTAGAGATAGGGTTTCACCATGTTCTCCAGGCTAGTCTCAAACTCCTGACCTTAGGTGATCCCCCCACCTCGGCCTCTCAAAGTGCTGGGATTACAGGTGTGAGTGACTGCGCCCGGCCAGGCCTTTATAAAAAATTATAGATTCCGGGGGTACATGTGCAGGTGTGTTGCATGGATATATTGCATAATGGTGAGGTTTGAGCTTCTAGTGTACCCATCACCTGAATGGTGGACATTGTACCGAACAGGTAATTTTTCAACTCTCGCCTCCCTCCCCTTCTCCTCCGCTTTTAAAATCCCCAGTGTCTATTACTTCTCTCTGTATGTCCATGTGTACCCATTGTTTATCTCTCACCTAGAAGTGGGAACATGCAGTGTTTGATTTTCTGTTTCTGAGTTAATTCACTTAGGATAATGACCTCCCCATTATTGTAAGTGAAGTAACTCAGGCGTGGAAAACTAAAAACTGCATGTTCTCACTTCTACGTGGGAGCTAAGCTATGAGTACTCAGAGGTTTTATACAGAGCTCTATAAAGGACTTTAAAGACTCAGAAGGCAGAGGGTAGGGAGGGAGGCTAGGGATAAAAAGCTACATATTAGGGATAATGTACACTATTTGGGTGACAGGTGCACCAAAATCTCAGAATTCGTTATAGAATTTATCCATGTAACAAAAAACCAGTTGTATCCCAAAAGCTATTGAGATAAAAATTTTAAAAAATAAGAACACCACCCTGTCCTTGGGAGAAAAAAATAATGGCCTCCAGTTCCAGCCATGTTGCTGCAAAAAAACATGAGTTCATCCTTTTTTATGACTGCATAGTATGCCATGTTGTATACATACCACATTGCTTTATCCAGTCATCCAGTGATGGACATTTAGATTGATTCTGTCTTTGCTCTTGGGAATAGTGCTTTGGTAGACATATGAGTGCAGGTGTCTTTTTGTTTGTTTGTTTGTTTTGTTTTGAGACAGAGTCTCACTCTGTTGCCTAGGCTAGAGTGGAGTGTCACGATCTCAGCTCACTGCAACCTCCATCTCCTGGGTTCAAGCAACTCTGCTGCCTCAGTCTCCCAAATAGCTGAGATTACAGGTGCCTGCCACCATGCCTGGCTGATTCTTGCGTTTTTAGTAGAGATGGGGTTTCACCATGTTGGCCAGGCCAGTCTTGAACTCCTGACCTCAGTCTTGATCTGCCTACCTCGGCCTCCTAAAGTGCTGGGATTACAGGTGTGAGACACCATGCCAGGTCAGGTATCTTTTTGATAGAATGATTTCTTTTCCTTTGGGTAGATATCCAGCATTGGGATTGCTGGGTCGAAAGGTAGTTCTATTTTTAGATCCCTCAGGAATCTCCATACTGTTTTCCACAGAGGTTGTACTAATTTATATTCTCACCAAGAGTGTAGAAATGTCCCCTTTTCTCCATATCCACGCCAATTGTTGTACTTAGACTTTTCGATAATAGCAATTCTGACTGGTTTGAGATGGTGTCTCATTGGGGTTTTAATTTGCACTTCTCTGATGATTAGCGATACTGAGCATGTACTCATAGTTTTTGGGCACTTGTATGTCTTCTTTTGAGAAATAAATCTGAAGTAGAGAATTTTTTTTCTTCTTGCCTTATGAGCTCTGCCTAGAATTCATGCCTAGAATGGTACTTGGTATATGCTAAGTGTCTCTTCTCATTCTTGTTATCAGGGGATGCATTCAGAGCTGCCAGTGGCCCTGGGTCCCGTCCACACGAAGAAGCTGGAAAGAATGAGGCCATGCCAAAACAGAGGCTGAGATGAGAGGCGAAGGCAGAAATCTGCCCCCATTCCTGGGAAAACTTCCTTTCTACGTTTTGTTTTCATGGGCCAATACATCCCTTTTCCTTGTTTAATCTAACTTGATTTGGAATTCTGCATTTGTAATAAAAAAGTTCTAATAATAATAAAGTTCATGCTGTTATTTGGCAGATGCTGAGATGTGAGCAAGAGAAAAGAGTCAAGAATCAAGCAGGAATATCGAGCAAGGTGGACTCAGTGACTCATAGAAAACACACGGAGACAGGTTTTGGAGATGATGATGATAATAATGATGAACTTAGTTTTGGGCAAAATGAGTTTGAGGATCTTTGAATTTTCCCATGTGGAGCTGTTCCATTTGTTGTTTGGAAACGTGGATAGAAAACTCAGCAGAGAGTTCAGGGATGAAGCTGTAGATCTGGGAGCCAACTGAACGGAGCTGCAGCTGAAGGCCATGACACTGCAAGAGGAACAGAGTGGGGCTAGAAGGAGACCAAGGACTGGGCAAGGAACAGAAGCAGGCGACACGGCCTTGTGGGAGCACGACAAGGAGAATCGGCATGTGTAAGGTGAGAGGAGTCACAAGGGGTAGTTCTAATGACACATAGAGTGTTGTTGTGCTCTTGGCCAGGTGTGGTGGCTCACACCTGTAATCCCAGCATTTTGGGAGGCTGAGGTGGGTGGATCATTTGAGGTCAGGAGTTGGAGACCACCCTGACCAACATGGTAAAAAACCATCTCTACTAAAAATACAAAAAATAATAATAATAATAATTAGCGAGGCATGGTGGCTCACATCTGTAATCCTAGGTACTCAGGAGGGTGAGTCAGGAGAATCTCTTGAATCTGGAAGGCACAGGATGCAGTGAGGCCAAGATCATGCCACTGCACTCCACCCTGGGTAACAGAGTGAGATTCTTCTAAAAAAAAAAAAAAAAAAAAAAAAAAAAAGCCCAGCACAATGGCTCACACCTGTAATCTCAGCACTTTGAGAGGCCAAGGCGGGCGGATGGATCACTTGAGGTCAGGGGTTTAAAACCAGCCTAGCCAAATGATGAAACCCTGTCTCTACTAAAAATACAAAAAACTTAGTTGGGCATGATGGCAGGTGCCTGTAATCCCAGCTACTTGGGAGGATGAGACAGGAGAATCGCTTGAACCTGGGAGGCAGAGGTTGCAGTGAGCCAAGATAGTGCCACAGCACTCCAGCCTGAGTGACAGAGCAAGACTCCATCTCAGAAAAAAAAAAAGTGTCGTGGCACTCTGGATGCAGACACTGGAATGGATGAGAGTTTTGAAGAGGCATTGCATTTCTCTGGATGCAGACACTGGAATGGATGAGAGTTTTGAAGAGGCATTGCATTTCTCTGGATGCAGACACTGGAATGGATGAGAGTTTTGAAGAGGCATTGCATTTTACAAGTAGTTTACTGGCACCCCCTGAGAGAAGATTTCAGTTTAGCAGGAGCAAATCCCAGACTGCACAAGGCTGAGAAGGATGGGAGATGAGAAGGGGGAGGGGAGGCACAAAAAAGAGGGAAAGGTGTGGGAATTCCAGAGTTGTGGTGAAATCAGATCGCCTCTTGTTTTTCTTAAGAATAATTGTGATGTAAACACATTTGCATGTTGAAGAGAAGTCAAAAGACAAAAAAAATACATCAGACGAGTAATTATTGACAAAACAAGTTAAAAGAGGAAGTGATAAAGGAAAAAGGAAGTAGCTTCAAGGAGGGGAAAATATATTTCCTTATTTAAGACAAGAGAGGCTACACATATCTGAGAGGTGTTAAAAGATGAAAAAAAAGACAAAAGGGCAAGAGAAAATGACCATGATGAACCAGAGAAAATTTAATGTAGAAGAGTCAATGTTAGCTGAAATTCCATCCAATGATCTCCATCTCATTTTCTCAAAGAACTTAAAACAGAACTACCATTCGGCCCAGGAATCTCATTACTAGTTATATGCCCAAAAGAAAATAAACTGTTCTACCAAAAAGACATGTACACCTGTATGTTCATCGCAGGACTTCACGGTAGTGTCAGTGGCGGACTGCATAACGCAAATGTGGTACATATACACCATGGATTACCATGTAGCCATAAAAAAGAATGAAATTGTGTCCTTTGCAGCAACGTGGATGCAACCGGAGGCCATAATTCTAGGCAAATGCAGGAACAGAAAACCGAATACCATACGTTCTCACTTATAAGTGGGAGCTAAGCAGTGGGCACTCATGGACATCAAGATGGCAACAGGCCAGGCACAGTGGCTCGTGCCTGTAATCCCTAATCCCAGCACTTTCGGAGGCCAAGTTGGGCAGATCACTTGAACCCAGGAGTCTGAGAACAGCCTGGGCAAAATGTCAAAACCCTGTCTCTACAAAATATACAAAAAAATAGCTGGGTGTGGTGAGGTATGCCTGTAGTCTCAGCTACTTGGGAGGCTGAGGTGAGAGGATCGCTTGCGCCTGGGAGGCAGAGGCGGAAGTGAGCTGAGACTGTGCCACTGCACTCCAGCCTGGGTGACAAAAGAGAGACCCTGTCTCAAAAGAAAATTTAAAAGATGGCAACAATAGGCACTGGGGACTCCTAGAGGAGGAAGAGAAGGAAAGGGGTCAGAAATGAAAAACTAACCATTGGGTTCTATGCTTACTACCCAGGTGACAGGATCAATTGTACCCCAAACCTCAGTATTATGCAATATATCCACATAACAAACCTGCACATGTACCCCCTAAATCTAAAATACAAGTTGAAATTATTTTTAAGAAAGGATTTTGATCTCAGGAAGGTAGGTGACAAAGTCATGGGCTGCCTGACAGAGGGCTAAGGTGCTGAGTAGAAAATATTTGGAACTGTTGTGAGAAATTAAGTTTATTATAACTTTGGAGAAGCCCTGAAGTTAGAAAGCATGAATTGGTAGTAGATCCAGCTGATTTTTTAACAGCCCAAGATAAGAAATGGCAAAAAGCACAGTCGTGTTTTTCCAGTCTGATGGGAAGTCAAGGAACAAAGCAATCTAGGGTACTGGTGAGTGTTACTGAGTTAAGGGAGCACACTTGTCTCATTTCTCAGCCTGACATAGGTGACTTGTCTGGTGCTCTGCAGATGCTGAGTAGCACAGTATCTGGCACAGAAGGGTCAGGCAATAAAGATTTATTTCACTGGATTAAAAAAAGGCATTCTTTAATTTTTATGATGGACTCTTTCATCCACATTCAGCTCTGACACGTAGGAGTCACTTTTCTTTCTTTCCTACATTTGTTCTGTCGATCTGATTTAAAAAAAAACAAGATGTTTTCGGAATCATCCCTGTGGAGAGATAAGGTGGTGATGGCAATGGGAAAATGCAAAGTAGAAATTAGAAACAAATACATGAATATATTTGCAGTAGCATTTGAGGAACTGGGAACGTTTAGTGACTGTGTGTGTGAGTGTGTGTGTGTGTGTGTGTTTTCTTCTAAGCACAAGTGCTGATGTTCTGAGATGAGGTAGTGCATCATGAATCATACACAGAAAGGATTTATGAACCAAAAAAAAAAAAGAATGAGATGGTGGGCGAGGAAATCTGGGGAGAATATAGGGTGGTCAACTGTCTCAGTTTGCCTGGGATAGAAGGGTTTCCCAGGATGTGGGACTTTCCGTGCTAAAATGGAAAAGTTCCCAGAGATTCTGATTTAATTGGCCTGAGGTGCAGCCTTGACTTCTTACGTGCAGCCAAGATTGACAACCCTTGAGCAGAGCTCAGGAGACACAGCCTAGGTCAGTGATTCTCAAATTGCAATGTGCCTAAGAATGGCCTGGAGGTCTTGGTAAACAGCTTCCAGGAGCCCAGCAGAGTTTCTGATTCAGAATGATTTTTCACCTTAACGTGTGAGGAGAAACATGGCCAATAATACTCAATATTCATTGCTGCATAAATAGAGTCTTTTCAGAACTCCTGGAGACTTCGTGGAAAATGGCACCCTGGGAAACACTCTGTGAATTAACATTTGTTTTATATTGGCAGACTGAAGATTGTTAACTCCACAAACTGTACATATTTCTAAATTGGGCTCTTGGAGGACTTCTAAACCTTCCAAGTAATTGATCTGAAGCTAAGGGCATAAGCTTAGCCTTTATGACAACATCTTGTACTATTCTACTGCCCTATTTTTAAATATATATATATATATTTTACATATATATAAAAAATATAGTACTTTCATTAGGACCTGAAAGAGTTGATCCTAAGTCTACTGACCAGCTTTCTTGCAGTATAATCCACAGAAAACTTCAAGAATAACTGATTCTGTTTTCCTATCCTTGCCCCTTGATCCCCCAGCTGAGGAAGCACTGGTGAGAATCACCCCCTCTCACTGATGTTAAGTATCAGGTGAAACCTTTATGCGTTTCAAAGGCTGAAGAAAACATAAAACAAAGGCGGCCTTGCCAGGCGCAGTGGCTCACGCCTGTAATCCCAGCACTTTGGGAGGCCGAGGCGGGTGGATCACGAGGTCAGGAGATCGAGACCATCCTGGCTAACACGGTGAAACCTCGTCTCTACTAAAAATACAAAAAATTAGCCGGTTGTGGTGGCGGGCGCCTGTAGTCCCAGCTACTCGGGAGGCTGAGGCAGGAGAATGGCGTCAACCCGGGAGGCGGGGCTTGCAGTGAGCGGAGATCGCGCCACTGCACTCTAGCCTGGGCAACAGAGTGAGACTCTGTCTCAGAAAAAAAAGAAAGAAAGAAAACAACAACAACAACAACAAAAAAGGCGGCCTTATTAGCCTGCTTTGGTGCTGATCTGAATTAAAAGCTGAATAAATGCATAAACATAACAAGAACACTAGACAAAATCCAACAGAAAAGAGACATACATGTCAGAAACATAGTTATCTCTAGTGTGCAAATTTGCGTGGCATCCTAAGGGTCTGGAATGAATGGAGGCTCCTCTTCAGTCTTCCTTAGCATGAGCCAAAGAATTCAACTTCATTGAATCAACAGTGGTACTGGTGGGTGAATATGTAGGGGTAACAAGTGTATTCGAAACTTCTCTAGGATACGGAATTTGCACAGAACCGTTGAAGAAGTAGTGGCAGGAATAAAACAGAAACACTAAACACAGGAAAAGAGGTAGGTCCCCAGTATTTGGAGTTGATGGCTACTGTTTTATGTTGCGGGATTCTAACAAACATTATGAATTACTTACAGATCCATTCAAATTCTTGTTCTGAACCAGTGGGACTCAAGCTTGGCTGCACATTGAAATCACTGGTGGAGTTTTTTAAAAACCTGGTGCCTGGTCCAATCCCAGAGACTCCGATTAAATTGGCCTGGGGTGTAGCCTTGACTTCTCAGGTACAGCCAAGATTGACAGCCATGGAACAGAGCTAAGAATTGCCTGGAGGGCTTGGTAAACAGTTTCCTGGAGCCTATCCTCAGAGTTTCCGATTCCGTAGGTAAAGGTGGGGCAGGAGTTTCTTCATTTCTAACAAGCTCACTGGTGATGCTGATGCTGCTGGACTGAGAACCACGCTTTGAGGACCCCTAGCCGAGGTGTACCATGTTACCATGTGCTGAGACAAGGAAACCATCCAGCATTCCTTGTGGCCCTCTCAAATCAGCGACAGAGCTCCCTGGATGCTCTTTTGCGTGTGCTTGAAGGGCAAGTTGTGCATTTTATTTGCTCAAGTCACTGAAGCCTGGTGAAGTGGGACAGCCTCTTCTTTTCCAGTCTCAAAATATAGGGGCTTCAGTCTTTGCTGTTCTTGTTTTTTATTTATTTATTTATTTATTTTTCTAGAAGCCATCTAATTTCCCCTGTGGTGTCAGATAATCCCAAAGAACATGGTGTCCTGGGCATACATGAGCCAGCTGCCTGGAGTCCCTCCTACCTACTGGCACTCCATCTATGGAGGGAAGCCTTCTCTCTGTCCTCTGCCCCATTCTGATCTGCGGCCTCACTCTGCGCTCTGAATCTGGCCTAATCCAATAAGCAGGACCCACAGGGCATTGGGAATCCTGCCCCAGATAAGGACCATCATGCACAGAGAACTGTAGTGGCCAAGGTAATATTAATAGTCATAAGTCATAGCTACCACTTGTGGGACACTTGTTCTGCCAGAAACTGCACCAACACTTTACACACATCACTTAATTTAATCCTACGTTAACCTTGAAAGATGAGAATTATTATGCCCGTTTTATAGATGAGGAGACTGAGGCTCAGAGACAGTGACTTGCCCAAAGCTTTGGAGCCATGAAGGGAGATGGGATGCATAGCTGGGTCTGGCTTATAAGTGCGTGTTTTCCCACCGTACCCTTCTGCCTCTCGGGCTACGGGTGGGATGGCACTGGGGGCAAGAACGCTGGACGCCGGCTGTTAAATGGTGTGGTGTCCACTCCTAGATGCAGCTGATGGATGGCGGCCCTGGGCAGGTTGCTGGCCTGACCCCACCCTGGGTGCCTGTCCTCAGATCCTTATCTACAGAAAGATGGGCTTTGTCTAGATCACTGCAGCCCTTTCTTGCTCTGCTTTTCTAGAAGTCTCTCTGTGACTCATGCAGCTGTGCCTCCTTTCCCAGGACTCTGCCCTGCCTGGTGATGACACAGCACGTTCAGCACATTTGTTTCCAGGGAGAGCACTCTCCAGAAGGAACCAGGGCCAGCTCCTGTGGCGCCACTTGGTCAGGCTAGCTGGAGGTTGTGTCAACGTCTCGGAGAGCCCCTTGATTACAGTTTATAAGCCGGTTGTAAAGTGCCCATTCTCGGGCGAAACTTGGCTTTCAGTTCTCTGAGATGGCAGAGCATTGCGAACTGGTCACTTTGAAAGCTGAGGGAGAGGTGGACGGAAATCAGGTCCGCTCCAGGTGGCAGCCCCGCCCTTGCTTGTCAGTCCCAGAGCAGCTGCTGTGGGGTGTGCCCTCCCAGGAGGGGATGGGGCAATGCTGCGAGCTTGCACCAAGCTGGGAGCAGTTCTCTGTAGCTCTCTCTTCTCCTAGGGCCAGTAGGAGTGGGTGTGCTGATGGGGGCTCTTCTTACAGATTTTTGTTATGATAGCTACTAATATCATGAGTTGTTGCTACTGACAATACATAGGATGATGTGTTACTTTCCTCTATGACGACTGCATTTGACCTTGAATTAGGAAACTTACATTGGAGCTGGCCCTTTCATTCGAATGGGCCTCATTCCTCATCTATTACATGGGAAGAAGGAGTGAAATAAACCCCTTTTCTTATCCTCTGTGAAAATTCTACACCAAACACAAGAGCAATCACACAAATTGAGAAACATGGGGGCACAGAGAGTTACCTGAACAATATAAAGATTTTAGTTGCTGCAGTGATTTATTTTCATACATTTATTTTATTTATTTACTTTTTAATTTTACTTTAAATTCTAGGATACATGTGCAGAATGTGCAGGTTTGTTACATGGGTATACATGTGCCATGGTGGTTTGCTGCACCCATCAACCCATCATCTAGGTTTTAAGCCCCGTATGCATTAGGTGTTTGTCCTAATGCTCTCCCTCCCCTAGCCCCCCACTCCCTGACAGGCCCCGGTGTGTGATGTTCCCCTCCCTGTGTCCATGTGTTCTCATTGTTCAACTCCCACTTACGAGTGAGAACATGCGGTGTTTGGTTTTCTGTTCCTGTGTTAGTTTGCTGAGGATGATGGTTTCCAGCTTCATCCATGTCCCTGCAAAGGACAAAAACTCATTCTTTTTCATGGCTGCATACATTTATTTTTAAAATTGCAGTAAAATACATATAACGTAAAATTTACTCTTTTAACCATCTTTAAGTGTACAGTTCAGTGACATCAAGGGCATTCACAGTGTTGTACCACCATCACCATCTGTCCACAGAACTCTTTTCATCAATACAAATATTTTAGCAGCGTTGGCATAGCACTAAAAATAACATCTCAAAAATCAATAGTGTTTTGAATTGATAAACCTCCTTTGGAGGAATTTAAGGCATTTCACAAACATTATCTTGTTTGTCCTCGCAATGGCCTTAGACAGAAGCAGAGAGAATAAGAGAGTGGTCAGTTGAGACAGAGAGAAAGAAGGAAAAAGAGGAGAAAATGCAATTTTGCCCAATTTGCAAATGACCCAGAGAGGCTCAGAGAGGCTTAATGAAACATCATGGGTCTCACAGGTATCGCATGGATGATGATCTTAGAACCTGGATGTTTGGTTATTAGTTCAATTTTTAGTTTTCCAGGCTACACTATGATGTCACTGGGTGATTACAGCTTCAACCAGAGAGGGGAGGATATATTTTTAATGTTACAGGACAGCCATGCCTGTAACATTAAAAAGGGGCTCTCCATGCCTTTCAAGAGGGTTTTTCTTCGTGGACACATTGTTGGGATGGGTGTGTCAGTCTGGGAGTGGGGACTGGGAAGAAAAGGCAAGTTCTGGCAGAGGCCAGAGTGGGGTAGATTATTCTCCCAGGTTCTGTCGGTTTCTGGGCAGCTGCTAATAGGAGGATTTGGGTTGTAAGACCTGACTCGGTTGTAAGGCCGAGAGTAAAGCTCTCACCTGTGCAAAAGCTTTCATTGCCTGGGAATTAAAGTTTCATGGCTCCAGCCTGTGTGCGTGTGTGTGTGTCTCTAAGAGAGAGAGAGAGAGAGACAGAGACAGAGACAGAGACAGAGAGAGAGAGAGAGATCAGATATAAAAGAAAAAAGTGTGATTTTTCCTGGCTGTGAATGAGGGATCAGTTGAAGAAATTAGAAACTAAAGTTGATAAATTGTATTATTTATTTATTTTTTAACTTGGTGAGTCTTTAAAGAACTAATTTTCTTTGGTGGAGAAGACAACAACAACAAATTGTGTTCATTTAAAACTGTGTTTCAGGTTAGACATGGTGGCTCACATCTGTAATCCCAGCATTTTGAAAATCCGAGGCAGGCGGATTGCTTGAGCCCAGGCATTCAAGATCAGCTTGGGCAACTTAAGGAGATCCTATCCCTACAAAAAATAAGAAAAATTAGCTGGGCTTGGTGGTACGCACCTGTGGTCCCAGATACTTGGGAAACTGAGGTGGGAGATGTGCTTAAGCCTGCGAAGTCGAGGCTGCAGTGAGCTGTGATTGCACCACTGCACTCCAGCCTGGGTAACACAGTGAGGCCCTGTCTCAAAGAAAAAAAATGTATTTCAATTGGACTTAGTCTTTTTGTTACTGGAAAATTGTACAATACATTTCTGGGAGCAAGAACATGTTACTGCTCCTGGTGCAAGGTTTGAATTACTAAGATCCAGGAACAAAGATGTATGTAAACTTTGATTAAAAGACAGAAATGAACCTGAGAAACAGTCTGGCAATTAGAACCAAGCCAGCAGGGTACTGTTATTTAGCCTGGAACATCCTTTCCAAGTAAGTGGGGAGAAGGGCGCTGCTTCTTAGTGAAAGGAGTATATAATTAATTGGTCTGGTGGTCTCCACTCAACCAGTGATATGTGTAATTGGTTTCTCACTGAGAACAAAGGAAAGCACACAATAAATGCTAGCTTTGTTGTTGTTGTTATTAGCTCTGCAGCTGGCTAAGCTCTGGTGAACCCACAAGAAGACCAAGAAAGAGTAGCTGACTTCAAATCTCCTTCATTCCTTTATTCACTCACTTTCTTAAGAACCTGCTATGCACCGGGCACTGTGCTAGAAGATGGTAAAAAGGGTTTCAGGCTTGGCCATGAATGAGTTTACAGACCAGCAGAGGGAGAGGAGACAGATACGCCAATGTATCCGTGCAACCAAACATCATCGATGCCATGAAAGACACATACGCAGACAGTATAATGAAGGGAGTGATTAGTTTGTTTGGATGGTGTATAAGGAAGTAGAGAAGGCTTCTGCAAGAGGTGATGTCTAAGCTGTGTTTTTAAAAATATCAGTGAGAATTTCCCAGGCAGGAGCAGTTTGGGAGGATAGGTGAGAAGCACTGCAGGGAATGGTGTATTTGTTGCTACTGATAAAGACATGCCCGAGACTGGTTAATTTATAAAGAAAAAGAGTTTTAATGGGCTCGCAGTTCCATGTGGCTGGGGAGGCCTCACAATCAGGGCGGAAGCTGAAAGGCACGTCTTATATGGCAGCAGACAAGAGAGAATGAGAACCAAGTGAAAGGGGCTTCCCCTTATAAAACCACGAGATCTTGTGAGACTTATTCACCACCATGAGAACAATATGGGGAAAATTGCCCCCATGATTCAATTATCTCCCACCAGGTCCCTCCCGCAACAGGTGGGAATTATGGGAGTCACAATTCAAGATGAGATTTGGATGGGGACACACCGCCAATCCATATCAATGTTGAGCAACTGAAGTGAAGGTTCACACTCCCCAGAGGTTCTTTATGAAATGATTGCTGAATGGAATGGAGTCACTGGCAAAATGTACTGCCTGGGGGAGAGGGGCACAGATGGTCAGGCATCCTCAGAAGAAAGGAGGAAGGTGGAATGAATAATGGCAAGAAGAAAAGTGATGAAACAATAAATGAGAGTAGTTGGATGATAAAAGAGTACAAAAAAGTGGAAAGGTTAAGAAAAATCTTCTATTAAACCTCCGAAGAGGAATTACAAAGCACCCAGAGTTAAGCCAAATGATCAGCAGACAGGCCTTTCCAGTTGATGTTTTCATTTTTAATTTTTTTCTGTGACATCAGAAATTCCTGCTAACCTTTCCACTTTAAAGCTGGAGATAACATGGCCTGAATCAGGCAAAAATCCTCAACAGAACTAGGATGATGCCATCTAGGCGGCACAGTCTCTAAGACTAGAAGCCATCATTCTCTTTGTATCAGATCCAGCCTGGTCCCACTGCCTGCTGAAGCTGCACCCCCAGAAGAGACAGAGCCCCTGGATGTCTCCAAGGGGCAACAACCAGCCCATCCTCTGTCCTGTGCCTGTAAACTCATTCATCTCCATCTCAAGTGTTCGCCATGATCCCAGGTTCCAGGAGGCCGGGAGGATCAAGAGTCTCAGAGAGCAGAAAGCCCACAGAATCTGGCTACCACCGGGAGATCAGTTGCCCTTTTTTTTTTTTTTTTTTTTTTGAGACAGAGTCTCCCTCTGTCACCCAGGCTGGAGTGCAGTGGTACAATCTTAGCTCATTGCAACCTCTGCCACCAGGGTTCAAGCAATTCTCTTGCCTCAGCCTCCTGAGTAGCTGGGACTACAGGTGCTGACCACCATGCCAAGCTAATTTTTGTATTTTTAGTACAGACAGGGTTTCACCATGTTGGCCAGGCTGGTCTCAAACTCCTGATCTCAAGTGATCTGCCCACCTTGGCCTCCCAAAGTGCTGGGATTACAGGTGTGAACAGGTGTGAGCCACTGCGCCCAGCCGAGACCAGTTGCCTCAATTGTCAGTTTCCTCCTCTCTCCCCTTCTCAGGTCTATCATGGCAGAATTTGTCCCAGAACATAAAACTACAGAACACCCCAGTTTCGGTGTGAGAAAAGAGCCTAGGCATCTCCTAATTTAATGGGCTTCAAATGGTTTGGCTCAGTTGTCCTAAGCAATAAAAATAATTTGAGTATGTAACCTCAATTGATGTATATTTATTCATTTATAAATGACATACTTCTGTACCAACATACTTTAAGACATATACAAAAATTATATTTAAAAAGAAAAATAAATAAAATGATAATATTTTCTCCTGTGCCTTAATGGATTAGCTTTGTTCCTTTTGGGATATGTGAATCTGTTTTGGAGACAACTTACCTAATTCAGCCTGATCTGCTAATCTCCTCTGTAACTCCCCACCAAGAGGAAATTCAACCTTTTCATGAACACTTGGAGGGACACCCAATCCATTTTTGGAAACATCTAGGCGTTTCTTGATTACCATGCTCTGGATGGCCAAATCGGGGGGTTTTCATGCAGTATCACACCTGGACTTCGAGCCACAAGTGAACACTTCTCTGGGCGCCTCACTTCTGGCTCTCCCTGGATCTCACTGCAACCTGAGTGCCAGAGCTGTGAAGACTGCAGCAAAGTCCTCCAACTGCCACGGTAAATATTATCATTGCCTCTGGTATGCAGAAAAGCAAGCCGAGCCGCATTTGCTGCTTCCAGGTGGCAGACACAGAAATGAGAGCAGGGAGGGAGGGGCTGGGAAGGTGTCTGGGAAGAAAGAGATCAATAAGACCTCACTAGTGTGCAGTATTTACTGTAAACAGCCCAAGGTGGTTTGGGGTTGGGGTGAACTGTCAACATAGAACAGTTCTTTCTCAGGGACTGTGGGAGCAGGTGTTCTAAAAGGAAGGATGAAGATAGCAGTTGCAGTGGGATGGGCAATGAGACCCTGGGCTCAGGGAAGTCACTGAGGGTTAATGTGGCCGGGCAGCCAACGTCACAGCACACGAGGCCCCTGCCACATCTTACCCACACATTTCAAGATCCTGTATCGCCACAGTGTGTCATTACTTTGAGACCATGGACTACTTTCTCAATTCTTCAGCAGAGAGGTTTTTTCCAAAGCACACAAATGCTAGTGGTGGAGCTGGTTTAAGGCCAAGAATCCTCAACTGACAAAGAGCTCAGTAAGCCCTGGGTAGGATAAAAAATGCAGGTGTGTCTTGCCCTAAAACATCTCAGGATGAAAGAACTCGTTGGAAGTGCCTCTCCATCCAGATTTTGTCTAAAGCGTTTAAAGGCGGCTCTCTTTCAACAATTAAGCTGGTGTGGGATGGAAGAGCTTTCCTGCAGTTAGGGAAAAACCTTCTCCCTCTTCCTCTTTCCCAGTTCCAGTTGCTTTTGAGTGACAGGCTAACCTGAGCCCTGAAGCCAGATTCAGAATTACTATGGCTTTGAATTTGATCTCTTATTGTTCTATACTGAAAGAGCAATATTCTTTTTGAGGTGAGTGAGTTCCCCATATTGGAAGCTGCTCTGGGTTTGGGGTAGAATCTTCAGGATCCAAGGGAAGAGGACTGAACTCAAAGGAAAAACAACTTGGGTTGTAGTTGGTGGTGAGACTACGCTAACTTTGTTTTTTTTTGTTTGTTTGTTTTGCTCGCCAAGAAAGCCTCTCCTAATTCACCAGTTCCAGAAGGCTGCCTGCTTCCCTGGCCACAGGGGTAGGTATGTATTCAGGTGTGACCAATCATTCTGTCCTGACGTTAGTGATTGACCCAAGGGTCAAACTGGGTCTTGCCAAGGTCCGATAAATATAAAGTAAATATCCATGGTTGCTCCATAGGAGGCTGTGAATTTGGGGCTCTTGGGCACCGTGTTATTACCTGACATGGGGAGACTTGGAATGAGGCCGACAGACAGGTGGCAGGGATGAAAGATAAATGCAGGCGGGCATGAAGCTGCATGACAGGGAGAGTCCTGGGAGTGTGGAGTCGACCACAACTCCTCGCTCTCCCCAACCCCATGTGAAACCCATCAGCGAGGTCTTTCATCTCCACCTTTGAAAGAGAACCAAATTCTGATGATGTAATGACATCTCACCAGGCCCACTTTGACAATCTTAAGTCCAGAGGGCAGAAGGTCTCTCCTAGAAAACAACAGTGGTGTTCTATCTGGTCTCCCTGCTCTCTGCTTTGCTTCCGCATAGGCTAGTTTCCATATAGCAAAGAGGTCATTTGGTTGTTGTCTGCTTGGCTAGAGAGCTTTGAAACAGTCCTTACATTCTGTCGCTCCTCTGCTCAAACTCTCCAAATGATTCCCATCTCACTCACAGTAAAAGCCAATGCCTTACGGTAGTTTGCCACTCCCTGCAACCTGCTGTCCACCTCTGCTCACGGTCCTCCCCACTGTTCCTTGAACAGAACATGCACGTTCCCAGCTTCACGTCTTTGTATTGGCTATTCTATCTGCCTGGAAGATGGCAGGGCTCACCCCCTAAGCCCTGCAGGCCTTTATTCAATGTCACCTTAGTAGTAGGGCCTTCCCTACCCCACCACACCCCTCCCCTCCACTCACACAATTCTCTGTCTTCTGACACGGCTATTTTTTTTGTAATTTTTGCACACTATATATTTATTTTTCTGTTTGTTGTTGATGTCATAATTTTCATCACCGTGTAGCTGAAACCTGAAACGCTCAGCTGAAACACTGAATGGCCCCTGAAACCTAGTGACTACAATCAGTTGCAATCCTGGCATTCCGGGTGCTGGTCCCAGCTGTTCTTTCCTTTATTCTGCTGGTTTCAACAGCGGCCTTCCCAGCTACCAGAGCCTATTAATTCCCACTTTTGCACAGGCTAACTTGACTTGTGTTGGAGTACTGCCATTTTTAAACCTGGAAATTTGGAGGCGGATCTGTAAAATGTCTAAAGATGAAATACATTGGTTTCCCCCCCCCCGCCCAAGCTTTTGATATTGGTTCAAACTATGGGCTTTCAAGATGCCAATAGCTGAACCCAACACAAATGTAGAGCTTATTCATAGTTTTCATATCATTGTCTCTTGTTAAATTGTACATTCTTAAATTTTTTTGCTACATTCTTAAGCCTGAGTTTTGGTATCTCTTAGGGTCAGCATTCTCCTGTGGGAATTTATCTCTGAAATCAAACCTAATTAAGAGAGTACATGGGGTTCAATTTAGATAACTGCTTACAGTCAACTTTTTCAGATGGGTAACTCATAAAATGAGGAGTACGGTGGTGTTAACACTCCATTTCCTTATCATCGGGGTAGTGTAGGGCTGAAGTGGAATGACCGACAAGGAAACATCTGGAATCAGCTATTTTGTGGCAGTAATTACATATCCTCACCCACTTCTGCATGGAAGCTTCCTCTAGGCTGCAGGCCACTGGTATTCCACCTTTGCTGTACCTTAAAATCACCTGCGTTGAGTTGAAAACTCCTTATATCCAGGCTGCACCCTGGACCAATTAAATCAGATCTCTGGGGTAGGAAAAACATCAGTGAGAACAACAGCAGGTAGTCCTGAGCATATACTGCCTATCAGGTTCCAAGCTATGTGCTTTACATGAATGATCTCATTTAATCCTAACAATTCTTCTATAAGGCGGTATTCTTACTATCCCACCTAAACAGAAGGGGAACTAGATAGAGGTGCACAGAGTTTAAGTAGATTTTCCAAGGCTTTTTGCAGGGAGCCAGTGAAGAGAACCAGTTACTAATCTAGACAATCTGACTTCAGAGGCAAAGCTCTTTCACAATTTGCTTTTTATTTAAAACATGAAATGTACATAATCAATTTTATTATATATTATATATAATATTATTATATTATATATAATATATATAAATTATATATAATATATATATATTTTTTGAGATGGAGTCTCGCTCTGTCACCCAGGCTGGAGTGCAGTGGTGCAATCTCAGCTCACTGCAAGCTCCGTCTCCCTGGTTCACACCATTCTCCTGCCTCAGCCTCCTGAGTAGCTGGGACTACAGGCACCCACCACCATGCCCAGCTAATTTTTTGTATTTTTTAGTAGAGACAGGGTTTCACTGTGTTAGCCAGGATGGTCTCGATCTCCTGACCTCGTGACCTGCCCGGCTTGGCCTCCCAGAGTGTTGGGATTACAGGCATGAGCCACCGCACCCGGCCTATATTTGTTTTGAGACAGAGTTTTTCTCTGTTGCCCAGACTGGAGCGCAGTGGCGCAATCTCGGCTCACTGCAACCTCCACCTCCCAGGTTCAAGAAATTCTTGTGCCTCAGCCTCCTAAGTAGCTGGGATTACAGGGGTGCACCACCACACCTGGCTAATTTTTGTATTTTTAGTAGAGACGGGGTTTCACCATTTTGGCCAGGCTGGTCTCGAACTCCTGACCTCAAGCGATCCACCTGCCTCGGCCTCCCAAAGTGTTGGGATTATAGGCGTGAGCCACCACACCCAGCTGAAATATACATAATTTAAGGAGTCAAATAGTTCTCCAAAGCTCATTACCAAAAATACCAGTCTACCAGTCCCCTTCTTATCCCCCAGCTGATCTATTTCCTCATCCTCAAGGTGATCACTTTTAATCATTTTGGCTATTTCTTTTCATATTGATATCTATGCCTCTATCATTGTTTATAATGTGACTTTTGCTTTTTTCACTTCAAGGCTTGGCTGTTACCTTCCCAAATGGAAAATGAGGGTGTAGATTTCATTGCCCATTACTGCCCACTTCTCCTGATCTACCTTTGATGATACCAGAGTGGATTACATTATTTGGACTGTGTAAGTATTATGAATTGTGTAAATAGCAGAGCTATGCAATATGTTCACCATATGACTATTCTTTCCTTTCTTAAACAACTCTATTTTGTTACCAAGGTGTAGAATCTGCTGTTATCTCTCTCAGAGTAATCATGGTTGTTGGTTTCTTGTTTGTTTGTTTGTTTGTTTGCTTTCATTGGTGGGTGAGGTGTAATCTCATGTTCTTGCATAGTTTCTGTTTACTTCAAGTTGCTTTTTTGTTTGTCTCTTCTGGAATCCGCCTCAGATGTTCTGTGATCTTTGGCTGTTTGCTCGTGAGTGTCAGAGAGGTGCAGAAAGCAGACTGGAAACTGCATAAATGGGGAGAAGGAGGGTTGTCTCTTCTGGCTTCACTGAACGTTTCCTCAGGAAACTCCAGCATCGGTATCACTAACATGCAGAGTTAGGAAAGGGATCTGTGCATCTAAATGTTTTGAAAACACTTTTCACCAACCATCTTCTTTTAAGCTCCTAGTTTACCCTCCCTTCCAAAGGTACCCATGCTATCCATTCCTGAGGCTTTTCAAGGACCTGGATGCAAATTGAGTTGCATCTCAGCTTTTCCCATTGGCTGACTTAGAATGCATCTGTCCAGAATGCACTCTGCCAGTGATCAGTTAGTTATGCCCCTGCTTTAAAAAAAAATCATGCACACGGGCCAGGAGCGGTGGCTTACACCTGTAATCCCAGCACTTTGGGAGGGCGAAGTGGGTGGATCACGAGGTCAGGCATTCAAGACCAGCCTGGCCAACATGGTGAAACCCTGTCTCTACTAACAATACAAAAATTACCCAGGCATGGTGGCGTGTGCCTGTAGTCCCAGCTACTTGGGAGGCTGAGGCAGGAGAATCACTTGAACCCAGGAGGCAGAGATTGCAGTGAGCCAAGATCTCGCCACTGCACTCCAGCCTAGGTGACAGAGCAAGACTCTGTGTGAAAAAAAAAAAAAGTATGCACACGTATCTATATTACACACATGTATCTGTTATATGACCTTGTGACTCAATCTCTTTGTCATAGTGACTTTATGTCCTCACTGAAACTTTCTACCCTCATTTTACTGGGGACACAGATAGGAGTGGAGCTAAACGAGTGTGCTCAATCCATCATCCTTAATGGAGGAATCAGAGCGCCCCATCACCACTTTTATTAAAATGATAGAAAATCGACTGTCTGCCTGCTAGAGAGTGTGTATAAGCACCTCCACAAGCCTGCTTCACTTGCTTCTCACAGCCGTTTTAGATAGGTCAGGAGGCCTTCATATGCCCACGGGAATAATAGGGCGCTTAGCCGAGACCACGTCGCAGGTCTCTTGACATCTAACCCAGTGCCATTTCCACGTGTTCAGATGCTATCCTGGGCTATTCCGAGGACAACACTTGAAACGGGAAAGAATGATGTGCCTGGGCCCACCAGAGATTATGGGAAACCTTGATGCTGTTTATCACCTTGATTCAAATTTCATGTTCACAGCCTGAGTCTACAAAGAAGAGAAACAGAAGAGGGAAGCCTGGTGTAAAACTCTTTCATTCCATTCTTGTCTGTCTTTATCTGCTCCAACTGTGAGGGCTGCTTACCCTAGAAGCAGATCAATGCAGAGATGGACACATTTGCAGCACCTACAAAGGGTGAGAAAAGACAGGGGATTCCCAGGCACCGGAAGAATGAGGAAAACAGTGACCTTTGTTCCCAGGCTACAGAAAAATGCTGTATCTAAACTGACATCGGCCGGCTGGATGGCATTTAGAAGCCAAATGAACTGCTGTTAAGCGGCGAGGTCAGGGGTTCAGCTAATTGTGGAACCACGGGCACTCCCCACAGACCCAGAAATCTTTGTAATCTATGGCTTAGGGACATACATTGTGAAGGTGATTTTTACAGTTCATCTTTGAAAATAGAAAGACGCGGGAAGCTCTGGCTGCTACACATACTGATAGTAGCCTTGCCTGGTGTCTTAGAAACATCTGTGAAATATAGCTTTCTGGCTTAAATAATAAAAGGAGATAGAAAGATAAAAAGAAATTACAACAAATACAGTGAATGAACCAGCCTTGATAAGGTACCTGCAGAAAACGACCTTATTTTCTCTCTCCAATGCATTAGAATCCATGTTGTAATTTTGTACATTCTGCAACGCTGGATGAAAAATCAGGCAAATCAAATAACTTTATCGCTATTGGTAATAAAAAGTCTTCTAGGTTGTTTAAAATCCAAGATGAGTCTCCTGGAAATCAAGCATTTCAATAAATAAAATGGCCAAGGCAATGTAGGCATCAAAACAGAAAGCTTTATCTAAAGCCAAAGTTCTTTTCCTCTTCTGTTCTGTGCCTGCCTGAGGCTCAAGATCCGTGACTGGAGATTCTTTCCTCCTCCTGCTGCCTCGTGATATTGATTCTGGCTTCCCTGGGGCTGGAGCTGAGGGGAAGGAGATATGGGAAGGGACCAGAAAGTCCTCGTTGGCGGGCACAGCTGTAATGAGACATGGGGTGTAGAGATGACCAGTTCTACATCTCTCCCTTCCGGGACCTTTTGGATTGTGAATCTCTTGATGCAGGCAGTGCCGTGTTCTGGGCAAGCAGCTTTATGAAGATTCCTCCCTCCATCCTGGGGCTTCTGTGTGTCGGTCCCTCTGTTGGGTCATGGTGCCTTCCAGGAAGCCATCTGTGCTGGCAGGGTCCTCCATGGCTTCTCATGTGGTTCATAAGAGACTCTTCTCTATCCATAGCAGTCCCACCCCTCTCTCACTCGGTTCTTCTAGGTCAGGCCAGTGGTCACAGTCTCTGCTGTTAGTTTTCCCCAGAAATAAGTCAGGTGCCAATGTCTGCACTCTGCACAGTTTTAGGGGATGCAAATCAAGTTAAAAGTGGCTACCCTGCTCCCCTGTGTTCCCAGCAGCACTGTACATAGCCTGATGGGAAGGGAAAAGGGGAAAAGGTCCCCTCTCCTCCTTTGTGGGGATGGGAGGAAACTCATCCTGCTGACTTTGCACAAGCTATACCCCTGTTTGGGCCTCCTCAGTGTCCCCTGCTGTACATGTAGGCAGGTGACGGCATTTGACTCTTTTTTTTTTTTTAATTTACCCCTTTGATGCATTTTGAGTCTGGCATTAGCCTGGCTCCTGGTGGTTTGTCCCTGGCCTTTGGGAGCCATAGTAGAATGGAAAACATTCCTCAAATATTACAGGTCCTAATCCTCACCTGTGAATATTACTTTATTTGGCAAAAAAATGTGGTTAAACTGAGCATCTGTCACTGGTAAACTGAGTTCCTTTCCTACTTTACATTGGTCACAGGGAAAGAATACCCAATTGGAAAAAAGGCAAGCAGGATTTATTCTCTGGCCAGAGAAGGAGAAGGAGTGAGCTCTCGCTCCCAAGACACCTCCTACTCCCCAAGCTGTGGGAAGCTGGGGGATTTTAAGGCGTTAGCTATGGATGTGGGAGGTTTGTAAGTATGTGCAGGTGCAAATCATAAACATGCCTCTTCATACAAAGCATGTTCAGAAAATGGCGGCGATTTTCTTCCATGGGTGGGGCTTTTAGTATTATAATGATATGTTAATGATCTAAAGGCAACAAGGAGTTGCTGGTTCTGGTTTTTTCTGGGTTTGAGCAGGCTTTATCTTCCTCTGATAACTGGTAAAATGTTCTGAAGCTGCTGGACCATCAGGAGTCCTTGTGAGCTAGCATACCAAGAGATCCAGAGAATAAAATAAGCTGTTTAAGAAATAATATCTGTGGATCATCTGAGGTCAGGAGTTTGAGAACAGCCTGGCCAACATGGTGAAACCCCATCTCTACTAAAAATACAAAAATTAGCCACTGCCCTCTAGCCTGGGTGACAGAGTGAGACTCCATCTCAAAAAAACAATACAAAAAAAAGAAATAATACTGAGCTTTCTCAGCTATCTACTGCTAAAGAAAATAATGAGCTCTTTCAGGTGTTTCTCCAGGGCTGCCCCAGATCTTGAGATGAGATTATCCTGGATTAGCCTGGGTGGGCTCTTCACGAAATCATAAGAATCCCTAGAACAGGGAGGTAGAGGGAGAGCTGACACACAGATGAGGAGGCAGCGTGCATGAAGGCAGAGATGAAAGTGCTGCAACCGCACGTCAAGGAATGCTGGCGGCACCTGATGCTGGGAGAGGCAAGGAATCGATTCTCCTCCAGAGCCTCCTGAGGCAGTGCGGCCCTGCAGACACCTTGATTTCATCCTAGGGATACTGATTTGGGACTTTTGGACTCCAGAACTGGGAAATAATAAATTGTTATAAATTTGAGCCACCCAGTTTGGGGTAATTTGTTACAGCAGCCACAGAAAATTAATAGAAGAATCTTAGCCAACAGTAGGGTGGAAAGAATTCCATTTTAAATCCTGTTTTTATTTTTTTAGAGACAGGGTCTCGTTTTGTTGCCCAGGCAGGTCTTGAACTCCCAGACTTAAGCAATCCTCCTGTCTGAGCCTCCTGTAGTGCTGAGATTACACTGTGAGCCACTGCACATGGCCTTAAATCCTGTTTATAAAAGAAACAATTTTAAAAATTATTTCAATGCTTCTGAAAAGAGCTGGTTATCTGTCTTGCGTGTTATTTTTTAAAATTATTTTGTATGGATACATAGTAGGTATATGTATTTATGGGTTACATGAGATATTTTGATACAGGCATGCAATGTGTAATAATCACATCAGGATAAATGGGATTTCCATCACCTCAAGCATTCATCATTTCTTTGTGTTATGAACATTCCAATTGTATTCTCTCAGCTAATCCAAAATGTACAACAAATTATTGCTGACTGTAGTTACCCTGTTGTTCTATCAAATCCCAGATCTTATTCACTGTATGTAACCATATTTTTGTACCCATTAACCGTTACAATTTCCCTGCCTTCCATTACCCACCCCAGCCTCTGGTGGCCACCATTCTACTCTCCTAAGTGTTGATATGCTTGAGGGGCATGATTTGATTGGTGGTATCTCTGCATTTGTTATTTTCTCTGTCTGAGTAACAGTGGGGCCTCATTGTAGGTCCTTAGTAACTTATTGGCCTAAGTCTTTCATTGACATTATCTCTGTAGACAGAACCTTCTTGCAAGTCCTATTCTCACGCAGCATTCTTGATCAGTTACGCTTGAAATGACACTATCGATGTGTTTGTTTCTTTCCTGGGGAAATTTAATATTAATTTTTCCCCAGGGAAACTCCCAGAGACAGCATGGAACAACTTGCCTTGTGCACTCCTTGCAGAAAGAGGAGGATTCCCCTGTTATTGATAAGAGATAAGAGATGTGGAGGGAGGAGCCAAGATGGCCGAATAGGAACAGCTCCGGTCTACAGCTCCCAGCGTGAGCGACGCAGAAGACGGGTGATTTCTGCATTTCCATCTGAGGTACCGGGTTCATCTCACTAGGGAGTGCCAGACAGTGGGCACAGGCCAGTGTGTGCGCGCACCGTGCGCGAGCCGAAGCAGGGCGAGGCATTGCCTCACCTGGGAAGCGCAAGCGTCAGGGAGTTCCCTTTCCGAGTCAAAGAAAGGGGTGACGGACGCACCTGGAAAATCGGGTCACTCCCACCCGAATATTGCGCTTTTCAGACCGGCTTAAAAAACGGCGCACCAGGAGACTATATCCCACACCTGGCTCGGAGGGTCCTACGCCCACGGAATCTCGCTGATTGCTAGCACAGCAGTCTGAGATCAAACTGCAAGGCGGCAGCGAGGCTGGGGGAGGGGCGCCCGCCATTGCCCAGGCTTGCTTAGGTAAACAAAGCAGCCGGGAAGCTCGAACTGGGTGGAGCCCACCACAGCTCAAGGAGGCCTGCCTGCCTCTGTAGGCTCCACCTCTGGGGGCAGGGCACAGACAAACAAAAAGACAGCAGTAACCTCTGCAGACTTAAGTGTCCCTGTCTGACAGCTTTGAAGAGAGCAGTGGTTCTCCCAGCACGCAGCTGGAGATCTGAGAACGGGCAGACTGCCTCCTCAATTGGGTCCTTGACCCCTGACCCCCGAGCAGCCTAACTGGGAGACACCCCCCAGCAGGGGCACACTGACACCTCACACGGCAGGGTATTCCAACAGACCTGCAGCTGAGGGTCCTGTCTGTTAGAAGGAAAACTAACAACCAGAAAGGACATCTACACCGAAAACCCATCTGTACATCACCATCATCAAAGACCAAAAGTATATAAAACCACAAAGATGGGGAAAAAACAGAACAGAAAAACTGGAAACTCTAAAACGCAGAGCGCCTCTCCTCCTCCAAAGGAACGCAGTTCCTCACCAGCAACGGAACAAAGCTGGATGGAGAATGATTTTGACGAGCTGACAGAAGAAGGCTTCAGACGATCAAATTACTCTGAGCTACGGGAGGACATTCAAACCAAAGGCAAAGAAGTTGAAAACTTTGAAAAAAATTTAGAAGACTGTATAACTAGAATAACCAATACAGAGAAGTGCTTAAAGGAGCTGATGGGGCTGAAAACCAAGGCTTGAGAACTACGTGAAGAATGCAGAAGCCTCAGGAGCCAATGCGATCAACTGGAAGAAAGGGTATCAGCAATGGAAGATGAAATGAATGAAATGAAGCGAGAAGGGAAGTTTAGAGAAAAAAGAATAAAAAGAAATGAGCAAAGCCTCCAAGAAATATGGGACTATGTGAAAAGACCAAATCTACGTCTGACTGGTGTACCTGAAAGTGATGTGGAGAATGGAACCAAGTTGGAAAACACTCTGCAGGATATTATCCAGGAGAACTTCCCCAATCTAGCAAGGCAGGCCAACGTTCAGATTCAGGAAATACAGAGAACGCCACAAAGATACTCCTCGAGAAGAGCAACTCCAAGACACATAATTGTCAGATTCACCAAAGTTGAAATGAAGGAAAAAATGTTAAGGGCAGCCAGAGAGAAAGGTCGGGTTACCCTCAAAGGAAAGCCCATCAGACTAACAGCTGATCTCTCAGCAGAAACCCTACAAGCCAGGAGAGAGTGGGGGCCAATATTCAACATTCTTAAAGAAAAGAATTTTCAACCCAGAATTTCATATCCAGCCAAACTAAGCTTCATAAGTGAAGGAGAAATAAAATACTTTATAGACAAGCAAATGCTGAGAGATTTTGTCAACACCAGGCCTGCCCTAAAAGAGCTCCTGAAGGAAGCGCTAAACATGGAAAGGAACAACCGGTACCAGCCGCTGCAAAATCATGCCAAAATGTAAAGACCATGGAGACTAGGAAGAAACTGCATCAACTAACGAGCAAAATCACCAGCTAACATCATAATGACAGGATCAAATTCACACATAACAATATTAACTTTAAATATAAATGGACTAAATTCTGCAATTAAAAGACACAGACTGGCAAGTTGGATAAAGAGTCAAGACCCATCAGTGTGCTGTATTCAGGAAACCCATCTCACGTGCAGAGACACACATAGGCTCAAAATAAAAGGATGGAGAAAGATCTACCAAGCCAATGGAAAACAAAAAAAGGCAGGGGTTGCAATCCTAGTCTCTGATAAAACAGACTTTAAACCAACAAAGATCAAAAGAGACAAAGAAGGCCATTACATAATGGTAAAGGGATCAATTCAACAAGAGGAGCTAACTATCCTAAATATTTATGCACCCAATACAGGAGCACCCAGATTCATAAAGCAAGTCCTGAGTGACCTACAAAGAGACTTAGACTCCCACACATTAATAATGGGAGACTTTAACACCCCACTGTCAACATTAGACAGATCAACGAGACAGAAAGTCAACAAGGATACCCAGGAATTGAACTCAGCTCTGCACCAAGCGGACCTAATAGACATCTACAGAACTCTCCACCCCAAATCAACAGAATATACATTTTTTTCAGCACCACACCACACCTATTCCAAAATTGACCACATAGTTGGAAGTAAAGCTCTCCTCAGCAAATGTAAAAGAACAGAAATTATAACAAACTATCTCTCAGACCACAGTGCAATCAAACTAGAACTCAGGATTAAGAATCTCACTCAAAGCCGCTCAACTACATGGAAACTGAACAACCTGCTCCTGAATGACTACTGGGTACATAACGAAATGAAGGCAGAAATAAAGATGTTCTTTGAAACCAACGAGAACAAAGACACCACATACCAGAATCTCTGGGACGCATTCAAAGCAGTGTGTAGAGGGAAATTTATAGCACTAAATGCCTACAAGAGAAAGCAGGAAAGATCCAAAATTGACACCCTAACATCACAATTAAAAGAACTAGAAAAGCAAGAGCAAACACATTCAAAAGCTAGCAGAAGGCAAGAAATAACTAAAATCAGAGCAGAACTGAAGGAAATAGAGACACAAAAAACCCTTCAAAAAATCAATGAATCCAGGAGCTGGTTTTTTGAAAGGATCAACAAAATTGATAGACCGCTAGCAAGACTAATAAAGAAAAAAAGAGAGAAGAATCAAATAGACGCAATAAAAAATGATAAAGGGGATATCACCACCGATCCCACAGAAATACAAACTACCATCAGAGAATACTACAAACACCTCTACACAAATAAACTAGAAAATCTAGAAGAAATGGATACATTCCTCGACACATACACTCTCCCAAGACTAAACCAGGAAGAAGTTGAATCTCTGAATAGACCAATAACAGGCTCTGAAATTGTGGCAATAATCAATAGTTTACCAACCAAAAAGAGTCCAGGACCAGATGGATTCACAGCCGAATTCTACCAGAGGTACAAGGAGGAACTGGTACCATTCCTTCTGAAACTATTCCAATCAATAGAAAAAGAGGGAATCCTCCCTAACTCATTTTATGAGGCCAGCATCATTCTGATACCAAAGCCAGGCAAAGACACAACCAAAAAAGAGAATTTTAGACCAATATCCTTGATGAACATTGATGCAAAAATCCTCAATAAAATACTGGCAAACCGAATCCAGCAGCACATCAAAAAGCTTATCCACCATGATCAAGTGGGCTTCATCCCTGGGATGCAAGGCTGGTTCAATATACGCAAATCAATAAATGCAATCCAGCATATAAACAGAGCCAAAGACAAAAACCACATGATTATCTCAATAGATGCAGAAAAAGCCTTTGACAAAATTCAACAACCCTTCATGCTAAAAACTCTCAATAAATGAGGTATTGATGGGACGTATTTCAAAATAATAAGAGCTATCTATGACAAACCCACAGCCAATATCATACTGAATGGGCAAAAACTGGAAGCATTCCCTTTGAAAACTGGCACAAGACAGGGATGCCCTCTCTCACCACTCCTATTCAACATAGTGTTGGAAGTTCTGGCCAGGGCAATCAGGCAGGAGAAGGAAATAAAGGGTATTCAATTAGGAAAAGAGGAAGTCAAATTGTCCCTGTTTGCAGACGACATGATTGTATATCTAGAAAACCCCATTGTCTCAGCCCAAAATCTCCTTAAGCTGATAAGCAACTTCAGCAAAGTCTCAGGATACAAAATCAATGTACAAAAATCACAAGCATTCTTATACACCAACAACAGACAAACAGAGAGCCAAATCATGACTGAACTCCCATTCACAATTGCTTCAAAGAGAATAAAATACCTAGGAATCCAACTTACAAGGGATGTGAAGGACCTCTTCAAGGAGAACTACAAACCACTGCTCAAGGAAATAAAAGAGGACACAAACAAATGGAAGAACATTCCATGCTCATGGGTAGGAAGAATCAATATCGTGAAAATGGCCATACTGCCCAAGGTAATTTACAGATTCAATGCCATCCCCATCAAGCTACCAATGACTTTCTTCACAGAATTGGAAAAAACTACTTTAAAGTTCATATGGAACCAAAAAAGAGCCCGCATTGCCAAGTCAATCCTAAGCCAAAAGAACAAAGCTGGAGGCATCACACTACCTGACTTCAAACTATACTACAAGGCTACAGTAACCAAAACAGCATGGTACTGGTACCAAAACAGAGATATAGATCAATGGAACAGAACAGAGCCCTCAGAAATAATGCCGCATATCTACAACTATCTGATCTTTGACAAACTTGAGAAAAACAAGCAATGGGGAAAGGATTCCCTATTTAATAAATGGTGCTGGGAAAACTGGCTAGCCATATGTAGAAAGCTGAAACTGGATCCCTTCCTTACACCTTATACAAAAATCAATTCAAGATGGATTAAAGATTTAAACGTTAGACCTAAAACCATAAAAACCCTAGAAGAAAACCTAGGCATTACCATTCAGGACATAGGCGTGGGCAAGGACTTCATGTCCAAAACACCAAAAGCAATGGCAACAAAAGCCAAAATTGACAAATGGGATCTAATTAAACTAAAGAGCTTCTGCACAGCAAAAGAAACTACCATCAGAGTGAACAGGCAACCTACAACATGGGAGAAAATTTTCGCAACCTACTCATCTGACAAAGGGCTAATATCCAGAATCTACAATGAACTCAAACAAATTTACAAGAAAAAAACAAACAACCCCATCAAAAAGTGGGCGAAGGACATGAACAGACACTTCTCAAAAGAAGACATTTATGCAGCCAAAAAACACATGAAGAAATGCTCATCATCACTGGCCATCAGAGAAATGCAAATCAAAACCACTATGAGATATCATCTCACACCAGTTAGAATGGCAATCATTAAAAAGTCAGGAAACAACAGGTGCTGGAGAGGATGTGGAGAAATAGGAACACTTTTACACTGTTGGTGGGACTGTAAACTAGTTCAACCATTGTGGAAGTCAGTGTGGCGATTCCTCAGGGATCTAGAACTAGAAATACCATTTGACCCAGCCATCCCATTACTGGGTATATACCCAAAGGACTATAAATCATGCTGCTATAAAGACACATGCACACGTATGTTTATTGTGGCATTATTCACAATAGCAAAGACTTGGAACCAACCCAAATGTCCAACAATGATAGACTGGATTAAGAAAATGTGGCACATATACACCATGGAATACTATGCAGCCATAAAAAATGATGAGTTCATGTCCTTTGTAGGGACATGGATGAAATTGGAAACCATCATTCTCAGTAAACTATCGCAAGAACAAAAAACCAAACACCGCATATTCTCACTCATAGGTGGGAATTGAACAATGAGATCACAAGGACACAGGAAGGGGAATATCACACTCTGGGGACGGTGGTGGGGTCGGGGGAGTGGGGAGGGATAGCAGTGGGAGATACATCTAATGATAGATGACACGTTGGTGGGTGCAGCGCACCAGCATGGCACATGTATACATATGTAACTAACCTGCACAATGTGCACATGTACCCTAAAACTTAAAGTATAATAAAAAAAAAATTAAAAAAAAAAAAAAAAAGAGATGTGATTGACACCTCCGATGCTGAGCTGGCTCCCGGTTCTGGCATCCTGACTGTTGACACACAGAAACTTAAAGGTGTACTAGAACTTGAGGTTTTGTAATCCGAACCCTAGAGTTTGCAAGTGAGGCCCCTGAAACCTATGGAGCTCGTTGGTTGAGGAGCGCAGTGAGCGCAGGGTCACTTCCAGAATCATGCTGGCCGCCTTTGGCCACTTGGTCACACTCTTCCTCTCTCTATGCTCGTTTCTCCATCTCTCTCTCTCTCTCTCTCTCTCTCTCTCTTTTTTTAGACTGAGTTTTGCTCTTGTTGCCCAGGCTGGAGTGCAATGGTGCGATCTTGGTTCACTGCAACCTCCGCCTCCCGGATTCAAGTGATTCTCCTTGCCTCAGCCTCCTAAGTAGCTGGAATTACAGGTGTCCACCACCATGCCCGGCTAATTTTTGTGTTTTTAGTAGAGACAGGGTTTCACCATGTTGGCCAGGCTGGTCTCGAACTCCTGACCTCAGGTGATCCACCCACCTTGGCCTCCCAAACTGCTGGGATTACAAGCATGAGCTACTATGCTTGGCCTCATTTCTTCATCTCTAAAAAGGAGAAGAAGGCAGGGCCAGGAAACTTCTCTGTTTGCTCATCCAACAAACAGTTGTTAAGGAAGCGACCCCTTGCCAGACCTCTGACTAGGTGCCAGAGTTAGGAACACAAATCTAACAGTTCCTTTCCGATGGAACCCAGTCTGATGAGCCACATACTTCCCTCGGATCCCCCCTTTCAAGTTAAGACTTGTATGGATGTCCATCATCTATACCAGATAAAAGCAGAAGGGCTGTGGTTGCAGCAGATACTGGGGAAGGCAGGTAGAGGCAGGGTAACTTGGTGCCCCATAAACTTGGTACCTTCTACTTCCCTGGCTATTCCTAGGGTCTCAGGAACTCTAAGACTCAGTGGTGTCTCAGCTGCAAAAATGCAAAGTAGAGCCCAGCCCAGCATGGCGACTACGAGCCCTGGCTCTGGGGACATTCAATTTGGTTTCTGATTGCTGCTGCTGCTTCCAAGCTTTGAGATCTTGTTCAAATTATTTAATTCCTCCATGTCTCAATATTGTCATCCATAAAATTAGGATTATACCTAATTCTAATAGTACCTAATTCCTTGAATGTTGAAAATAGTAAATGAATTCATTCATATATAACACAACAGAGCTGGACACAGAGTAAGCACTCAAGAAATGTCAGGTAATACAGTCCACGTGTTCATGAACTGCCCTTCAGCTCTCTCCAATCCAGCATAGCTGTCCACATTCTTCAATCAGCGTGGATGACAGCAATGGAACAGACTTGAAAGTTTAGGAAAATTCCACTTGACTTGAAAGCACCTTGATGACAGATCATACGATGCTTGCCTTCTAATGGTCAGGACTGAACTTCAAGAAGCTCTGGACACTGACTGAGGCCAAGCCCAGTCAAGGGGAACAGAAGGGAAGCCATCTGGGACTTCATCTCAGTCTGCCAGGAAACTGACATCTTTTTGCAAGTTAACAACCAGGGAATCAGAGGGAAATTACTTTTATCAGAGGGTTATGGCTTTGCCACTAGAAAGGGAGGCTTTCCTGTTTGCCGAGCCTTTAGCACAGGTCCAGCAATAACATGAAGGAGAAAGGCTGGGAATAACCCAAAGCAAACTGGAGAGAAGCTTCAACTTGGAGATGGGGTGGGAGTTGGAGGAGAGACTGGAAAGGAACAGGAAGAGAGGCAGTTTTGGACCAAGTGTCAGAGATGGAAGGGGAGGAAAGGAAGAAGGCTGAACGGTCTTCTCACTAAGGACAGTTCATCATCCTGTAGACTCATTGCTCAGGGACCTGGGGCCTGCATTCCGAACAGTGGCGAACAGATGTAGCCTGGAGGGCCTGCGGATGACCCTGGGAAAGATGCAGCTGGTGGTGGAGGATGCCCGCGAGGCAGTGACCACCTGAGCTCTGGCACCCGCGCTCCCCACCTGGCCTGTGTGCATTTACTCAGCCCACCGATAGCATCTGCAAAAGCTCCAGGGGCTCCAGATCAAGTTCCCAAGGAAGGCTGACATCAGACCCAAGGGAGGAATGCTTCCTTCCCGTTCCCATTCGAACCAACAATGCAGCCTGTGGCAGGTGTCCCTGCGTCACAGAAACCACAAGGACAGTGAGACCAGGCTGAGTGCTCCTGGCCCTTGCCCGGGTGCCCTTGCATTCGTATGTTCTACACCAAACCTGTGAGCCCAGCCAGTGGGAGGAGGAGGAGAAGGAAGGTGAGCGGATTGGCTCTAACTTTCCACCCTGCTGGAAAAGAATCCAATCCCTTCTGGACGAATGCCACTTTCACAGATAAAGGAAGAATGTGGAAATAGCAGTCAGAGCTGAACCAACAAGAAGGAAGGTCGGCCCAACGTGTATTGGATGTCTACAACATACCAGATATTGGATCTGACAATTTACGTTCACTCTAGTTTATTCTCAAAGATGAGACCTGGGCTGGGCACAGTGGGTCATGCCTGTAATCCCAGCATTTTGGGAGGCCCAGGTAGGTGGAGCACTTGAGGTCAGGGGTTTGGGACCAGCCTGGCTAACATGGTGAAATCTCGCCTCTACTAAAAATACAAAAATGAGCCAGGCATGGTGGTACATGCCTGTAATCTCAGCTACTCAGGAGGCTGAAGCAGGAAAATTGTTCGAAACTGGGAGGCGGAGGTTGCAGTGAGCCGAGATCGTGCCATTACACTACAACCTGGGTGACAGAGTGAGAATTTGTCTCAAAAAAAAAAAAAGAAAAGAAAAGAAAAGAAAAGGAGGCCCCAAGGTTGGAGTTACCATCCTCATTTTACAGGGGAAGAAACTCAGGCTCACTGACTTTCAGTCACCTACCCCAGGGCCATGTAGCTGGATTTGGAGCCAGGCTGGTCCTACTCCAAAGAAAGAGTTCTTTCCATGATGAGAGTAGAACCCAAATACTACCTGCCGACTGGTGTTGGAAGCTGCTTAAGGATACAGATGTCTGCTTCTAGCTCTGGAAAAACTGATTTAGAAGTTCTGAGGTGAGGCTGAGAAATACGCCTCAGCAAATATTTCTAAAGCCCTCCTGGTAATTTGGGTCCTTAGCTGGATCAGGCACCAGATTGTCACACGGCACCAGCCCCTCCCACCGACACCTCTGACCCTGGTGAAAGCAGCATCAGTGCTTGTAAGAAGGCCCGAGACCTGAGATTCCACCCACCAGATCTGCCTTGACCCACTGCAGTTCCCTTCATCCTGGACCCCGGTCTCCTTCATCAGAAGGACATTGGAACTACCCAGTCTATCTGCTTTCTACTGGGTTGTATAGCTCCCTGCAGATGGGATCTGGCCTCCCTACAAACTCCATCAGATATTCTTCATTTAACAAACACTTCTAGAACAGTCACTATGTGCCTGGCAGCACTGTGTTTTACATACACAATCAATTCTCATTACTTGCCATAGTTATGTTCTTTTTTTTCTTTTTTATTTTTGAGATGGAGTTTCACTCTTGTCACCTAGGCTAGAGTGCAATGGCATGATTTCAGCTCACTGCAACCTCCGCTTCTCAGGTTCAAGCAATTCTCCTGCCTCAGCCTCCCAAGTAGCTGGGATTACAGGTGCCTGCCACCACGCCCAGCTAATTTTTGTATTTTTAGTAGAGATGGGGCTTCACCATGTCAGCCAGGCTAGTCTCGAACTCCCGGCCTAAAGTGATCCACCCACCTGGGCATCCCAAAGTGCTGGGATTACAGGTGCGAGCCACCACGCCTGGTATGTAGTTATGTTCTATAGATTCTCAGCAAACACTGAGTTAACAAATACTGAACCATTGCTCCTAGGGGAGAGCCAGAGTGAGGTTTGTATGAGCAGAAGGTCACAATGTTTTGTTAACAGGTCAGTACATAATTTGGCTTTCTATGAGCTTCTGTCTAAAGACATCTTATTTCACATATATTGTTGACTCATTAACATTGAAATCACAGCCCACAACACTATAACTCATGCATGAACTAAGCTTTTCCAAACACACATATTTTCTCTGTAAGGCACGTCCCAACTTTCTGTGCTTAGGAACACGGGGCGGCACTTCAGCGCCATGCCTGGGGCCCATTTCAGATAGAAAAATGACTAACAAAAAGTACAAACGTGCAATAAATGTGTACTAAATAGACTGCAAAAAAGACGTGTTTACAAACTGAGAGCTGAAATAGTAGGGCAGAGGGTAACCTTGTTCAGCCACAGCTGGGAACATGCATGTTGGTGACACACATGCTTGCAGCTCTGCACGTGTCCACAAATGACCACAAAAGTGTCCTAGGTATTGATCTGGGAGTCACAAATAAATGTTAGCAAGTAGGCAAGATCACAAATGCAGAATTAAGAGGATCAGCAGTATTCACTCATTTAATTGTTAACAGTTCATGAAGTAGGTGTTATCCTCGCCCCTCTTTGATCCTGATAAGGATCAAGAACTCAGAATGAGTTCCAGAATCCTGAATAAGTTGTAAAAAAATTTATTAACAGATTCCAAAAATGTCACTCTCATTTTAATAGATGAAAGAATGAAGGTACAGAGAGGTCAGCAACTTGCCCAAGGTCACACAGCGAGTAAGCGGTAGAGTTGGGATTTAAGTCTGGTGTATGAGGCTGAAAGTTAACCCTATAATCATGTTGCCCTTGAGTGATTTCAAACCGTGGACTGCACAGCTGACCATGACCAGAGCCTACCCATCAAGGTGACACTGATGTAATTAAAAAGGAAAGAAGCCAGGTGCAGAGGCTCACGCCTATAATCCCTGCACTTTGGGAGGCTGAGGCGGGTGGATCACCTGAGGTCAGGAGTTCGAGACCAGCCAGGCCACCATGGTAGAACCCCGTCTCTACTAAAAATACAAAAAAAAAGGAAAGAAAGAAAGAAAGAAAGAAAGAAAGAAAGAAAGAAAGAAAGAAAGAAAGAAAGAAAAAAAAAAAAAAAAATAGCCAGGTGTGGTAGCCAGCACCAGTAGTCCCAGCTAGTCGGGAGGCTGAGGCACGAGGAGAATCAGTTGAACCTGGGAGGCAGAGGTTGCAGTGAGCCAAGATTGTGCCACTTCACGCCATCCTGGGTGACAGAGTGAGACTCTGTCTCAAAAAGAAAAAAAAAAAAAAAAAAAGGAAAAACACAATACTTTTGTATAGTTTTAGGCACTTCTAGATATTCATTAGGCCTGTTGCCTATGTCCTCTTAACTTTGAGTTTCTCAAACTGTTCTAGGAGCCCTGATTTCAGAATCATCTGGTGTAATACAACTTCTCAGAGATTCTAATTTGACTGGCTTAAGGTGGGGCTACATTTTTAATAACTGCCTCAAATAAGCCTAATGTTTTCGGATTTAGAAAGCACTGCCTAAAATTCAATGCCATATTGAATCAAAATTACACATCAAAAATAATATTTCTTTTTGAAATTAGTAGCATTCAGAGCTCTTCAGACTTTTCTTTTTAAGGTCACAGTTTTGTTTTCTTAATAGGTTGGGGGGAGGAAATTGGTCAAATAAAAATTATCGGAAATTCAATTAAAAAGTAGAAAGAGTATTTTTTTTTTAAAGACTTGCTTCAAGATTTCTATAATACCAAAAACTGGCCGAGAGCGGTGGCTCATGCCTATAATCCCAGCATTTTGGGAGGCCGAGGTGGGTGGATCACCTTAGGTCAGCAGTTTGAGACCAGTCTGGTCAATACGGTGAAACCCTGTCTCTACTAAAAATACAAAAATTAGCTGGGCATGGTGACAGGCACCTGTAATCCCAGCTACTTAGGAGGCTGAGGCAGGAATCGCTTGAACCAGGGAAGCAGAGGTTGCAGTGAGCCGAGATTGCGCCATTGCACTCCAGGCTGGGCAACAAGAGTGAAACTCTGTCTCAAAAAAAGAAAAAAAAAAAAAAGATTTCTGTAATACCGAAAGTTAAAGAAACTTTGGCTTACTCAAAGATTTGATTTCTCTCTGAAGGGTGGGTTCTTACCTAGCTCAAACTCATAAAACTCTTGTCCAATGAAGAAACAGGAGGTTGTTATCCCTTCTCTGTTTATCAACTTCTCCAAGATCTGACTTTTCAAGAAAAAAAATTACAGGTTCAGTTGAGAACAATGGAGAAACTAGGTTAGCCCATTAATGTTGCTTTTAGAAATCTGAGCACTTAAAAATAATGACTAACTGGAAGATTGTTACAGCAGTGTGCATTTGTCAAAATCCACTTAGCTACTTGTGATTTGTGTACTGCCATGTTAATAAATTATAGTTTGATATGAAATACACAGAAAAAGTTTTTAAAAATGAGTCAGTGCTTTTGCGTAATTCTACTCCTCACATTCTATTTTTTTCTGAGTTATCACAGAAGACAAGGTCTGTGTGTGCACTAACTTTTTTTCTGATTTTGTTCTCACTTGTTTAGTCCTGTGCAGAAGTCAAAGGAGACATGGCCAGAGGGCTGCTGAAATATTCACCAGCTTAATGTTACCTCTGGGAAGAAGGGATGGGCATGGACTTGCTATGCCTTCTGCTGTGTTTCTCTGAAAAAAAAAAAAAAAAAAAAAGGAATGCACTATGATGGTTTCAAAGAAACAGTTGTGCACCACATCAAAGGCCCTCACTGTGAAACCAGCTACCATCCAAGGTTCCAGTCATCTCAGTGGTAACGGAGCCTGAGCAAAGGGCAATATGGGCCTCTAAGATTTTGTCTGGGCAGCAGTCCACCGATCTCATCTTCCTCTATTATATTACCTCATCATTTGGGAGTTTGGAAGATGAATGGGTGAAGGAATGCATCTCAGTGGTAATGGAGCCTCAGCAAAGGGCAATATGGTCCTTTAAGATTTTCTGTCTGGGCAGCAGTCCACCAGTTTCATCTTCCTCTACTATACTAGCTCATCATCCAGGAGTTTGGAAGATGAAGGGGAGAAGGAATGCTTTGCAATCATCTGCGATTGGAAACTGAGCCCAGACACTCCGAACTACCGTCCTGGCTGGAGCTGTCTCTTTCACAGACATCTTTCTTTAGCAATAGTTGCTTTGGGGATTACAAAAAGGAACGGGATGGGCATAGTGGTGTGCACCTGTAATCCCAGCTACTTGAGAGGCTGAGGCTGGAGGATTGCTTGAGGCTGGGAGTTCCAGGCTGTAGTGCACTATGATCATGCATATGGAGAGCCACTGCACTCTATCCTGGGTGACATAGTGAGAGCTCATTCCTAAAATAATTTTCTGAAACTAGAAGAAAAAAAGGGACAGGTTGCTTTTCATGTACAAAAGGACCCCTGGCTAGCTTGCTCATGGGATAAGAAGTTGATGCTTATTTGTCTACCCTTCCTTAACCTGCTTCCCCTGGGAGGAACCACACACAGTGGGAGGTACCAATCAGGACTCACCGAACTCTGTGAGTTTTGTAATGGGGAAACACACACCCCAACCAGCTGCTCCTGATCTGAATGCTTTTCTTGGGCTAAGTGATTTGTTCTGTGACGTTCTGGGCTACGTCGTGTAATAAGTATTGCCAGATGGCAATCACAAGCATCATTTCCATTTCATATTTGTGTTGCCCCATATCTCTGTCACTTTGTGCTCCCAGAGTGGGTGAAGAGGCTGGGCCCTCTGATAGTCACAGACATAGCCAGGCTTTAAAAATCTCACACCAATCACCGTAAATAATTTTAAGGCTTCTTATCCTTTAAGATCTGATATCTGGAAAGTGTGAGATTTTTTTTTCCACGAGGACTATTCATACGCTTGTTTTCTTGAGGACGGTGACCCCCTTTCAAACTCACCTGGATGATGCATTTCAAATTCTCAGAGAAGTTGCATGAGCCGATAGCTTTGAGGGAATTAAAAAAGACTCAAATCAAAGTCGATAATTAGCAGTTATGCCCGTGGATGTCAAAACACCTGAGAGGCTCTCAGTTGGCTTGGAATGTCCAAGTAGAAATCAACTTCAAACAGTGTCCTTAGCAAATTTGTAAAATGTGTATACGTGTGACTATGTGCTTTTTTTTTTTTTTTCCTGCTTGTCACTGTGCTGCAAATTGGTTGGACCCTAAGTCAATCAGTTAAAAAGTAGGCAGTTAGGAGAAAAATGCCTTTCTGCCAGCAGTGTGGAACCACCCCTTAGCTTTAAGAACCCTGCTCGGGAGGAGATCAAACTGCCCCTGGATGAGCTGACTGTGAGAAAGCGAACCTGCCGAGTGCACAGGCCAGGGCTCATCCAAAAGTTTTGCTTGGCAGTTCTGCCCAGAACTATCTCTGTGTAGCTACTCCCTTCTGAGAAATGCAAATGTCATGCAGGCCCTCATCAAGAAAAATCACCAGCACTCGCCTTAAGAAAGAAGGGATAAATGCTCATATTATCCATTCAAATGTGAGTGTATTCAATGACCACACATGGGACTGAGCTAGATGGTATACACAATGAATACCAAAGCTGAATTTCGAGGCAGGTGCCTATAATCCCAGTGCCTGTAATCTTTGTAATCCGGAGGCTGAGGTGGGAGGATCCCTAAGTTCGGGAGTTCGAATCCAGCCTGAGCAAAATAGCAAGACCCTGTCTCTAAAAAACAACAACAACAAAAAAACAAAAAGCAGAAATTTTACCCTCCAGGGACTTATAGTCTAATATTTCTCATAGAAGCAAATTATGAACATACAGTATTTTATATATATATATATATGTTTGTTGTTGTTGTTGTTGTTTTGAGACAGAGTCTTGCTGTGTCACCCAGGCTAGAGTGCAGTGGTGTGATCTCAGTCTCAGCTCACTGCAACCTCTACCTCCCGGGCTCAAGTGATTGTCATGCCTCAGCCTTCCTAGTAGCTGGGACTACAGGCACGTGCCACCATGCCCAGCTAATTTTTGTACTTTTAGTAGAGACGGGGTTTCACCATGTTGGCCAGGCTGGTCTTGAACTCCTGACCTCAGGTGCTCCACCTGCCTCGGCCTCCCAAAGTGCTAGGATTACAGGCGTGAGCCACTGTGCTTGGAAGTATTATATTCTTTATTCTTCTGAGATTAGACATCAAATGCTGAGGGGAAATATGTAGATGAAGAAAAACAGTTGTTGAGAATGTGGAAACGTGCATCTGGCACTGTCGTGATATTAGAGAGCTCTAGACGCTGGTTTTCTGCCTAAAAAGTGAGAAGGATAATTAGGCGGCCTTTAAGTCACTCCTTCAGCTACGGGCACTCTGCAATTCTACTGCCTCTAATTCCCTACACTGCTAACAATTCATTACCATTAAGTAAGTGTAATGTTAGCTGCAGGCTTTTTACAGATAATCTTTATCAAGTTGAGGAAATTTCTTTCTATTATTAATTTTCTGAGGGTTTTTATCAGACAGATGCTGAATTTTGTCAAATGCCTTTTCGGTGCATTGATTGATATAATCATATACTTTCTCTTCTTTAGCCTGTTAAGAAGGTGGATTACATTAACAGATTTTTCAAAACATGAACCAGCCTTGTGCCACTTCCTTCTGGCTCTAAGATTTCTGATAAGAACTATGCTGCCATTCTAATTGTTTTTCTCCTGTAGGTGAGATCTTATTTCTCTTCTGCTGATTTCAAGGTTTACTTTTTCATTTCCTCTAATTTTCAGAAGTCTAATTATGACGTGTCTGTGCATGGAACTTTGTGGGGGTGTGTGTTTGAGTTACACTTAGGCTCTTAAATCTGTAGATTTCTGTTTTCTGCCATTATTTCTTTAAATACATTTTCAGCCCCATCGTCCTTCTTCTTTTCTTGGAACACCAATGACCTGAATGTTACTGTTCTGTTAGAGACCACAGGTCCCTGAAACTCTGTTAATTGAATTCTAGTTTATTTTCTCTGTCTTGTTTAGATTGCATAACATCTACTGTTCCTTCAGCTCACTGCATTATTCTTTCATACCCTCTATTCTGCTATTAAGCCCATCATGGATAATTTTATTTCAGTTATTGTATTTTTTAGTTCTAAAATTTCTGTTTGTTTTTTCTTTATATCTTCTATTTCTTTGCTGGGCCTTCTATTTTTTAATTTGTTTCAAGTGTGTTCTTGAAATATTTTTACAATGACTGCTTTAAAATCCTTGTCAGATAATTTCAACATTTCTGTCATCTCAATGTTGACATCTGTCGATTCTATTTTTGTTTGTTTGTTTGTTTGTCGTACAGATGAGGTCTTGCTATGTTGCCCAGGCTCGTCTTGAACTCCTAGGCTCAAGCCATTCTTCTGCCTCGGCCTCCCAAAGTGCTGGGATTACAGGCATGAGCCATCATGCTTAGTTTGATTCTACTTTTTAATTCATTTACAATTATTCCTGCTTATTGGTATGATGAGTGTTTTTCTTTCGAAACCTGGATATTTTTTTACTATGTTGTGAGCCCCTGGATCTTATTTAAACCTTCTGTTTGAGCTGTGTTTTGTTTTGTTTTGTTTTTCAACACTACTTCAGTAGGAAAACAGGAGTCTCTTACTGCCAGGTAGAGGAAGAAATCCAGGTTCTCCACCCATCCTTCATTGACACCCAAGTTTGGGGGTGGGGATGCTCCTTGTTACGGTTGGATGGAAGAGGAATTTTCAGCTGTGTTTGTGGTCTCCACTGATACTGAGGTAGAGCTGACCTCATTGTTGATGGTAAATCTTGAAAGTCCCGAGTCTCCACTAGAATATCCCTCTGACGCCACCCAGATGGTAGGAGGACAGGCGCTTTGTTATTGCTGGTGGAGGAGAAAGGCAAGACTCTCCTGACATTCTCCACAGATACCACGAGGTGGCCTTATGACAGGCTCTGTTTGACTGTCTCAGATGCTCCCTACAGGGGAGGTGTTGGAGCACCTTGAGACAGTCTCGTGTGGGTGGAAGTCTGGCTCTCCACTTGGATGTACTGGTGTGTGTCTTAGTCATTTCAGGCTGCTATAACAAATTACCATAGACTGAGTGGCTTATAAACAACAGAAGTTATTTCTCATGGTTCCAAGGTTGGAACCCTGAGGTCACAGTGCCAGCATCACCGGGTTCCAATGAGGACTCTTCCGGATTGCAGATGGCCCATTTCCTGCTGTATCCTCACGTGGTGCAGAGAAGCCAGCAAGCTCTTCCAAGGGCACTAACCCTATTGATAAATACTCCAGCCTCATGACTCTATCTAATTCTAATTACTTTCCAAAAGCCCTGCCAACAAATGCCATCACAGTATTAGAATTTCAACATATTCCTTTTTGGGGGGAACACAAATATTTAGTCCTTAATACCATGGATGGGGTGAGGCTGTAGTTTTTCCGCATGTTTGGCTGGAGTACCATGGTTATTGTCTACAAGTTTTCTGTCTTGCTAGGCTTCTCCTTTCTTGCTCCTTTGGCTATAGAGAGCAGGTTTGGGGGGAAATTTTTTTTTGTCTGCACCTGTTTGCGTTTCTGGGTTAGCTACTTCTTCAGCTACTAGTCTCAGGTCTATGATGCTAAAAGAAACTCACCAACTTTTTTCTTCCCTTAGATCCTGAGGTCCCTGACTTCTTTGTCTTCATCTCTCCACCTTTCAGATAAGGCCCTGCCTCTGGGGAGTTTACGTTCTAGTGATAGAGACAGACAATAAACCAGCAGTTACACACATCATCACACTGTTGTGGTTTATAAGATAAATGTCGGCTTTCCCCAATGAATTATCACTATTGCTCTCATGAAAAGGCATTCCTTATGTACTTCGTTGCACATAAGGCTGTAAAAGAAAACCCTACCAAATACTTGATCCTGTGAACTTATTTAAGAAGCAGTTGTAATCTTGGCCATGTTCAAAAAAGCTGTTGCGACGGTGACTGTTTTCTTGACACATCTACATATCAGGCCAATGAAAGAAGCTGCTACCCAGAGTTTAAGACAACTGTGTTTAGCTACTTAGTATTAACCACTTGGCGCATGCAAATGACTCCCACCCTCACTCCCTCTACCCATGCAAATGCCAAAAAAGACTGGTCTCCTTTCAGTCTTTCCTATTTCTGAAAACAGCACCTCCATCCACCCAGTCATTCAAGTTCCAAACGCAAAAGTTATTCCTGTCCTTCCCTCGCCATCCCCCTACCTCCACCCCAGCCAGCAGCGAGACTTGTCAATGCCACTCCTCAAATAGCCTGGATGGGACCCCTTCTCATCACCTCCCTGCTGTAGCCCTGCTCTAAAACAGTACCTTCTCTGGCCAAGACTGGCCATAAAAGCTCCCACATGCTCTGCCTGCGATAAGTCCTGCTGCACCTCATTCTCTCACAGCAGCAGAGTATTCTTGTTAAATCTGAAGCCAGGTCATGTCACATCCCTGCTGTAAACCCTCCAGCTCCTTTTCCAACACACTTAGGATAAAAGTCAAGAGTCTCACCCTGGATTTCAAAGTCTGAACTGACCTCTGCCTCTCTCTTGTCCTACTTTCATCTTGAGCCACAATCCCTTTGCCCAGCATACACCCGGCATGGCCACCATCTTCCCGGTTTTGAAACATCACCATGCTTGCTCTGCCTTGAAGCTTTTGTACTGCCTGGCCTTTCTGGCTGGAGTGTTCTTCCTGCCAACCTTTGATGGATGGCTTCTTTTAAATTTTAGATCTCAGCTTAAGTGTTATCTCCTGTGGGAGCTCTTTCTCGATCATCTAATTTAAGATAACCCCTCAGTTTAAGGGATCACCTTTATAAAAATTGTCACCTCTATAAAAATTCTCATTATCTGTTATTTTTCTTGCTTATTTGCTTGTACTCTATTTTTCCTAGTAAAATATAAACTCCATGAGAGAGAAGAGAAGCATTCTTTATCTTATACACCGTCCATAGTAGTTGCTCAATAAGTGTTTATAGAGTGGATGAATGAGGGATGATATGGTTTGGCTCTGTGTCCTCATCCAAATCTCATCTTGAATTGTAATCCCCAGGTATTGAGGGATCATCTTCTGCCATGATTGTAAGTTTCTTGAGGCCTTCTCAGCCACGTGGAACTGTGAGTCAGTTGAAGCTCTTTGCTTTTTAAATTACCCAGTCTTAGGTATTTCTTTACAGCAGTGTGAAAATGGACTAATACAAGGGGTCATGGGCTCTTTTTTCATTGGCCGTGAGAAATGAACCTTAGGTGAAGAATAGACTCATGTAAGAATAAGTAAAAGGAAACATTTAACTAAAAGCAAGTGTTCAGAGACAATATAATACATTATCTTAGAAGACAATGAAATCTCTTTGTTTAGCCCTCTTAACAGGGTACATGCAGGTTTTTTTTAAATTTTTTAATTATGGAAACTGCTAAGTATGCACAAAAGCAGAGAGAACAAGAAAATGAAATCTCATGTATCCATCATCCAATCTCAAGTCATTAATCTATGGCCAATCTGGTTTAATAGCTTCGCTCTCTCCTGTCCTCAACCTCGTAACTATTTTGAAGCAATCAATCCCAGACACCGTATCATTTCAACAGTACATTAGAAACCTCCTTTTTAGGTGTCCCCAGATTTTACCTCTCTTTCTCCTGAATGTGAAAGGGCTCACAGTATAGAAAGTGAGCATGAACAACTCCAAGGATCAGAAGAGAATGTTGACCAGAAAAACACTTTGCAAGGACCTGTCAGATATTCCCTCCTGCACAGAAAGGGAGCTGGCTGCTTCCTCAGAATGGTCTGTCTGCCCACATGAAATCGAGTACCACCTACCAAAAGTAACCAAAGTTATGCCCCAAATTTACCATATTGAGGAGCTTTGCTGAGTTAGATCATGGATTATATATTTAGCAATGATATTGGCAAAATGTCTTTTTAAACAAATCAAAAATTTTCAGGGACTTTGAGGGTTTCATAGTAATAATAACAATACCAACATTAATAACAACATCTAATGTTTAATGACATTTACTTGCACCAGGTACTCTTTCTAAGGACTTCATTATTAACAATAATTTAAGTTAATATTTATATTATATTACTAATAAGTTAATATTAACAAATTAACATGTTAATATGTGCCAGGCAATGAGCTAAGTGTCTTATATGTATTAATTCATTTAATCCTCACAAGAACCTTAAATGATGGGTGCTAATGAGGATATAAGAATATGCCCATTTTACAGATAAGTAGACTGAGGCAGAGAGGCTAAGTAAGTGACTTGCTCCAGGTCACAGAGCTAGTAAGTGGCAGAGCCAGGTATTGAACCCAGGCCCATTGACTGCAGAGCCTGCTTGTCTAATGACTAGAAGGTACAGCCTTCCAAATAGCACAAGGCCTGGGTGGCTGGAACCAGCCTCATCCACACTGATGCTGTTGTGTGCACAACATGGTTCTATGTGCTACAAGGTGGGGCACTAAACAGGGCGAGGGAAGGACAAGACAGAATCCCTCCTCTGAAACATGAACAATGTCACAGGATACCTGGGAGAACATTTAACTCACATTCCCAAATATTGCATGAGTAAATGTTAAAAAGCAAGCAAGGACCAACGTTTTCCATCACTGGGGTCCAAGACTCCCAAAGAACACTCAAGTTTAATAAGGAGGCTTTGAATCTCCAGCTGAACCACACATTGTTTTTTGACTGAATACATAATATCTCATACATATGCATACTATTCTTTTCACGTGCATACAGTGATGTGATTATGAAAATAAATATTCATTTGTAACGGTTACTGAATTCAGGTGATCATGATGGTTTGTTTTTTCAACTCCCAAGCGTTAAAGGTATAGCACAAAGTTATACATAAAGTTTTTGTTACTGGAACAAAAGTTGGGAACCATGGGCTTGGTCAGTGAGTTCTTCCTGGTGTGCAGAAAAGCAAGAAGTCAGTATGGTTGAAGTGGTTAAGAATAATTTGTAGTTGGGCACAGTGGCTCACGCCTGTAATCCCAACACCTTGGGAGGCTGAGGCAGGTGGATTACTTGAGGTCAGGCGTCTGCAACCAGCCTGGCCAACATGGTGAAACCTCGTCTCTACTACTAAAAATACAAAAATTAGCCGGGCATGGTGGCAAGCACCTGTAATTCCAGCTACGCGGGAGGTTGAGGCACGAGAATTGCTTGAACCTGGGTGGAAATTGCAGTGAGCCAAAATCACGCCACTGTATTCCAGCCTGGGTGATAAAGTGAGACTCAGTCTCAAAAAAAAAAAAAAAGAAAAAAGAAAAGAATACTTCATAGACGAGGTGCAAATTGAGCAGAGATTTGTTATTGTATGTTAGCTATTACTGTTTCATAAACCACTGCTCACCTCAGATGTATAATGTAATAAACACGGATTTTTGCTCACTGCTCTGGATGTGTTGATCTGAACTGGACTCAGCAGGGCACACTTACGCATCTGTGGTTGGTGGTGGCAGTCTAGGTGGTTTTGGTGATCTTGGTTGAGCTCCCTTTCAAATCTGGGGACTTGGCTAGGCCCAGTGGGCTGACTTGGCTCTGCTCCACTTCGCCGTCCTCCAGCAGGCTAGCAGCGGATGTAGAAACAGTGTCAGGAGGAGGACAGAGGAGCCAGAGACACAGTGGAAGAGCACGAAGCCCTCTGAGGCCCAGGCAGCCCTCACATTGTCACTTTCACTTTATTCTATTGGCCAAAGCAAGTCACTAGATCAGATCAAATACAAGGTGCAAAGCAGTCACATGTCTTGATGGGAGTAGCTGCAACATCACATTTCATAGAGTATGGATATAGGGGGTGGTTGGAGCTGTTTTGTGATCAGTCCACTACAGTTATGAAAACTGAGTAGTTCACCTGATCATTCAGGATTCACAGATACTTCTGGTCCAGCTAAAGTAGTGCAGTTGCTTGGCTGTATTTCATAAAGAGCAACATTCTGGGCTGCATTGTATGGGTGAAAAGGGACACTAAACACCTCTGGCCAGATCTTCTAGTCTACAGTGAGACTTCTTCGAGTGTCTTAGAACAGAAGGAAATGCCATGTGAGGATTCTGAGACCTTGTTTGGGCTCAACCAGAAAGAGGTGGTGATGATTTTACAGTGTTGTCCATGGGAAAGGAGAGGGAGTAGAGACCAGCAGCTGTGACGTTCATGCCACACATCTTCGCCACCTCCGCCTTAGAACATCTCTCACTGCTTGAAATACTGTCTTCTACCCACTCGTAAGGATAAGGAAGGAGCAACTATTTCCATGGGAAGCGAAATTCCACAGTGGGAAGAGCACAAGATCTAATCTGGTTCTAAGATTAGAACAGCATTAACAGAACAAAGATTTTTGTGTGTATGTTGTGGTGATCATTTGAAACATGCACATACAGTGATCATATTGTTCAAAGCAAATTTCATTACCCACAGTCCCAGCCACGGGTTGCTTTTTTAGAACCTTCTTTGTTTCAGTCTTGCTGAGTTATTCAGACTGTTAAAAAGCTGAGTGCATTAAGAGCCCTAAATCAAGTCATCTGTCTAGAATATTTCCTTTGAGGAAAGTTCCTTTTTTCATTCTTTCTCTCCACCACTCTTCCCCCCACCCTTTGTTAATGAAAAAACTTCAAAGGGTAAATTGCTTTACGTTTCCTCTAATGGTTATTGGAAAGAAGAGGCAGCTTTTTGAAATACATGTCTCTCTGCGAATGCCAGAAAAAAAAATGTGCAGTTGTTATCGGCTCCTGCCATCAACATTCTTTAATTTGAAGAAGGATTCAGCTGTATGAATTAGGTTGCAGGCTCCAGGGTTGTGTTTCTCATGGGTGGTATTTCATGGTGAAATAAAACAGCATTTAAGAAAGGATATGAGGCCAGTTGGGGTGGCTCACGCCTGTAATTCCAGCACTTTGGGAGCCTGAGGTGGGTGGATCACCTGAGGTCAGGAGTTCGAGACCAGGTTGACCAACATGGCGAAACCCCATCTCTACTAAAAATACAAAAATTAGCTGGGTGTGGTGGTGGGCACCTGTAATCCAAGCTACTTGGGAGACTGAGGCAGGAATTGCTTGAACCCAGGAGGCGGAGGTTGCAGTGAGCCGTGATCGTGCCATTGCACTCCAGCCTGGGTGACAAGAGCAAGACTCCATCTGAAAAAAAGAAGGGGGAAAGTATGGAAAATGAAGAGCAGCAGAGACACTGGGTTGGAAGAGAGGGGAAGGTGTGTGCGTGGATGGATGGTGGGCCGGTTGGAAGGTGGAAGGAATTGCCCACAGAAGCAACAATCCAGTGAGTTCCATTTCAGACAGGTCAGCAAGCCACTGCTGCCTCTTGCCATAGGTTTTGCTAAATGTCTCTGGAGGCAGATGTGCCTTTAAGTTTTCACAACCAAGAGACCGACCTCTAGAAAAATATTATCCCCTTCCACTCAGACCATCATCTTCACATCTCCCCCAGCCTCATGCTTTGAAAAGATCATGTTATTCTCTAACACAGGGTTTCTCTACCTTGGCACCATTGATAATTTGGATTGGAAAACTGTTGGGGGAGCTCTACTGTGTATTGTAGGGTGCTTATTAACTATCCCTGGCCTCTTCCACATCTTCGCACCACTCTGCCTCCTGGCTGTGACAACAAAAATGTCTCCCGACATTGCCAAGTGTCCTCTGGGGGACAAAATCACTTCCGATTGAGAACCATGACTTTAACACATTAAATGACAAACTGCTGAGAAAAACACAAGTAGCAGAGAAAACCAAAGAGGCTAATACAAATCATGGCTGCTATTTTTTTAACCCACCCAAGGAAGGAAAATGTCCATCAATTTCTAACCAGAAACAGGTAAGTCCTTTAATTCAAATACGAGAACAATAATTAAGTAGAGCCTATCTCTGAGTTTTTTTTCTTTCTCTTTCCTTTTTTTTTTTTTGGCGGGGGGGACGGACTCTTGCTCTGTTGCCCAGGCTGGAGTGCAGTGGTGCGATCTCAGCTCACTGCAAGCTCCGCCTCCCGGGTTCAAGTGATTCTCCCATCTCAGCCTCCCGAATAGCTGGGATCACAGGCGTGAGCCGCCATGCCTGGCCAAACCCTGTCTCTGTGAGGAGCCTGGAGAACTCTCTGTGTTCCTCTTGGTATAAAATAAGTGACCAGGAGTTGGTCACAGCTGGGCAGTTTTTAGGAAGAGATGCAACTATGTGGGGAAAGTTAGGGAAGTAGCCGGAACCCACTGACTGCACTCGTCCCACTCCTGGAGTCAACATTAAGTAGGTTGCATTTATGTGCTGTTCTTACGTTGTGGGTCAGAATGTCACCGTGTGAGACCAAATTGAAGATTCACCCAGGGTCGTTGCATGAGAATTGAGCTCTCTCTTTTACCTCCATATGGACTAATGATCCTTCACCTAGTGGCCCAGTTGTATTTGGCCTGAATATCTACCCATCATCCGTATCTGTAGCAGTTCATTGCCCCCTTTCTGCAAAAGATGCTGTCCCTCTACTGAAGCATCATTTCCCTACAACCTAGAAATAGTGTCTTATTTCACTCACACAATGCAGAGAAATCCCTTAATACATAATTGATGGCTGGGAGTGGTGGCTCACATCTGTAACCTCAGCACTTTGGGAGGCCAAGGTGGGCAGATCACTTGAGGTCAGGAGTTCGAGAACAGCCCGGCCAACATGGTGAAACCTCATCTCTACCAAAAAATACAAAAAATTAGCCATGCATGGTGGTGTGTGCCTGTAGTCCCGGCTACTTGGGAGGCTGAAGCATGAGAATCTCTTGAACCCAGGAGGCAGAGGTTGCAGTGAGCCGAGATCATGCCACTGCACTCCAGCCTGGGCAATAAAGCGAGACTCTGTCTCAAAAAAAAATAAATAATAATAGTAATGACTGATTAAACCCTTAAAAACTCACTGTAGATAAATTCAAATGACTACAGAGCTTCCAGCATTTTATAATTATTTCCAATAGTATATTAATAATTAATGCTATAAAGCTGATGTCTAAAGTACATTAGAAATTATAAATACCGATCTCATATTTTCTTCAGGATATGTTTTGTAAATATGCACCAAGCAAATAAAACAGCCTCCAAAATTTATGTCGAGACCTAAAATCATCATATAAAATGTACATATATTTGAGATATATATGCCTACATTTATACTGCCAATCTATTGAAAACCTTGCGAGGGTGACTTGTGTTTGAGCACTGTGCACTTGGTTGCTTTAATCAACGTGCTTTGACATGCTATACTTATGATAATAAGACAATACTGTGAATAGCTATCTTTTTATACAAAAGAAGACGTTTTTGGAGAATCAAATAAATCTTCTTTTGGAAAAATAGACATTTTTAAAACTCACATCTTGCATCTACTGTCATCTCAAATAAACCCAGAGAAATAAAGAACGAGACTACTGGGAAATCCCTGTCATTTTGTTAGAAACCTCAGAAGAAAAGGCTGTGGTAAACCGTAAATATGACAGGTAATTTCAACAGCTACTGTAACGACTACGCATGTTTCATTAACATGAGAAGCTGAACTGGGAATCCAAAAGACCATGACTGAATTAATCAGCCTGGCTTCCTTTTATGATGATCGTTCCTTCAGGGCAGACTAATAATGGGCCTCCTTGTTCTACATTCAGATAGGGGATGTCAGAACAACAGCTACAATAAGACCTGAGATGTGACATGACCTATGCCTTTCAAGTCTTCCAGCGCCTCTTTGGTCTGCGCTTGAATCTGATTACTCCACTTAAGCATTTAATGAAATACATGGTCAGAGTGAGGCTGGCAGCTCTCTCCCTCAGCCCCTCTGGAGCAATTATCAGTTCGCTGTCCTGGCCCCTCACCTACCTCTCCACCCAAGGGACTGGGAAAAAAGCAATAAATTCACCCCCAAAGTAAATCATGTTTTAAAAATGCTTCCTTTAGAGAATAGATTTATAATGCAACACCAATAAAGCTCACTTAGGTATTTGACTGGTATCTCATTGTCTGCACTGAGTCACCAGAGTTTCTGCAACTTAGGGCCCTTAAATGCACGGATGGTGAGCCAATCAAAAGACAAGTGGGCCTTTTGCCCCACACTGTGAAATTGAAACAAAAACACCTGCAATTATACACAAAAAAGAGTAGTCTTGACTCAAGAGGTGACACAGAAAGAAGTAGGGACAAGAAATGGTCTTCCAGCAGAAGGACCCTTGAAGGGTTTTCTGAACGAAAGGATGAGTCTATCACAAGAAATACCACTGAATACTTTTAAGAGTAAATTTACTACATGAAAAATTGAGCTAACAAATCAAGCATTCATATTACAAAAGAATTCATTTTCTGCTTCTTTTAAGGTCCGCATCCCCCTAGGACATTTAAAATGCAGCTGATTAAGTATTGAAGGCTATAACTAAAGCAGTGCAGGAAATTTACTTCGTTCGCTTCTCTCTCTCTGTCTCTTTTTCTCTTCTGAAACAAATACATGTGACTTTTTAAAAAAGAAAAAGTAATGGAAGATATTCTTTTTAATGCAGTTTAATTTACAAAAGCGGTATTTCCGTAAATATTTTCTGAATTAAATCTTATTCACAGAGTCTTAAAGCTGATGCCAACTCTACTACAGCTGCAGGCTGTGCATTTGCCAAGCCTGACTCTGAACCCTTCTGTAGGATGAGCAAGACGAGGTTCAAGGAAGGTGAGTGATGGACTCACAGGCACATCCGTGACTGGCACAGGTGGACTTGGATCCCAGGACCCCATTACACAGAGGGATGCACTGAAATGAAAGTGATGAGGAGGCTGAATACAAAGGGAATTAGGGCAGGGTCTTCATCAGATTGGATGGCTATAATAGAGTACCATAGACTAGGTAGCTTATACACAATACACAACAGAAATTTTCTTTTTTTTTTTCTTTTTTTCTTTCTTTTTCTTTTTTTTTTTTTTAGACAGAGTCTCACTCTGTCACCCAGGCTGGAGGGCAACTACATGATCTTGGCTCATTGCAACCTCCACCTTCCAGGCTCAAGCAATTCTCCCATCTCAGCCTCCTAAGTAGTGAGACTACAGGTGTGCAACACCACACCTGGATAATTTTTGTATTTTTTTGTAGACATGGGGTTTCACCATATTGCCCAGGCTGGTCTTGAACTCTTGGCCTCAAGCAATCCTCCCAGTTCAGCCTCGCAAAATGCAGGGATTACAGGTATGAGCCACTGTGCCCAGCCGAAACTGATTTCTTACAGTTCTGGAGGCTGGAAGTCCACGACCAGGGTGCCAGCAAGGTCAGGTTCTGGTGAGAGCTCTCTTCTGGGTTACAGATCACCCACTTCTCCTCGAACCCTCATAAGGTATAACAGAGTGTGAGAGAGCTCTCTGTGGTCCCTTACACCAGGTCATTATAAGGTAATGACCTAATTACCTCCCAAAGGCCCCAAGTTCCAATGCCATCACATTGAGGTTTAGGATTCCAACATATAAATTTGGGAGAGACACAAACATTCAATCTATTGCAGACAGTTTATGCTAAACAAAGTTACTGAATTCTAGAACGTTTCTATTGTTATCAGATAAATTATAACACTTTCTGGATCTCTTCAGATGTCTGAACATAGACCTCACCCCCTGAGTCATGGGTGACCCAAAATGGTAATAATGGTACTGTTGCCATCACAGCCATTCGCAGGTACTTGACTTGAATATCTGAAACAAATATAATTAATTTTTTCCTTGGGAAAAATTTCAATACTGGGTTCAGTTTTCTAAACTGCGTATGCCAAAGCCGAGATTGCAGCCATTCTTATGTAGCACAAATCAATTCACCAACACTTGCAGAATCAGTTTTCGTGGGGAAGAAAGCAATTAAGATTTAGAGCAGGTGCTGCTTTGACTATTAATTATAAACCCTCTGGAACACAGTGAAATGTGCAACATAATTCCAAGAAACATCTCACTTTAAATTGGAAAATGTTTCCTTGTTTTTTAAAGGGACAGTCTGAAGCAAATTCAAAGTGTAAATATTTTAAATTATGTAATACAAATGTGAGACCTTCTGAAACTAAGGTTATGAAAGGAGTCAATTCTATTATGTGATCCTGCGATGTGTCAGGGGGCTGCAAACTATTTTGATCCAGCACATTTAAAAATTGGATATTCATAAAATAAAATAAATGAAGCCCAAAGAGAGAAGAAGCCTGCTGTCTATGGTGGGTGTAGTTCCAGGAACACCCTTGGAAGCTAAGGGTGTTTTTAGCTTCCACGTGGCACAAAGCACAACAGCATGAAAGGTTGGGATGTCACAAAATGGCAGGCGGGAATGTTTCCCTTCAGTTACATTCAGGAGTGGCTGTGAGCACTTCGGACCCAGAAGCAGCTCACAGCCAGGGGGAGCATGGGAGACCTAGACCCAGGATACCAGTTATTGATTAGAACACACCCTGACAGCACACCCTCCCCCTTCCTTACATCACTGGGACAAGTGAGGTTGACAAGATGTAGCATTTACAAACAGGCAGGAGAGAATCTCAAATGCAAATGTGAACCACAACCAAAATTACGTAACATTTTAGGTAAATAAACAACTTAAGAGAGACACTATAACTTATAAACAGGAGAACTGAAATAAAAGAAAACAGAGCCAATAGAGGAAAGAGATGGGAGGATGAAAAGAGATGTCATTATGAATAATATCTTCAGAAGGAATAGGATATCACACATTCCCGAAGCAAAATCAGGTTGTATGACTAATAGGGGACTTGAAGATAAAAATCATAATTATTGAAATAACAATTTCAATAGATGGATCAATAGCAAATAGATAAATCTTAAAAGCGGTGTGCTGGAGAATGGAGCTAAAAAGTTCTCTAAGAAGATAGTTCCAAATGACAGAAAGATGGAAAATGGGAAAGGAAGGTCTTAGAGAACATATCCAAATATGGTAACATCTACCTTAAGGAAAAGGATAGAAAGAAGAAAGGGAAGAAAATCTTAAGAACATAACTTTAGGGAAATAATTTTAGAAGAATATTTCCTTGTGTGGAACTATAGCACTAATTGGTTCAATTTTACTTCTACTTTCAGAAAGTAAACATACCAGCAATTACAATAAAATAAGTGAATTACGTTCACCTGCTAAATATTCTCACACTGGATACAAAACAAAAACAATAAGATAATGCAACTATATGTTACTTGCCAGAGATGCAATTATGATACAGAAAGGTTGAAAAAGTTTTGCAAAACAGATGCTAACAAAAAACCTCAAGTGTGACAATACAATACCAGACAAAATAGAATGCAAGGCAAAAGAAAAGGCAATGAAAGAAACAAAGAGATTGTATTTCATATTGTGAAGAGTTACGATTAACTAGGAAATTATAACATGAACTCTAATATAACCAACAAATTGCCTGAGCTACATAAAGCAACAACTGGCACAAACACAAAGAATAATAAACAAATTCACAATCTTAAAGAAAGATTTTAAAGTGTTTCCCACAAAAATGGATAGACAGATACACAGCATCTGAATGATACAATTAATAACCTTAATCTATATGTATATATTACTGTTTACAAAACAATACTTATACAAAAACCAAAATTATATCTGTGCAGACATAAGAAATATATGATCTTTTTTTGAGACAGGGTCTCACTCTGTCACCCAGGTTAGAGTGCAGTGGTGCAATCATGAATCACTGCAGCCTTTACCTCCCAGGCTCAAGCGATCCTCCCACCTCAGCCCTCCAAGTAGCTGGGACACACCTGGCTAATTTTTTTTTTTTTTCACAATGTTGCCCAGACTGGTCTTGAACTTCTGGCCTCAAGTGATCCTCCTGCCTCGGCCTCCGAACAGTGCTGGGATATTTGTTAAACCTACATAAAACATTCCTAAAGCTGCTCATGTATTAATGGGAAGAAAATCTCAACAAATTCTGAAATTCCCAATCAAGCAAAAATTAAGCCACATTCACTAATAATGCAATAAAATTAATATTATAGAGATAGACAGAAACAAAAAATATATTAAAAATTATCAAACTAGAATTTTAAAACTCTAAATCCTTTCAAGTTAAAGGGAAATTTAAAATAAGAATTATTAGCTACATGTTTAGAAATGTTATACAGTAAGTACAACATATCAAAACCCGCAGCATATAGTCAATATGCTAAAAAAAAAAAATAGATAAGCCTAAAAGCCCTTATTCAAAGACAAGGCAGGATTCCTTAGTTACAAGAGTCTAAAACCCAACTCAAACCGGCTTAAGCAAATGGAAAAACTTGGCTTACATAATTAGAGTCCAGAGTAGAGTTCGAACATGGTTAGATCCAGGTGCTCAAAAAACACCATCAATTCCTATTTCCTCTGTGCTGCCTTTGTTCTTAGGCAGGTTCTTTCTGTAGTGGCAAAATAGTAATCAGCTGCAGTGCGTGGCCTATCCACCCTCAGTTCACCAACCCTAAGAGAAAATGAGCATCTTTGCTAAGAAGCAAGAGTCCACTAACTTCAATGTGACCATTTTGAATGAGGAGCGGGTCTGCTCCACCTAAAACATAAATACTCAGTAGAAGTGGGTAAGTAAAAGAAGTCTAATTCAATAGGAACAATTGAAAATAAGTAAACTAATCTGGCACTAAAAGAGTTAAGAAGATAACAAAGTCAAACCTAAGGAGTAAGAAAAAAATCAACTAATTAAGCAAAATGTTATTTAAAAAAATTAGTAGGATGGATGAACAAAACAAATGCTTGGTACTTTACAAAAGCTGAATAAAATTGGCAAATCTTTGGCAAGTCATCAAGAACAAGATGAAATCACATACATAAGAAAAATTAGAATTAACAAAGAGCAGGACTCAAGATACAGATTTTTAAAACAATGAAGAATACTTTTTGTGACTTTGCCTTAAATATAGAAAATATAAATGAGAAAGATGATTTTCTGTGTAGAGAAAAAATTAATCAAAATTTGGCTTAAGAAGATCTGACATGAAACACTCCCCTGCCCCCACACACACACAAACACACACACCCCACAGGAAACCTGAAAGACAGTGATCAAAGATATATTCCTAATAAATGCCACTCGGTTTGAAATTTGGACAAGTACATTCTACCAATCTCTTAAGAAGAGATACCTCCAATACTGTGTAAATTATCCCAGAGCTAAAGTAAGAGATTCCTTCTAATTCATTTAATGAGTTTGGCATAACCCTGATGGCAAAACTAGACAAGGAGAGCGTGAGAAAATGACATGCAAATCACACGTATGAAAAAGGTACAAACATCCTAAATAAAATATTCACAAGTTGACTCCTGCAGCTAATAAAAAAGTTCAGCAAGATATATAGATTCAAAATTTACATACAAATGTAGATAGCAGGATATTCACTGGAAATAACCAAGTGAGAATTTCAATTTCAAAGGACTTCCATTCTCATCAGAAACAAAAAAGAAGATGCTTAGGAATATCCTAATAAGAAATGTGCAAGATCCAGGTGGAAAAATCTGTCACATTTACAGAAAGGCATGTAATGACAATTGCATTGTTATTTACAGAAAGGCATGTAATGCCAATTGCATAAACAGAGATAGTCTGAGTTCCTGTACAATAAGTTCCATCATTCCCCCACATTGTTTTTAACCTCTGTGCTTCTCGTCTTGATGAAACCAGCTGCCTATGGATGAGGAAGCTACCTCCCCACTAGAGAGGGATGGTCCTTTGCCTAGGTGACTGAAGCCCAGAGAATCATGTGCTTCAGGAGGGCTCTTGCTGAACATGGTATATCTCCTCCCTATGAAGTTGCTTATTCTCCCCCAGAAGGCAAAGACCCTTATTTCCTCTTTCTCAAAGCAGCTCTTACATGACAGAATTCCCTTCTGCAGATTTTCTTTCCAATAATTGCATGCCCATTTGGGAGAAACAGGATCTTTCAGAAGCTGCTTTCAGTGAGTAAGAAGAAAGGCTGGGAACCACATAAAGGTCCATTTGAAGCAGTCATTGCAACACCATGTCTCAAAGTCACTCTGTCAACAGCTTTTGGGCACACCAGTGGGAAAGACACATGAGGTGCAAAGGCCTTAAATCCCATTCGCTACCCTTCAGATCCCAAACTGGATTCTAGCACAAACTGACCATCAGTAAGATGGATGCCACCTGAAGCTGCAGTTGGTGATCATTTCAATCAGAATTCCTCAGAAACTCCAAGACAGGCCGGGATTCTATTTGCAGAGACTCTACTCCACTGAGGAAAATGTTTGTTTCTAATAGTTAGTATGAACCTGTCATTTCTTCTCTCTCTTTTCTTCCTATTAGCTAACCTCCTCATTCCTTGCAGTTTTTGGTTACTTGTCTTTTTTCATCTGCTTCTCTATTTTCTTCCTGAGCCCCTTAAACCCCAGCCAGACTCATAACCACACTGCCCTTCCCTTTTTTGGTTTGTCTGTTTCCATTCTTATTCGTACTAAACCCCTCTCTCTTTTTTTTTTTTTTTTTTCTGCGTCATGGGCAATGCAATTCACAGTTGCTTGAATTGGGCCATTAAAGATGTTGTCTTTGGATCATTTTTTTTCTCCTTTTCTCCTAGCAAACCCCGCTCTCCAACCCCCAGCCTCTCCTCTCTATACAGAAAATGCTCAGCATTTTCTGGAGCCAAAGATGCAGCAGAGGGAGAGGGCTGGGGATGAGGCACGGCGGTAGCAAACTCAAATACCCACAGGGTCCAGGCAAGTGATCTGAGTAGGTGAATGGACCAGATGGCAAACTGGCAAGCACATGCCCAACTAAAGGGAGCAGCTGCTACACAGCTCCCCTGATGGGTGCCAGGTGGGAGTGTAGTCCCAGAGCTGCCAGAGCTCTCAATTTTTAAGTAGAAGTCAGAAATATCTTTGTTATCAGAAACATGGCAGGCTGCTGAAGCAAACTACAATGCTTTAGCTAGACTTGGAATCCTACAGGAGGTAATTACTGGCTGTAACTCAAACTTCTAGCTAGGAGAAGATGGCTGTCTCCCACCTGGGGAGCAGTCCTCAAACAAAGCAGAGAGCAGATGGGAGCCCAAGGAGGGGCCCCTCCCTCCCATTTCTCCCGAAGGGTGGACTCTGCGGAACAGCTGATGTCGATCATGCAGTGACGATGTGTCAGGCTTTGTGTTAAGCACTTTACATGTGTCACCCCATGAAAGCCACAAAATAACCATGAAGGCAGCACTGCCAGATTTAGCAAATAAAAACACTGGAGGCTCAGTGACATTGGGATTTTTGCTCGGGATATACTTATGAAAATCTGTTGTTTTTCTAAAATTCATATGTAACTGAGCCTCTTGTGTTTTATCTGGTGACCCTGCATGAGAGTACAAGATGGTCGTAACTTTATTTATGAAAGAAGTTGTTCATTTGTGAGATGCTCAAAGTCACCTAGCTAGCACGCACTGACCATCAGTAAGATGGTTGTCACCTGAAGCTGCAGTCAGTAATCATTTCAGTCAGAATTCCTCAGAAACTCCAAGACAGGCTGGGATTAAACAGCAGTCAGGACTCAAGATTCAAACCCAGAACTGATTTCATTCCCAAGCCCACACTTAACTTTTGCACAAATGTTTCACAAACTTTGATCCACTGATTTTGTGGGCCTAGAGTTTAGGAAATAATCCCCCAATTTTTTTAAAAAAAAGATGGTGTTTTTATTCTGACGATAATAGTAAACATTTGCTTATTTACTTGTTATAAGATAAAAAGTTGAATTCTGATTTGAACAAATCAATTGTAACGAAAACATTTATGAGATATTCTGGGAAAATGTAACAGACTAGATATTTAATTACAGTGAAAAATTAAATGAGATAATGGAATTGTGATTTATCTTGTGAAAAAATAGTCTTTGTCTTTTAGAGATTCATGTTGAAATGTTTACAAACAAAATGATAACGATGTCTAGGATTTGCCTTATAGTAATTCAATCAAAGTACATGTAAAGGGAAAAGCAAGATTAGCCATGAACGGTCATTGTTGAAACGGGGTGACGGTATGCGTATCGCCTGCTTATATCACTTGTGTCTGTATACTTTTGTATATATTTGAAATTTTTCCTAATATAAAGTAAAAATATTACATTCTTAGTGCAATGGCAATTTGCAACTAAGAGATGTTTTTGTGAAACAGACTAGTTTCTAAAGTCAGCATTTATTTTCTGGGATTCTTGAGAATTGTATTTTCTTTGAAATAAGTGAATATAATTTTCAAATTTGAGAAATGCCAAGTGCTATTTTATTGTGAAATATATACAAATGTAGCAGGAATACTCCAGCATTTTGAGAATATTGGAAATCTATTTCTTTGAGGCTAAAAAAAGATAAGGACCTTCTTTTAGAATTTTTGCTTCTGTAGGTGGGTGGCAGACTTTTCAGACTACGCAACAAGATAGTATGTACTTCTAACATGCAATGGAGGAAATTCCAAGATCGCTCTCAGTTTCATAAAATGTTTGTCCTGGAAGTATCCACTGACCTGGCATGATGGGACTGAGAAACCTCATTTCCAAAAAAATGTGAGACGAGTGATGACTGCAATGGTCTCTGACTTGTGCATAACCTCAGAGGAGGTTATTTCTGCAGGGCTTCCTCTTAAGAACATGTCTTGGCCGGGCGCTTTGGCTCACGCCTGTAATCCCAGCACTTTGGGAGGCCGAGGCGGGCGGATCACGAGGTCAGGAGATCGAGACCATCCTGGCTAACACGGTGAAACCCCGTCTCTACTAAAAATACAAAAAATTAGCCGAGCGTGGTGGTGAGCGCCTGTACTCCCAGCTACTCAGGAGGCTGAGGCAGGACAATGGCGTGAACCCGGGAGGCGGAGCTTGCAGTGAGCCGAGATCTCGCCACTGCACTCCATCCTGGGCGACAGAGCGAGACTCCGTCTCAAAAACAAAAAGAACATACCCTTCTCCTGGCCCGCAGCAACAAGCATTGTCACCGTCCGCCCTCCAAGCACGTGCCTCACTGTCATCTGCATGTGTGATCCAGCCTTTAAAGGTAGGAACAACTTCATTACCCTAACAGCTCCCATACCAGACATAAGTGGTGGTCAAGGAGAGAGGAAGAAGGAAGAAGACAGGCAGAGGAATTGCACGATATAGGAAGGTGGCATTGAGAAAAAGCACTGGGTATGGTAAGTAGTGGTGATACACACAGGAGACAGGGAAATACTGGGTAGAAGAGGGCAGTTCCCTGGCAAAGGTCCCACCCTCAAGCCTGAAGACCCGTGGCCCTATGTGAGGACGGGCATTTCTGTTTTGGCTCACCACGCCCCCCACCCTGTGTCTTTTTAAGTTCGAGACCTTAGCAGGCACAGACACAGGCAGCTGAACGTCGAGAGGAGCAGAGGAACAGAGCAGCAGAGAGCGGTGGGGCTGCATGGCAGAGAAAGAGAGAAGAAGAAGGATCTCTGGATGCTGAGGGGAGTTCAACTGGGGGCAGTCAGAGAAGAGTCTGGCTGCTGGGTGGCCAAATCCAGGGGAAGACCACCTTCCCAAGCCATCCCCACTTCCGGCTCCCCATCCATCTTGCTGAGACCTACCTCCACCGCTCAATAAAACCTTGTACTCATCCTTCCAGCCCACATGGGATCCAGTTCTTCCAGTACACTGGGCAAGAACTCACACTGTCACACTGGCCCCTGCCCTTGCGATAAGGCAGAGGTTCCATTTAGCTGATTAACACAAGCTGTCGGCAGACGGCAAAGCTGAAAGAATACACTATAACACATGTGCACTGCGGCCTCGGGAGTCGTAGACACCCACTCCTAGATGCTGCCATGGGCCTGGAGCTCAACAGCACCCACCCCCAAAAGCCTCTGCACTGCATGTCTGCATGCTCCCCCTAGGGGTTTGAGCAGCAGGGCAGAGGGGCAACTCACAGGGTGAACCACACCCCTGTCACACGTCCTGCAAGGGGAATAAGGGAACCCTCCCATTTCAGTGGCAGAGTGTGAAAAATTGCCCTCAGGTGGCACTCGGTGGCATTTGTTCTGAGGAGAACAAACACTCCCAAACAGTGTGCTCTGAGATACTGACACCCCATTGCCACATGACCAAGCTGGGGCTGGGTGGCCAGAGGCCCATGAGTGGTCATCTTCATGACAGCAGGCTTGTTAGGGGATATGAATTATCTCCAGGTGACCTCAGTGCACCGTACGAATGTCGCCATTTTTTGTGAGTGACACGATCTGAAAAATGTGCTGTAGAATTTTTAATTTATACTTGCATAAAAACAGCTAACCAGGCCCAAGATGACCTTGCTGTTCACTACTCATTAGTTTAGCCTTCATGGAGGAAGAGCATCAGCTCCAAGGCTGCAAAACTACATGGGTTGCACAGGTCAAGGACTGGTTGCCATGCTAGTTTATACCAGCTAAGTACATAGCCATGTTCAGATAACCATTGAATGTGTCATCTGCAAGACACATTGTGGAGATCTACCCAATAGATTCACCATAAATGTGATTAGTTCACTATTGCTGCTACATCCCACAACACATGAAGGATCCCATTAGATAGATTGATGAAATAATTTTGTATCTGTATAAGCACTTTAAAATATTTAGGGGCTGGGAGAGGTGGTTCATGCCTGTAATCCTAGCACTTTGGGAGGCCAAGGTGGGTGGATCATTTGAGTCCAGGAGTTCAAGACCAGTCTTGCCAACATAATGAAACCGTGTCTCTACTAAAAATACAAAACATTAGCTGCGGGTGGTAGCACACGCCTGTAATCCTAGCTACTCAGAAGGCTGAGGCATGAGCATCACTTGAACCTGGGAGGTGGAGGTTATGGTGAGCTGGGATTGCACCACTGGACTCCAGCCTGGACAACAGAGTGATACTGTCTCAAAAAAAAAAAATATATATATATATACACACACACAGAGAAATAGATAATATAGATAGACAGATATAGATAGATAGATAGATAGATAGATAGATAGATAGATAGATAGATAGATTTAGGAGGAAAAAAGTATAGTCCTTTTAAACCTTTGAATGATTTTTAGAAGCCTAATAGGGTTATTAGGAAGAAAAGCATTCATTTACAAGCGGAGAATTAATCTGCAAATACAGTGGTGCAAAATACCCGATAGGAGAAGAAAAAATAATCTCATTTGGCTAGGGAAAGGAAGATGGGCATTTGCTGGATAATATATATCACTCTATATCTATAATATGTCTTTTCTTAGTCTTTTTTATTTTTCAACACAAGAGACTATCAGTACTGAGTCTAACAGTCTTGGGTGGAAGGGGTAAAAGCTTGGAGGAGGAAGCTGGCTGGGGGCTGCCTGGATAGGATTCAAGATCATAGATTAGCAAATTTCCGGAAGGAATCTGCTGCACAGTCAGGTCAGCCTGACCACTTTGCCACCCGCAGCTTTTCTACTGATTAGATTTGTAAATGGGCCAAGACCTAGACATTCATCCTGCAGCAATTCAGCAAGGCAGACACGGAATTAAGTCTGAATGGACATGCTCAGGAGCTCCAAACCAAGCAGGAGAGAGGCAAGGAATCAATGAACCTCTTGGAATTTATATCAAATGGACAAAAGAGCAGGCAGTATGTGGGCCTCTATAACAATGGCTTTGTTCCATTGTTAACAGTAGTGCTACCATCATGAGCTGAGCATGGAGGTAAGCCACATTCCATCGCACTCTTTGCTGGGTGTGATGAATCTAGAGTTAGCAGGTGTGTGTTGACACTCAGAGAGAAGCAGTCTTGGTGAAAAGACCTCTAAGCTATTGAGGCAGCTACTATGTCAGAACAGAGAGATTGACTCTAGGAGAGTTGAGGTTTACCAGGGAATAGAGAGGAAGTTAGAAGGACCAATGTGGCCTTCCTTGCAAAATTTAGAGAGTGGCTTTTCTGTTAAAACAGGACTAGCTATTGTCTACGGTAGTGTTTCTCGAATTTTAATATGTGCATGAATCCCCCAGGGATCATATGAAAATGTCCAGCCTTGATTCAGTGGCTCCGAAGTGGCCTGAGATACTGCATTTCTAACAAGTTCCCCAGAGTTGCTGAGGCTGCTGAAAACAAACCACAACACTAAATTCTAGAATATTCCCTAGAAATATTTTTAAGCTGAAGAGAAGACAAAGATAATTAGCAAGCTAGTTTTTCCTTGGGCCTGAGTGAGGCCAGGATTGGATTAAATTATGATTTTTATCTGGTTAGGGATCAGTGCTAAAGGTAACAAACTGTGCCTGGATGTGTGTATCACTTTAGCATTTGCTCTAATAGTGGTCAGTTTGTAAATACAGTATTCTTATGTTTATTAGCTCATTTAGAGAAAAGTATATTCTTTAGAAAATTATTTGTTGCATAGTAGCAATGAATAAATGGATAAATAAACAACAAGTGAAAATGCATTGTACATTCCGACTTAGCAAAGCAAACGAGAAATACTTCATTTCAGGTTAAAATGCCAAACCTAGATAACTATTTCTACATGATGGCATCTAAAGGAGAACCTTCCCAGACTGGAAATACAGCCTTGTTGTTCACATTACTCAAATTTACTTTCCTGGAGTTAGTGAATTTCTGAAACATACACACATACACACACAAATATATATTAGGTTGGTGCAAAAGTAATGGCAAAACCACAATTACTTTTGTACCAATCTAATATTGTGCACAAATGCAAACTTCACAGGGACACTGGCAAGGGGTAGTGACAGTGGCATTTTTTCAGAAGTGCTGAAACTCTAAATACTAATACAGTCAAGGTATTGTGGCTGGAAACAAGGTATAACTTGGTAATTGGTGGTTGCCAGGGAGATCTACGCAGCTGCCCAGCTGAAATTCAACATCTGCCCAGCTGGAATTCATTCTCAGACAGAGGGTTATAGTGGTGCGCAGGGCCAGGGGACTGCAAGGGTTAATTCCCTTGTAGTAGTTTCTCACATCCTCTTCCAGCAGACACCCACAAAGTACTATTCAGTTTGCACTGTAACAAATGTTATTTCTGGGCCTCAGTGAGATAATGGTAAGTGAATGTAATTCACTCTCATTAATATATTAAAATGAGTATGAATTTTAAATTAGAAGGAACAAGTCCATGGTCGAAGAATTGAAATTGGATTTATGTGATTTGACTTCGTAGTCATTTATCTACAATACTCATTGATACTAATTGCACAGTTTCCTCTTCACATTCCCACTGGGCAGCACGTGTGTGTGTGTGTGTGTGTGTGTGTGTGTGTGCATGTGTTATGTATTTGAATTAAAAGACACTGAGAAGTAGCGCCTAAAAATGTTCTCCTTAGCAGCTTCCATTAAAGATGTTAAGATGGCCAGGCGTAGTGGCTCACGCCTGTAATCCTAGCACTTTGGGAGGCGGAGGTGGGTGGATCACCTGAGGTCAGGAATTTGAGACCAGCCTGGCCAACATGGTGAAATTCCATCTCTACTAAAAATACAAAATTAGCTGGGCATGGTGACGGGAGCCTGTAATCCCAGCTACTCGGGAGGCTCAGACAGGAGAGTCACTTGAACCCAGGAGGCGGAGGCTGCAGTGAGTCGAGATCGCACCACTGCACACCAGCCTGAGCATGACAGAATGAGACTCTGTCTCGAAAAAAAAAAAAAAAGATGTTAAGACAAGATTCTTACCCTAAGTTACAGCTGCCCAGATTTATACCCCCATAAGAAGCAAAATTAACTGGATTCTGTAACTAAGGTTGCTTATGTGTTTCAAGACACTGCTTGCAGTATGAGTGGAAGTTTAAACAAGGTTTCTTGTATTCATAAGTGAACAGTGACAACAGAGCAAGGAAGAGACTCTGAAATATGTGTACTTTTGATTCAGGGAAAGGAAGAACAGGTTGCTCCAGCAGTTGCAAAGAACCAGGATCTTGCAGGATCCTGTAGGATCTTGGGCAAATGAACTTTACCTAAGTTTCAGCTTTCTTCACTTAGAAGATAACATTTTGAGATGTGATATGGCAGAGCAGTTATAAGCTTGGGATGTGGAGTCTGACAGTGATTCATTAGTTCAGTAAATATTTATGGAGTCCCTGCCAGGAGCTGGGCACTGTGCTGGACAGCAGTGGAGTTGTATGGAGCAAGCAGGTTTCCAGTGCTCATGGCAATTCGAACTTAGCACAGCTGACAGATGAGAGCAAATGGTCACAACTAGCTGTGTGACCCTGAGGAATGATCATAATAACAAGCATTAACCGAGAACCTGTGGCATACCAAACTCTTTTCTCAGTGCCTTACATGAAAAAGCTCATTTCATCCTCACAATAAGCCAACGAGGGTCATACCACAGTTATCCTTATTTTACAGATAAGGAGAAAGGACATTGTCCAGATTCCTAAAACTAGTAAGTTGCCAGAGTTAAACCCAAACTCCAAAGTCCATGCTATTAAGCACTAGAAAGTCTTGAAGTCTTAGTTTCCTTATCTGTAAAATGGACATAGTAACAACCTAAATCAGAGCACCATTGTGAGGTTCATAGGAAGTGGTGTATATTAAGGGTTTAGTGTAGTACTGTATTAGTCCGTTTTCACGCTGCTGATAAAGACATACCTGAGACTGGGTAATTTATAAAGAAAAAGAGGTTTAATGGATTCACAGTTTTACATGGCTGGGGAGGCCTCAAAATCATGGTAGAAGGTGAAAGGCACGTCTTACATGGCAGCAGTCAAGACAGAATGAGAACCCAGCAAAAGGGGTTTCCCCTTATAAAACCATCAGATCTCGTGAGATTTATTCACCACCACAAGAACAGTATGGGGAAACCACCCCCCCGATTCAAAGATCTCCCACCAGGTCCCCCCTACAACACATGGGAATTATGGGAGCTACAATTCAAGATGAGATTTGGGTAGGGACACAGGTTAGCTCTTTATTTGCCACGCCAAGAACAAAAAATAGCTTTCATTTCTAATCGTTGATTTCTATCAATAACTTTGCTTTCTGTCCACTATTGTTTCTCATTTAAAAAAGAGAAAAACCAAATAGAAATAAAATAAGGAATAAATAATCTGGGGAAAACATTTTTTAAAACTGATTTTTCTCAGAGTATAAAAAAGTAGAAATACATGAGCATTAAGGAGACAAAAGGCCTGTAGTTTGCATCTAGAGAAATGTCTATTTTAAGATGAATTATTATTTTAATGACTAGGTTTTAAAGCCTTCCCATAATTTGATGCCCTGGGCTTTATTTGCTGAGTTTCTATGTAGCTTAATCTCCTCTCGATCTCAGTGAGTGACAACTTTAGTATTCCCACACCTCCTATGAAACCTAGTGGTTGAGAGGTCGACCTGTGTCTTCCTAAAGTTCCCAGTGTGTCTATATCCAACAGGGAGACATTATCGTGGGTCCCTGGGAAAATCTGTATCTATAAAAACCAGAACCTGACAAATGCTGAAATACAACACAATCAGGAAGAATGATTTTTAACAAATAATTACAATCCCTGAAACATTTTATTGTTCTTTTCCCTCCACTCCTCCACCACTGCCCTCTGTCCCAGTGAATATTTGGATAAGGAAATTTGCCTTCACAGATGCCCTAGTGAAACTGACTTACAAATATACATCTGTTAGCATGGGGATTTGGTTGGGAAAAGAGCATCTGTCTTGTTAGGGGAGGGTGCGGGAGGGAATCTCAAACCCTTTCCTAGAAGGAGCAAAAGGCATGAGGAACGTTTCATTACCTGGACCTCCTGCCCTCTGTGAGTGCTTCAGGGGCTAATGTGAGTCATGGTGTCTGAGCTCTTGGGGTAAGACCATAAGGAGATGGGTGGGAACAGGACAAGGCCACTCTGACAAAAAGGAAGGAAAAGGTCAGGTCCAGAGAGAGCGTGGCTCAGCCAGTGCGAGCAGCCTTCGATGTTCTTGCTGACTTCTGGCAGGCAATCGGCTCTGGGAGTTTCTGTCTAGGGACCCCTCCAGCAGCAGTATCTGCGTAGGGGCATGGGGTTCTTTATGCATATGCATCCCCTTTGGCATTGCTTAGACCCTTCACAGTGATGGGCCACAGCACAGTGCTGGCACATATCATGGCAAAAGCCCCCGATACCACCAGTTTCATCACTGAAACACTTAAGTTAGATGAACACACGCCTTCTTTCATCCAAAATCAAGTAGACTGTCAAGTCAAAATTAGTGAGTAATTTCAGAAATTTAACTAGGCCAATGAGAAATTCTCCCACGGTCCCCCCACCAAAATGATTTTGTGGGGGATGGAGAACAGGGTCTCACTCTGCTGCCCAGGCTGATGTGCGGTGGTGTGATCTTGGTTCACTGTAACCCCAAACTGCTAGGCTCAATCAGTCCTCCTGCCTCAGCCCATCGAGCAGCTGGGACTGCAGGTATGTGCCACCACGCCCAGCTAATTGTTTAATATTTTAGAGACAGGATCTCATTTTGTTGCTCAGGCTGGTCTCGAACTCCTGGCCTCAAATGATCCTCTCACCTTAGCTTCCCAAAGTGCTGGAATTACAGGTATGAGCACCTGGCCCAATAATTTTTAACAGTTATACAAAAATATAATTTTTAAGACGGAAAAAAAAATTTGTGAAAATTATCTTCGCTTTGGTAAGATGCTGTTCCTATTTTCTGTAATGGCGACCATAGACAAAAAATTCACTTTCCCCAAACAATGGAAACAATTGTGTTAGAATTTGTTGTTACTAGTATTCAAATGCTCTGAAAATGTGGTCTAAGCCCATGGTTATCAGACCTGAGTGTGCATTACGGTAATGCACAAAAATAGTATCCCAAATCCTACTCACTCTGAGAATCAGAATTTTTAGTTCAGCAAACCCACTGCAGGGTGAGAGGAAAACAGGGTAAGAACTTCTATTTTTACATATTTCGTTTCATCTTTAAAATAGTATTTATTATATATGTTCAAGTATATGTAATATATGTTTATGTATACACATGTATTTGTTTGAAATATATACTGCTATGGTTTGAATGGTTGCCTCTTGAGGAACTTATGTTGAAACTTAATCCCTAATATGGCAGCATTGAAAGGTGGAGCCTTTTAGAGGTGATTGAGTCATGAAGGATCTGCCCTGTTAATCCATGAATGGATTAATAGGTTAATGGGTTGGTGGGTTAATGGGTGATATGGTTTGGCTGTGTCCCCACCCAGATATCATCTTGAATTGTAGTTCCCGTAATCCCCACGTGTCGTGGGAGGGACCCAGTGGGAGGTAACTGAACCATAGGGGTAGTTACCTCCATGCTATTCTCATGATAGTGAATGAGTTCTCAGACGATCTGGTGGTTTTCTAAGGGCTTTTCCCCACCTTTGCTCTGCACTTCTCCTTGCTGCTGCCGTGTGAAGAAGGATGTGTTTGCTTCCCCTTCCGCCATGATTGTAAGTTTCCTGAGGCCTCCCCAGTCCTGAGGAACTGTGAGTCAATTAGACCTCTGTACACTAGCCTATATAATTTATAAATGGATATTTATATTTTGAAGGCCACGCTCAAAAACTTTAACATGTGGTGCATAAGTACAACTTTAAAGGCCAAGGCCTCAGATCACTGTAATGACCTCTCCCTGGTCTGCTTCCATCTGGTCAATCTCTCATCCTTTCCCTCCACTTGTCAACTGACCATGTCATATCCTTCAGTGTCTCCCCATTCTCTCAGGAAAATCACATGCCATTCAGCCACTGTAGGGAAGTCAAAATGCATTTAATACGCCTAACCTACCGAACATCCGAACCCACTTTTTCATGTCTTACTTAGCTTTAAGCTCTGTAGAGAGAGATAAGTGCTGTAACATTGTTTTCTTTTACTCTGCCCTATTTTTTTTAGAGGAATCAACACAATTTTGATAATATATATATTGGATCTCTCATTAATTTTCTATCTCCCCATTTGAGTGAAGCTTCCATATTAGGGATCCTTTTGTTTTCTATACTATTTAAATAACCTACTCAGGGCCTAGCACATAATAAAAGTTTCATATATACTTGCTAAATTAGTTAATAAATATATTTAACAGCTATATTAACACTTGTTAGGAAGACGGTGCACATTCAAAACACTGAAATTCGTTCCAGGAATATTTATTGAACATCTACTATGTGCCCAATAGTGCCAACCACTTCACTGCCATAGAAGGTACAAGAATGTTGTCATAGTTCTTTTCCTCAAAGGGCTCACAGTCTAACAGAGAAGTACTAGCAAATGGTGTGATGAGTCTCACAGATCAGGCTTTTTTCTTTTTCTTCTTTCTTTGAGACAGAGTCTCACTCTGTCGCCCAGGCTGCGATCTCGGCTCACTGCAACCTCCGTCTTCTGGATTGAAGCTATTCTTGTGCCTCAACCTCATGAGTAGCTGGGATTACAGGCATGTGTCAACATGCCCAGTTAATTTTTTGTATTTTTAGTAGAGTCAAGATTTTGCCATGTTGGCCAGGATGGTCTCAAACTTCTGAGCTCAAGCGATCTACCCTCCTTGGCCTCCCAAAGTGCTGGGATTACAATCATGAGCCATCGCGCCCGGTCTCATAGATCAGGCTTCTAAAGAGCCCAGAAGGGTAGCCAGCTCTCCTTGAGGGCTTGGAAAAGGCTTCCAAGAGGAAGGAATGTCCAAGATGCATGCCCTCAGGCAGGACTGGCTATGTGATTGGAAAGGCCCAGTGCAAAATGAAAATGTGAGGTCCTTGTTCAAAAATTACTAAGAATTTCAAGACAATGGCAGCAGAACATTAAATCAAACATGAGACCTTCTGACCTCAGAGACTGGTGCAACTGCATAGGCCACATGCTCTTGAAGCTGGTGCAGCTCTCTGGGTCCCCAGGACGTGGGTGAGAGAGAGTGTGGATAAACAGCATTCAGCAAGCCACACAACCAAAGATTTTAGAGTGAGAAAGACCCTCATTTGTCCAGTCTTTTTTTGAAAGAGTTTATATGTATATTTATACATACACACACACACATATGCATACATACACACACATATTTTTAATTATTATGGATGCATATAGTTGTAAATATTTCTGGGGCACATGTGATATTTAGATACAAGCATATGATGCATAATGATCAAATTAGGGTAATAGAAGTATTCATCACCTCAAGCATTTATTATTTCTTTGTGTTAGGAACATTCCAATTTTACTCTTTTAGTTATTTTACAACATGCAATAAATTATTGTTAACTATAGTCACCCTATTGGGCTGCTGAGCGCTAGATCTTTTCTTCTGTCTAACTGTATTTTTGTATCCATGAACCATCCACACTTTATCCCCACTCCCTGCTACCATTTCCAGCCTCTGGTAACCATCACTCTTCTCTCTATCTCCATGAGTTCCATTTTTTGTTTTAGCTCCCACCTATGAGTGAGAACATGCCATGTTTGTCTTTCTGTGTCTGGCTTATTTCACTTAACATAATGTCCTCTATATTATCTTCTCATTTTAGAGAAGTTTTCTGAGACTCAGAGAGGTGAAATTCTTAGTGTCTCAAAAAAAGAAAAAGTCAGTAACATTATGGTACTAAACCCATGCTTCTCCCAGGGCAAAATGTTTGTTAAAGAAAAAGCAAGTGGTATTCTTTGTCCCTGCTTCTTGTGCAGGCCAGAGAAGCTGGAGAAGAAATGATGTGAAGCTAGTGTACCTGCAAGCACCTTGAATATTCTGTGCTGGGACTATCTACCTGAGCACTGCTATTATACAGCAACTGTCAGGAGGAAATGCCCAGTTGTCAGTCAGATTGGCCGAATTTGCCTCCAACCAAATTGGTGACGGCATTTGCCTGTGCCTAATTTCCCTCCTTCCTCCATTGCTTTGATCCCTTCTGACCCTTCCAAAGCAATCAGGAGATGAGAGGCTGAGGCCTTTCCAGACTGAACTAGTCTTTCAAAGATTCAAAAGAGGACTTTGCAGTGAACATCAGGCATCTGTAAGCTGGTGGCGGATACTTCTGTGGTGCAATAAGTCGTCCAACTCCCAATCATGTTGTAGAGGCAGCCACCATTGCTCATACTCCTAGGTGTATCCTACCTGTCTCTCTCCTCGGAAGACTTGCCTGGGACTCATGGACGTGCCTAGCGTTGACTGAATAAGACCAGCTAGTGCGAACAAAACAAGCCAGCACGCATCACTAGAAAGACCAGACTGGAGCTTGACTAGGGGCTGCTGAGCAACTTAGGCCACCCCTTCCTCTGTTGGGAGCAACATAAAATTCTCAGAGGGAAAGCAGCTGCCAGGATGGTTGCTGTGACTTTGAGCAGATGCATGTGTCTGTCTGGGAACTGCAGGATTCTTAGGAGTAGTCAAGGATGAGGGCATGCTGTGGCTTTGATTTATTTAGTGGAAGCACAAGAACTTTAAGCTTCAGGCATGTGTGCATGTGTCTTTAAAGTGACTGTCACACCCAAAAGTGAGTGCCAGGAAGGAAACTTCACATTTTCCATGGCTTGCAGCTTCTATATATTAACATCATCCCTGACTTACTGACTTCCTGCCACATACTAGCCAAGGAAAGCCAGCACCTAGGATGGTTGTTGCTACAGGGTAGAAGCCAACCTGAGACAAATGTTTAGGGAATGGATGAATGAATGAATGAATGAGTGAATGAATGAAAGAGCAAATTTATGAGTTCACTGCTCCTGGGCTTGGCCCGCCACCAGGTGGAAGTGGATAAGGGTGCACCCTGTCAGAGCAGTTAGATTGCTCTAGTGCAATATCACACTGACTATGAGGAAGCTCATTTTCTGCAAGTGCTAACTCGATTGTGCACATTTCTACATAATAATAAACTTATGTAGTCTATTGTATAAGTGTATACATTTAAAAAGAGGGATGCTTTAATTAATGTATGTGTCTATTTTATTATTAATAATATAATGTGTCAAATGCCTTGGGATTCACGAAGATGAAAGCAAGCAATATAAACATGAGATACCATTATGCTTCTTATAATTACAGCCTGTGGATATGCCAGTTCATTATAAACACCCATCACACAATGTACCCTGTCATGCTGCTCTAACAAAAGGCAATTGTTGGGAGGGTCAAGGAGTCCACGGGATGCCATTTTAATAGGATTTGGGTTGGCTCACTGTTAATAGAAACACTTTGATGTGAGTCAAGTACCTCAAATTCCACTGGCCAAGTCTTGAACACGGACTAAATTCTAACAAGTTCAAAGAATAAAAATCATGTCTTCCTAAACTTCCAAGAAATGTATTTATTGGACCACCTGAGGCAGTGAGAACCTATAGATTGAGAATGTTCTCTATCTTTCTTACAAGTAGCCTGAGTTATTTCAAAGATGGGAAAAAGGCAGGGCGCAGTAGCTCATGCCTGTAATCCCAGTACTTTGGGAGCCCAAAGCAGAGGGATCACTTGAGCTCAGGAGTTTGAGAACAGGCTGGCCAACACAGTGAGACCCCATGTCTACTTTTAAAAAAAAAATAAAATGAGGCTGGGAGTGGTGGCACAGGCCTGTGGTCCCAGCTACTCAGGAGGCTGAGGCAGGAGAACTGCTTGAGCCCAGGAGGTCGTTGCTGCAGTGAGCTGTGTTCGGGTCATGGGACTCTAGCCTGGCCAACAGAACAGGAGGGAAAGAAAGCTGGGAACAGGGCTTGGGTGGGAGCGGGCAATAGGCCCTCTTCATTTCTTATGGCTCTGGGGACCCAGTTTTGTGCTGACTCATAACATGCATTTTCAATGAGGCAAATATGTCCCCCAAGGGAACAAAAATAGGTTTTTGGGAGGGAAGGCACAAAAAAAAAAAAACCCACAACAAAAAAACCCACTTTTACCCTTTTTATATATAAAGCATAGCTATGCATATAGTACACTAAGAGTAGCTCTTAATAATGTTTCTGAGGTATTAAAATTTCATGGGAGAGGCCAATTAGGAAAGAAACATCTAAAGAGGCTCGTTAGGGGAGCAAAAATGGAAACCAAAAGGTTGAGAAACACTACTCTTGCTCTCTAAGAAGCAGTTTTACTGATAATCATTGAACGTGAAGTTTCCCCATTCTGTGGGAAGCAAGCTTCAGGGTGACTGTGGGCCTGGGAAGAGGTAAATCCTCCTAGGAAACCATTGTCCCACTGTTTAATAGAAATACGGGATTCTGCTATCATGGATTTTCTCTTATGGCCTAAATTTCTAATACTCCCCAAAGTGCAGATATCTCTGGATAAGGTAATACTTTTTATTTTTTGAGACAGAGTTTCGCTCTTTTTGCCCAGGCTGGAGTGCAGTGGTACGACCTCGGCTCACTGCAACCTCTGCCTCCCAGGTTCAAGCGATTCTTCTGCCTCAGCCTCCAGAGTAGCTGTGATTACAGGCGCCCGCCACCATACCTGGCTAATGTTTTGTATTTTTTGTAGAGATGAGGTTTCACCATGTTGGCAGGGCTGGTCTCAAACTCCTGACCTCAGGTAATCCACCCGTCTTGGCCTCCCAAAGTGGTTGGTATACAGGCATATGCCACAGCACCTGGCCTGGATAAGGTAATACTTTTAATCATCTATTTATATCTTGGTATCAGGATCTATGAATTCCTTGTCTGATCAGTTTTTTTTTATTTTTATTTTTTTATTTATTTGTTTTTTTTCTGAGACAGGTCTCACTCTGTTGCTTAGGCTGGAGTGCAGTGGCATGATCAGGGCTCACTGCAGCCTCAAACTCCCAGGCTTAAACGATCCTCCTGCTTCAGCTTCCCTACTAGCTGAGATTAAAGGTGTCTGCCACCATACCCAGCTAAGTTTTAAAAATTTTTTAAGGAGATGAGGGCTCTTTATGTTGCCCAGGCTGGTCTCGAACTGCTGGATTCAAGTGATCCTTCCACGTTGACCTCCCAATGTGCTGGGATTACAGGGATGAGCTACTGTGCCCGGCTTTGACATCAAATTTTAATAGGGGCAGGAAAGAATACAAGGGTGTTGAATACCTGAGGGAGAGAAGGAGGCATCATTGAGGGGAGGGAATGTACAAAAAGGAAAGGTTGAAAATAGGAATGAGCTGGTTACAAAGCTCAATCTACAAACTCAGTGTTCAAGAAATGCACTTATTTTCTAGACCTCTTTTTTATGATTTAATTCTGCTAAGATGTCAGGAAGAAAAAATAATCACAGTCAGTTCAGGATTCCTTCCACTTCCTGGAACTGGGTGGGTTTATGGTAATTGTGCAGTGCTAAGGCATGGGAGGCAATGGGTCATGCCACAGCAGGTCTTCAGTCCTAGGTACAGACAAGTCAATACTGAGTCACCACCCCCAGGTCCTTCAGGTCCTACCTTCACCCTGGGAGCTGAGTAACACTCTCTGGCCCCATCTGTTTAGGGACACCACATTCTCTTGGTCTTGCCAACTCTCTAGGCTTCTACCCAGGAAAGGACACAGGTTTTCTCTACTTCCCAGTGTCTCTACACCAAACCTATCTGGAGTTTTCATCCCTACCCCTTACCCCCTACCTGCTCAATTTGACAAGGGCAGAGTACAAGAGGTACAGAAGTGCCAGTACCTAAATTTTCATCACGTCTGTGCAAGCATTCCTCTTCCTTGGAGCCCAGGGATTTCCTATCAACTTTCCAGGCTGAGACCTCCCGCAATGCATATTCATCCAAATTCATCACCTTTTGGTATCTCTGGAGGACTTGGCTGTGTCACAGCTCCTTGAGGCAATGCGTGTGCAACGGCCAAGCTGGACAGAGACAGGCCAAGGGAAAGAGGAAATGCTGAGAGGACAAAAGTCGTTTATATTTCAAAATATACATTTAAACATAAGAGGCGTGATTTCACAATCGGAAAGTTGATCCACCACTCCAGGACTGATTTCCTCGACTTTCATTCTAGACCAGGGGTGTCCAATCTTTTGGCTTCCCTGGGCCACACTGGAAGAAGAGGAACTGTCCTGGGCCACGCATAAAATACACTGACACTAACGATAGCTGATAAGCTAAAAAAAAAAAATTGCAAAAAAACTCACAATGTCTTAAGAAAGTTTACCAATTTGTGTTGGAATGCACTCAAAACCATCCTGGGGCACATGTGGCCCATGGGCTGTGGGTTGAACAAGCTTGTTCTAGACAATATTCAGAAGAATTGCCTCATATCTTAATCATACAAGTATATCCTTCATAACGCAAACTTCAGTAAAGGCTATCTCTCCTTTTTACTCAAGTGCAGTAATACTGGAATGGTTGCATGGGACGTTGTTGTATATTTCAACAGGGATATTAATAAAATTGTGAGTTTAGCTCCCAAGGTGAGACTTTTAGCATCAAAAATTATACACAAGACTCATACATAATTCTAAGTGTCTACTATTATATGGGTGCAGAATAAATGGTATTGAATTGAATTATTTCAGGTGTGCTACAAACAAGTTTCCTTTAGATGCTACCTTAAAGTCAAGATAGGTTGAAAAAATTACAAAGTCTTTCTAGTAGTCTAAACATGAGGCATGTTGCTCATTCTGTGACAAAAAAAGCTGCTGATGCTGTTGTGCGAACTGACTAGGAAAGCAGAGTCTGTAAATGCCGTAGCCACTAAGCCAAAGTCTGCAATAGAATAAGTGCAACTCTTCTGGCTTGGTGTTTCTGGGCATACAGGAGCATTCGCCATTGCTAGTTATGTTGTAATCACGGAATAAATAGCACTTTATAGAGGGCTCTCAATTCACCTGGTAAACTTTTTTCTCCCTCAGTGTCATGCTGCAGCTATGAAAGAAAGAATTGGCCTTATTCTTATGTTTTCACAACCTAATATCCAGTATTTACAATCCACACATGTTCCTTAGGGGAGCTCAAGGCATTTTCTGACAAGCCATCTCTTTCCTCCATTTAACAACAGTGATGGGATCCGGGAGAAGAAATTGATGGTAAAAGTGATGAATGTTGCATTTAAAGAGGAGTCAACATTTAGATACAGCACGGTTACGTTTCTCTTCCATGGTCACACTGTGACTCAGAGCAAAACTTTTTTGATAAATCTTTCTTTTTTTTTTTTTGAGACAGTGTCTCTCTCTGTCACCCAGGCTGGAGTGAAGTGGAGCAAGCTTGGCTCACTGCAACCTCTGCCTTTTGGGCTCAAGCGATTCTCCTGCCTAAGCCTCCCCAGTAGCTGGGACTACAGGCACGCCCCACCATGCCTGGCTGATTTTTGTATTTTTAGTAGACATGGGGTTTCACCATGTTGGCCAGGCTGGTCTCGAACTCCTGGCCTCAAGTGATCTGCCTGCCTTGGCCTCCCAAAGTGCTGGGATTACAGGCGTGAGCCACTGCACCCGACTGGTAAGTCTTCCTTCTACTCTCACGCCTGAATCCCCAAATCCTTATAAAAGGTAGAGGTTTTCTTATTCTGTGTTGTCGTCTTCGAGTTTATCTGGTTACCAAATAGGAAAAAAAATAATAATAAAAGACAAAAAAAAAGAACCCAACTGTTTACCTGACAAAAAAATGATTTTCAAAGTTTAGTTTTCAAAATATTTTGCCAAACTCACTGTTCTTCACTGCTAAGATGGAATGACAATGCAGTGCTTCAAGGTGCCGACAAAAACAAGTTATGTCATCCCAAGTTACAAAGAAAACAGACACCAGCAGAGACTCCTCACCAAGTTTTAACATGTGGAAACAGCAATGCGCCAGAGCAGATTCTCGGAGGCTAAACCAAGGGGAATAAAGCCATGAAACAGCTCATTTCCATTTGACAAACCAGCCTTGGGAACTCAGATAAGGACTTCATTTCATACATGCTACAAATCCATTTTCCGTTTTCCTAAAAGTCCTGGCAATGATTCAAAGCCAACTCATGAAGCAGACAGGAGGCCTGTTTCTGGCCAACAGAGGCTCTTTCTCCAGGCGATAGTAACAATAGGCATCTTTCTGGGTGGTGACTGAGTTCTCCCACGCGACCCATTGTAAGTAAAATAATTTCTAGTAACTAGACACTAGTTTCGAGACTATGCCATTCAGTGGGTGTGATAATAATAACAGCCAACATGATTGAGTGCTTTTTATATGGTAAGCATGGTTCTAGGCATTTTACATGATGATCTCCCTATTACTTGCAATAACCGTATTTGTAACCATCCTACTAGCGGTGCCATTTTATCAATGAGGTCCATGCGGCCCTGAGAGATTAAGCACTTTTAGTCCAAGGCTCTATGGCTAGTACATGGTATCGCTGGATGTGACTCTGAACTCATGCTCTCAATCACTATACCATATTGCAGTGAAAACAATGGCAAATATTGTTACCCTCCTATATGTGTATTTATAGTATAGCATAACTAGGTGTGAAAAGTAAAATTACTAGTAGACCACTGAGAAATTATTACTCTCCCATAAATGCTAGACCGAATGGGACATACATGTAAGAAACAAAAAGTCAACTTGTGGCATATTTTTAGAACATCTTTAAATATCTTTAAATCATCGGTGAAATATCATTATTAAAATTGGAGTAGGGGGAGGAAAAAGGCAAAACACTTGCCAAACTCTTGTTTGGGGAACACAAAAATCCAATCGAAGTATAATTTTTAAAGGGTTAAAAAACATAGCACATGTATGACTATAAAAGGAACACGTGCCAACGATTGCATTCAGCTCATTTACTAATGAGGAAACTGGTAAGATATTGAAATTGGTCCAAAGGGCATCTGGAAGACTACATATACATGAGCAATTTAATAAATTCCTGGGTTAGATATAAAGCTGCTTAATGTCCAATTATGTTTAAACTGTAACCCTTGGGATTATCTGTTTTACCAGAGAGAAATTATTTGCATCTCTACTGAACACAAAATTACAAGTTGATCTTTCTCTACAAAGGTGTAAAATAGGGCAATAAATAGAAAGTCAAGCCTGAAGTGCATTCTACAGCAACAATAACAACAAAAAAATGAAAAACCGAACATCTACTCACTATTTTCTTTCGTCTATTTTCAAGTTGAGATGACTTTTCTGATAACCCTTACTAAAGTAAGGAAATAGAGCCTTGTGTCTAGCCAGTTCAAAATGAAATAGATAGATAGGTAGATAGATAGATAGATAGATAGATAGATAGATAGATAGATAGATAGATAGACAGATAGATACATAGATAGATAGATAGATATAGATATATATATACATCCCCAAAGTAGGCAGAAAGAATGTTTGGAAAATCCTCAGTAAAGTAGATTGTGTTTCCTAATGATTTTTAAAAAAGTAATAAGCCACTGGACATGAAGAGGATACTAGGAAAAATGAAGAGAAAGAAAATCTGTTTTCCATTTTGCATTAGCATAAACTGTACAGAATAGCGGAGCTCGTTTTACAGGCAAAGCAATTGAATTTTAAAATGGAGTGGGGGTCATATCACAAGAAGTCAATATGCTTCCACTTCCTCTATGTTCTTCTCAGTGTCTCAGCTCTCCCTCAAATGTCATTCTATCCCCTGATCAAAATAAGTCTCTGTTTCTACTCCTTTAAAGAACATGAAGTTAAATAGGTTAATTTCCCCAGAGTGGCGTAAGCTGATAATATTCCAAATCTCTGTTTTCTTTGACCTAGTTCTCACTTTTGTTTGTATTACAGGTTGGGAAGAAATTTGAGGCTCTTCAGTAACTCGTTAAATATTTTCTGATTCTAAGAGCTTAACCAGACAGACTACCGAGGTTGAAACTTTACTTGTGCTGAACTTTTCGAAACATTCCAGGAGACTTTGGAGGTTGGACTTTTAATATGCCAACTGCTCGTTCCTGTACTTATAACTATAGTGTAACTACATTGTCCTGGATTTTATTCAAGTTGATAGGCAAATATAATAGTGTTCTCTTTTTTCTCCAAAGTGAGTAAAATGTCAACCCTTCCCTCCTGACTAAATAAACACATCCTATTGTAGAAAACTACAACTGGATTAAACTCGCATTTGAACAAGGTTAACTGTATACTTTTTAAGCCTATTCTGGAATAACTGGTCACTGAATCATCTTCATTGCATGTTACAAGCATCTTTCACTCTCCCACTTGTATGAGATCTGGAAGCCAAGCTTAGAAAAGAAGGTACTTGTCACCGGAACTGCCTCTGTGCTTTTTCAACAGGAAAATATGAGGTTGCACTGTCCATCTCCCTAAGATTTCAGGACACTTTTACAATTTTTACACAAAAATATTTGAAGAAGTTTTACAATGAACGTTTAGCATTCCTATAGTAGGAAAGTAAGTCTTTACAGCTATTTTTGCTTACTTACTCCTTAACTTTTTTGTATGGAAAATTTAAAACATGCAAAATTAGGGTAACTGTTAACATTTTTACTCACATCAACCATATCTTCCCCACTCCCAAGTTTACTCTGAAGAAAATCTCAATATCTTATCATTTTAGTCTTATTCAGTATGCATTGCTAATAGATAAGAATTCTTTAAAAACAAGTAACCGAAACACCAATACTATGACCTATTCCCAAATTAACAATAATTCCTTAATATGATCCATTACTCAGGATAATAAAAATTTTGCCTGACTGCTTCATAATATCTGCTTCTTTTTTTAAACAACTTATTGAAATCAGGATTCTAATATGGACCATCTACTATAATTGATTGACACAATGTCTAAGTCCCTTTCAATTTACAGGTTCCCCTTCTTTCTCTTTGTCCTCTTCCTCCTGCTCCTCCTCTTCCTTTTTTTTTTTCTCCTTGCAATTTACTGGATAAAGAACCTCTCCCTTGGTCAGGATTTGGTGACCGAGTCCCTGGGTCACTTAGCATGTTCCCTTTTCCTCACTTCCTTTGAATTGGCGCTCAGATCTGGTGGCCCTGTCTGCCTCCATGCCCTGTGAGGCTTAAGTTTTTTTTGTTTTTTTTTTTGTTTTTTTTTTTTGTTTGAGATAGAGTCTCGCTCTGTCACCCAGGCTGGAGTACAGTGGCTCGATCTCGGCTCACTGCAACCTCCGCCTCCTGGATTCAAGCAATTCTCCTGCCTCAGCCTCCTGAGTATCTGGGATTACAGGCACACATCACCATGCCCGGCTAATTTTTGTGTTTTTAGTAGAGATGGGGTTTCGCCATGTTGGCCAGGCTGGTCTCGAACTCCTGACCTCAGGTGATCCACCCGCCTAAGCATCCCAAATTGCTGGGATTACAGGTGTTAGCCACTGCGCCTGGTCAGGCTTAAGTCTTTAGCAAGATACTTCATAGGTACTACTGTGTACGTTCCATCAGAAGGTGCAAACTATTCAACTGTCTCTTTATGTGTGATGTTAGGAGCCATCAGCGATCATTGCTTAGATCCACTCATTCACTGAGAAGTGCAGAATCATGATATTCTAATTACAGCAGTCCCTCATGTGTTATCTGTAATGATCAATAAGGAGGAAATTGCCTAATTAACTAGCTGGTTGCTGTGTGGTACCAAAGGAGGTGCCAGGTTCTTTCTCTTTACTTGCCACTTTGCAAAATAATGAGTTAGTTCCATAGCAATCTCTGAAAGAAGGAAGATTTGTTTGTCTTTGATATCATTATAAACTAAAGGATCTAAATATATTTGTTCTTTTGGTCTATTGCAGTTATCATTTATTTATTTATTTATTTAGAGATGGAGCCTCACTCTGTCACCCAAGCTGAAGTACAATGGCATGATCTTGGCTCACTGCAACCTTCACCTCTTGAGTTCAAGTGATTCTCCTGCCTCAGCCTCCCCAGTAGCTGGGATTACCGGCATGCGCCACCACACCCAGCTAATTTTTTTTATTTTTAGTAGAGACGGCGTTTCGCCATGTTGGCCAGGCTGGTCTCGAACTCCTGACCTCAGGTGATGCACCTGCTTTGGCCTCCCAAAGTGCTGGGATTACAGGTGTCAGCCACCGTACCCGGCCCTATTCTCTTATTCTTTCGATTCTTAAATTATTCCAGCTTTAACCATTGAGATTCTCTTCAAGTTGGCTTCTGTTTCTTTTTGGCCCTCTTAGCTTTTGACGGTTTACTTGCTTTCTGGTATGAAAAGATATTCCAGGCTCACCCTATATCCCAGACTTGGAGTCAGCCATTTCTTAAGGAGTCTGGTTCATTTTAGTGGTGTGCAGTATTTAGAGACGACAGTCAGGGCCCCAGGAGGCCTATTTTCATTTTGAAAGAAAAATGTTTTCCATTTTCCATGATCAATTTCCTCCCTCAGTTTCAGGGAGCAAATGAACTGATAGGCAGAGCCTCCGATGTTGGCCTCACAGTAGAATTCTAAAGTTCATTGCAAGAGCAAATGGTAGCTGGTTATGTGCTTTCTTTCCCAGGATTACCTTATGTTCTGATGTAGAGGAATTAGGAAAGCAGATGTAGAGAGATAATATTATTTTTCTGTGCATATGTCAATTGTGAACTAATGGAGCAGGTGAACTGGGAGTCTGTCCATTCTAGGCGAGGCCAGGGCAGGCGACAAGGAAGCAAAAGCTGCCGCTACGCTATTCAAGGCCCCTGGTGGGCAGCTGATCTCAAAGATCTTTATTGGCTGTGCCTCTACTTCTCCTGAAACCCTACACCTCCCTAGGGAAGGCCTGACCTCTCAGGGGCTTCCATGGCTGGTCCCCACCCCCACCTCTAACCCCAGAGGACTAAAAGACCAGAGAGATGATAAAAGTCTTGTTTCTTTTTCTTTCTTTCTTTCTTTCTTTTTTTTTTTTTTTTTTTTTTTGCTCTTCCCTGTGGAAGGAATAGACGTCCCTTTGTTCTGGATGACGAAGAGGATGAGTAGTGAAGTCCAGGAAACGAGAACTAAAGTGTGGGCTGGCTCTATTCTGGACCATAGAGGAGAAGAGAAAAAAAGGACCTTGAGGTTTCTTTGTGTTTGGCTCAACTCAGCAGTTTAGGAAAACTGGTAAAGTTTTGGGACACAAACCTTAGTCAGGAATAAAATGCAAATAGTTCATTGGCCATGCCCTGAACTGTATCTGTCAGGAATTTAATTCTGATTGTTGATGGGCACATTAATTACAAGCCCTACCATCTGGCATGCTTGAAAACAACCACAGCTGGGATATGAGTGTGAGCTCACCAGAGCCTGCAATGGTAAAGGCAAGACTAGCTACATTTTTTCTAGACTTTGTACTATATAGAGAGAGTAAAGCTACAGCATTAGCAGAGGATCTTGATTTTGGTGTGGATTTATTCCTAACCTGGGGCAAGTTTGGGATTGTTACTGTCATACAATGATACAGTTTCTATTAGTAGTTATTAATATTGGTAATAGTATTGAAAATAACAAGTATGATTTACTGAGTGCTTATTACATACTACTTTGATGAGGAAGATATCCTTAATCACACTGTACATGTGAAGAAACTGAGGCACAGAGAAGTTAAACAAGTTTCTCAAAGTCACACAGCTTAGTAACTATCAGAACAAGAATTTTAATTCAAATTATTTGAAACCATCACCCTGGTTTTCTTTTTCTATTTTGATCCTTCTCAACTAGTAGGGAGGGATAAGGCGCTTACCCCCTTTCTCTCTCTCTTTTTTTTTTTTTTGAGACAGCGTCTCTGTTTGTCACCCAAGCTGAACTGCAGTGGCATGATCTTGGCTCACGGTGACCTCTGCCTCATGGGTTCAAGAGATTTTCCTGCCTCAGTCTCCCAAGTAGCTGGGATTACAGGCATGCCCCACCATGCCCAGCTTATTTTTCTATTTTTAATGGAGACAGGGTTTCACCATGTTGCCCAGGCTGGTCTCAAACTTCTGACCTCAGCTGATCTGCCCACCTCGGCCTCCCAAAGTGCTGGGATTACAGGTGTGAGCCACCACACCCGGCTCTGCTTTCTTGTTTTTAAGGACAAGCTGACATGTTAGTAGCATCTGGAACCAACAAGGGAGCAGCAGCAAGAATGAGTTTTGAGTATTCCTGTGGCTTATCCACAGATTCTCTAGGGCACCTGACCACTAGCCTTACATACTGAACGATGAAGACAAGCCAATTTCTTAAACCAAAAGCGTAGGAAAATGCTGGGTGCATACGGTATACAAAAGATTGATTCTTTGTTGTCTCTATTGTTAGTGTTGGATGTTCAAAGGCTTCTTTTACTTCTTCCCAAAAGGTTCCTCCTGGTCCAAGATTTTCAGCCCAATTTAAGTAAACCCCGATCAAAGAGCTAAATTTCAGAAAATTCAAAGTAGGTCTTTACCATAGAAGCGTTGAGGCATTTAATCAGTGAACAGGTATTAAAATGAGGAGGTCTCTCTTTTTTTTTCTTTCTTTAAAGACAAGGTCTGGCCGGGCGCAGTGGCTCACACCTATAATCCCACCACTTTGGGAGGCTGAGGAGGGTGGGTGGATCACTTGAGGTCAGGAGTTCGAGACCAGACTGGCCAACATGGTGAAACCCCGTCTCCACTAAAATACAACAATTAGCCAGGTGTAGTGGTGCATGCCTGTAGTCCCAGCTACTCTGGAGGCTGAGGCAGGAGAATCACTTGAACCTGGTAGGCAGAGGTTGCAGTGAGTAGAGATCATGCCACTGCACTCCTCCCTGGATGATAGCAAGACTCCGGCTCAAAAAATAAATAAATAAATAAATAAATAAAGACAAGGTCTCACTCTGCTGACCAGGCTGGAATGCAGTGGTGCAATCACAGTTCACTGTACCCTCAAACTCCTGGGCTCCAGCGATCGTCTCACCTCAGGCTCCCAGTGCATTGGGATTACAGGTGTGAGCCACCTGTAATGGAGGGGTGGTGTCTTTCTTAAATGAGAAATTAAGTGTTTTCTTCAGTAAAGTTTAAGAAACAATCGGCAAAACTCTAGAAGTTCATGAAAAATTTAAAAACTCTTTTCTGTGGAGCTCCAGTTTTCTGAGAATTAGGTTTGTCTGAAAGCAGGAGAATTTGTTTTCTGTGGATAAGACTGCACACAAACCCCAAACCAGTGCTCAAGAGATAGTTGGCTCTGGAAAGAAAACAACACACAGAGAGAAAAATGCGATTGGATATAAACCTACATTTTTATTGCGCAGTCAGGACATGACATGGAAACATGAAACAAAATAGGGAGGGAGACAGTAAGGTCTTGCAAAAGTCTTAAGGGAGACAGAGTTGAAGGAGTGTGTGTGTGTGGAGAGAGACAGAGAGAGTGAACAAGTTGGCTTGCAATGTTGTAGGCACCATGCTAGGTGCTGTGAGACAACGGTACTCTAAGAATCTATGATGCCGCTCAGATTTCCAACACAGCAAGGACTTGGATTAAGATGGCCTCCATTTAGGGGGGTACTCTTGGGAGGCAGTCAGCAGAGGGGCAATTCTTTATGATTTGGCGGCTACCAGCCAGTGCAAGAGGCTAAAATGGAAGCTCAGCAGGCAGGGAGGGGTCTTGGCATGGTGTCTGGGTCTGCCAGGTTTCTTGTGCTGAGACTGTAGAACAAAATTTTCTAAACCATCTTGCTGGATGCTCTCAATAGGAAAATGGCAACAGCTGACTTTTTTTTTTTTTTCAGAGGAGTCTCACTCTGTCGCCCAGGCTAGAGTGCAGTGGCGTGATCTTGGCTCACTGCAACCTCCGCCCTCTGGGTTCACGCAATTCTCCTACCTCAGCCTCCCTAGTAGCTGGGATTACAGGCGTGCACCATCACGCCCAGCTAATTTTGTATTTTTAGTGGAGAAAGAGTTTTGCCGTGTTAGCCAGGCTGGTCTGGAACTCCTGACCTGAAGTGATCCGCCCACCTTGGCCTCCCAAAGTGCTGGGATTACAGGCGTGAGCCACCATGCCTGGCCAATGGCTGATTTTGGATGAGCATACTTATCAGCGTTGACAGCAGAGGACAGGCTAAATGTGATTCCAGTTTCAAACATGAGATGACCAAGGCATACAAAGTCAAATGATCATAGAGGTGGATGGCAGGCAGGATGGCAGTAAGTGTTTGCGGCTAGAAAGTTTGCTTCTCATCTCACAGAAACACCCTCTCTGACAGCTTTGCACTGGCCATTGTCCAACTTTGGCAGGATGCCAAAAGACAAACTACCAAGGTCATGTGTACTTTCATTAGCAAGAGCTGCCAGAAGATAGGAGATAGGCAAAAATTCACCAACAGAGTAAAATTTTAAAAATCAGACGTAATTCTTGGCTTTATTTCTCACTCTTGATTAGCGGACATCCCTTTGGCCCTTTCCCTCCTTCCCCTTTCAATAATTCATTCTTCTTCATCAGTCCTTCGATCCCTATGTTTGTGCCCTCTGCATTCTGCCAAACAAATGCTCATTGACTTCCACAGTGAATAGGCAGACATGCTAAAATATTCCCAGGGCAGCTATTTGCTTCCTTTGATCAGATGTAAAAATGTCTGGAATCCAGATTAGCATTGCAGCTATGGAAAAGAATTTCCAGGGAATCCTGACTCAGGTTTTAAAAGTGAATGCATCTAAGCATTCATTTGGACTATGAAAATAGAAATGGTCCTGGTCCCCAGGGGTCAAAGAGGATCCAGAATGTACTCAAAACTCCATCCAGCTTTCTGCAAGATATCCTCACAATTATGCACACGATGCCGTCCTGGTGGGATCTTGGAGAGTTTCGTGAATGGAGGCGGAAGAACTCGACTCCTCTTATTCATCAGCTTTTCCAGGAAGACTTTGCTTCTGCCCCTGTAAATGTGTAGCAGCAAATATATGACACATGTCTTACTTCCTCAGCACTAAAGAACAATGTTGAAACAAAGGCCAGAGAGAAGGTTGAGCTCTCACCCTGGGAGACTTTCAGGAGAGAGTCCTCTATGGAGTGGATTCGGCCTTGATTCTAGCAGGGATGAAGTGTTCCATTCTACATCACTGGCGAGTCTAGCATAATGTGGGACCCGTGGACAAAGCTGTTGCAGCTTGGAGCAATCAGATCAAAGGTCATGTGCAGAAGACGAACTCAGGTAGGTGGAGGACCAGGTCAAGTAGGGACAGAATCTCAAAGACAGTAGATCATCCCGATCAAAAAACAGGCTGAGGCTGGAAGGACCAGGTGGGGAACAAGTTGCGAAGGTGATCTCAGTAAACCATCAGTGGGTGCTTGCTGAGCAGGAACTTCCACGGTGTGGGCTCCTCTGTGAATGTTTTTGTTTTTGTTTTGTTTTGTTTTTTAGAGACAGGGTCTCACTCTGTCGTCTAGGATGAGATGAGGTGCTGCAATCATAGCTCACTGCAGCCTCAAACCCCTGGGCTCAAGTGATCCTCCTACCTTGGCCAGGAGGACTACAGGTGCGCTTCACGACTGGCAATTTTTTAATTTTTTTGTAGAAACAAGGTTTCACTGTGTTGCCCAGGTTGGTCTTGAACTCCTTACCTTATTCAGTTCACCTGTGTTGGCCTCCCAAAGTACTGGAATTACATGAGTGAGCCACCTCACATCTGGCCTGTTTTTGTATTTTAATTTGGTTGTCTTTGGTCCACTCTGAGAGGAGGCAACTACTCTTAAAGACCCAGATCTGCTTGGGTGTGCGAAAGGTCTCACTGAGTGGCCTTGATACTGTGTATTTAGGCCTAATGAAGAAAAAGAAGAAAGGAAGTCAACCTCTGCAAGTTGTCTACCACATTTCAAGTTTCTTAAAAACCGTTATCTCAAAAAAAATGGAGAGAAATCCTCCATTATCCTCACTTCAATGCACGATAAAACTGAGGCTCAGAGAGGTTCAATAACTAGCCAAAAGTCAACAGCTAGCAAATGGCAAATCCAGAATGGAAAAATAGCAATTTGTCCCAAAGATCATGTTCTTTGTTACTCAGCATGTTCCATATGCTCTAGAATTCCAAAATACTCTGGAACAGCAACTTGCAAACGTTTCGGTATCAGGACCCATTTACACTCTTAAAAATGACTGAGGACCCAAAAAGCTTTTGTTCATGTGGTTTATATTTATCAATGTTTGCCATATTAGAAATTACAACAGAATTCTAAAAATATTTATTTATCCAGTGAAAATAAGAAATCCATTTCATGATAACATAAATATTTTATAAAAATAACTGTTTTCTAAAGAAAAGAGAAGAGTGGCACTGCACACTTTTGCAAGTCTTTTTAATGTTTAGTTTAAGGGAAGGCAGCTGGATTTTCTTAGCTGTTACTGCTTTCCATCTGCTGTGATGTCGTTTAGGTTGAAACACATGAAGAAAATGTGGCTTCCCACAAATATGTAGTTAAGAAAAGGAAGCAGTATTTATTTATTTGTTTATTTATTTATTTATTTATTTACTTTGAGATGGAGTCTCGCTATCACCCAGGCTGGAGTACAGTGGCATGATCTCCACTCACTGCAACCTCTGCCTCCTCGATTCAAGCAATTCTCCTGCCTCAGCCTCCCGAATAGCTGGGACTACAGGCCCACGCCACCATGCCTAGCTAATTTCTTAAATATTTTTAGTAGAGACGGGGTTTCACCATGTTGGCCAGGCTGGTTTCGAACTCCTGACCTCAAGTGATCTACCCACCTCGGCCTCCCAAAGTGCTGGAACTACAGGCGTGAGCAACAGCACCCGGCCAGGAAAGAGTATTTAAATAACCTTTTCAGATAATTAGAGGTACTTGTTTTTGAAGAAATATCGGATGCAGAATCTGAAATCATATGAATGAAGATTCCATGCTTTGTTACATTAAAATTGCTTTTAAAGATCTTTAAAAATGTATTTTTAAAGGTCTCTCTTGTGCTTTGAGTGGATCTTTTACCCATGCATGATTCTGTAACCTTATGTATTGGTCATCTGAAAATATCAATGATAGCATTCCTGACGGTAGCACATTTTATTTTCTATTACCTGAAAGTCAAAATGGGTTTTTTGTTTTGTTTTGTTTTTTGAGATGGGGGTCTTGCTCTGTTGTCCAGGCTGGAATGCAGTGGTGTGATCACAGCTCACTGCAGCCTCGACCTCTTGGGCTCAAACAGTCCTCCCACCTCAGCTTCCAAAGTAGCTGGGACTACAGGTGAGTGCCACCACATCTGCCTAATTTTTGTATTTTTTGTGGAGATGGGGTTTCACCATGTTACCCAGGCTGGTCTCTGATTGCAGAGCTCAAGCAATCCACCCACCTTGGCCTCCCAATGAGCCGGGATTGCAGGGATGAGACATCATGCCTGACAAAAAGTCACAACTGCTAATATTGCCCCCGATCACTGCAGAAAAGTCTTCAAATATTGGAAGTATTTAGACATGGTATTTAGCTTAAGCTCAAGATGGCAGATACAAGTTTTCCAAAAATCAACGTTTCTCTTGAAAGGTCAAATGTTAGCACTGGCAACAAATACTGTCAGTTTTCCTTGGAGTGACAAGTTCACGTCTTTCATTTTTGAGAATGTGTCTGCCAGATACCCAAGTCTGAATAACTATAGTTCATCTATCAGTCTTTTTTTTTTTTTGACTGAAAAGTGATGTTCCAAAAAAAGCAGCCTGTTCAGCTCACAACTCAATTATACAAGCTTTCCCTCAAGTCAATTGTTACACTGAGGTGTGCAGTGGACGTGCCTTATGTGTGCTTCCTATTGTGTCACATATTAAAAATATGTGACATATTAAAAATACATACGCCACAGAGTGAAGATCTTTAAAGTTAATCATTTTTATGGCTTTATCAAAGACATTCTTAAGTAAAACTGGGATTTCGTTTCATTTTATTTTATTTCGGGTTCTGTTTTTGTTTTTTGAAACAGGGTCTTGCTCTGTCACCCAGGCTGGAGTGCAGTGGCTTGATCTTGGCTCACTGCAACCTCTGCCTCCTGGGTCCAAGCAATTCTGCTGCCTCAGCCTCCTGTGTAGCTGAGATTACAGGAACCTGCCACCAAGCTCAGCTAATTTTTGTATTTTTAGTAGAGGCGGGGTTTCACCATGTTGGCCAGGCTTGTCTCGAACTTCTGACCTCAAGTGATCTGCCCACCTAGGCCTCCCAAAGTGCTGGGATTACAGACATGAGCTACTGCCCCTGGCCCCATTTCCTTTCATTTTCACTGTGCATGTATAGTTGTAAAGAAAATAACTCTTAGTACAGTTAGCTCCCACTGTCATGATTCATGCCAAGGCTCCAAGAGTTCTACCCGCCATTGCATTTGTCCCATCCATACAGATGTTAATACAGTGAAAAAGCAAACAGGACCTTCATATTGTTAGAGAGATAGTTTTGACTTCGTGGAGCCACTGAAATGATTGCAAAGATCCCTGGTGGTGGTAGGGGGGTGTATTAGTCTGTTCTCATGCTGCTAACAAAGACATACCCCATACTGGGTAATTTGTAAAGGAAAGAGGTTTAATGGACTCACAGTTTCACATGGCTGGGGAGGCTTCACAATCATGGTGGAAAGTGGAGGAGGAGCAAAGGCACATCTTACATGGTGGCAGATAAGGGCATGTGCCGGGGAGCTCACCTTTCTAAAACCACCAGATCTCTTGAGACTTATTCACTATCACGAGAACAGCATGGGAAAAGCCTGCCCCTATGATTCCATTCCCTTCCACTGGGTCCCTCCCACAACGTGCGGGGGTTCTTACAATTCAAGGTGACATTTGGGTGGGGACACAGAACCAGACCATATTGGGGGTATCTATGAACTACTCTTTGAGAACCACATTCTAGAAGGACTGGGTGACCCCTGGAATCTGACATGACCCAGTCCTTCACGTGCGGGGTAGAGATACCAGGACTCAGGATCTAGGCAGCAGAATTCCCATCAGGCTTGGTCCCAAAATACTTCCTCTTCTCAAATTAGGTCCATTTCTAGCCTCATGGAACTTAACACATGAGTAGAGAGAGACAGACAATGAACAAAATAAATAAATAACATAGTATATCACAAAGGGATAAGTGCAGTGTAGAAAAGTAAAATGGAAAAAGAGACTGGGGTGGGGACGAGCTTTCCTATTTTAAACAGAGTGATCCTGAAAGCTTACCTTGGGCCCCCATTTAACCTCAACCACTTGATGAGACAAATCTTATTCCCATTTTAGAGATGAGGCAATTGAGGAACAGCTGGATTAAGTGATTTGTTGAGTGTCTCATAGCCAGTAAATGGCAGATCTGGGATTCAGACTCTAAAGCTTGATTCTCCCCACTGCACCTCATTCTCCCAGGTCTATAACAGGTCTCAAACATTAACTTCTAACTTAAGACCCAGCAACAATTCATTTTTTTCTTTTTTTGAAACAGGGTCTCACTTTGTCACCCACACTGGAGTGCAGTGGCTCGATCATAGCTCACTGCAGCCTCGAACTCCTGGGCTCAGGTCATCCTCCTGCCTCAGCCTCCTGAGCAGCTGGGATTACATGTATGTATCACCATGCCTGGATTTTATTTTATTTTATTTTATTTTATGTACTGTATTGTATTGTATTGTATTGTATTGTATTGTATTGTATTGTATTGTATTGTATTGTATTGTACTGTACTGTACTGTATTGTATTTGTAGAGACAGGGTCTTGCTTTGTTGCCCAGGCTAGTCTGGAACTCCTGGCTTCAAGCGATCCTCCCACCTTGGCCTCCCAAACCACTGGGATCACAGGTATGAGCCACTACATCCCTGGCCCTGCAACATTTCTAATTTGTCGCCCCAACTTTGATGTCCTAAGTCTATTTAGGGAAACACGATGACAATTTTTCAAATGGAAAAGATGAGCAAGGAAAAAGGCACAATAACCTCAGAAGACACCAAAATGTACATTTCAGGGAAAATCCTATGTTTGACCATTAGACCTTTGAGTGGATCTCCTTGTAGACACTGGATTTCACCTCTTTGTTTATTCTCTGAGTGTTTAGGAAGCATTTTCTTTGTTTGTGCATGGTAGTGGGTGCTGGGGGAGGAGCCCTACTTCCTATGCTGTAGCAGCTCACAGTTTTAGAGGAGAGGGAGAGAGGAACCAGGGAACATTCCAAAGGCAAGGGGAACCTCACAACCTTAACCAGCAGCATTAGAAGGTGAGGTTAATTTGGCTAAGGATTAGACACAAATGTATGAACACACACACACACACACACACACACACACACACACACACACACACACACATAGCTGATTCCTATGTCTGTGACCTAAGACCTCCTGCCCTATATTACATGAAACTTCTAAAAAGGACATAAATGGCTCCCACATCTGCATAACCTATATTCTCTCACTCCATACGACTAGGATGATGGGAACTTTATAAATGGAAACACTGGAGACAATCACTCTATTTAATCCTAACAGCCATATGACAAAGATATTACTTGTATCTCACAGATGAGGAAATTGAGGCTTTAAGAGCCTATTTGCAAGCTGGGTGCAGTGGCTCACGCCTGTAATCCCAGCACTTGGGGAGGCCGAGGCGGGCGGATGACCTGAGGTCGGGAGTTCAAGACCAGCCTGGCCAACATGGTGAAACCCTGTCTCTAATAAAAATACAAAAATTAGCCAGGCATGATGATACATGCTTGTAATTCCAGCTACTCAAGAGGCTGAGACAGGAGAATCACTTGAACCCCAGAGGTGGAGGTTGCAGTGAGCCAAGATCTTGTCACTGCACTCTAGCCTGGGCAATGAAGCAAGACTCCATCTCAAAAAAAAAAAAAAAAAAAAAAAAAAAAAAAAAAAAAAAGAGCCTATTTTCTTTACTTGGTTTATTTCTGTTTCATTGCTTCGGGCCTAAGCAACCACACAACTGAAGCCATCTCCCATAAGAAAGGTGTGCCCAGTCTCAATCCTGTTCCCAAAACATCCCCAGGCCATGCTTCCCACGCCCTCTGGTTTTACACTTTCTGCCTCTTCTTTCTGATTCAGCATCCATCCTCCTCCTTCTGCCTATGCCTTGCATTTCCCCAAATACTCACTGACTCATAAGTACAACAGATTTGGCTCCTCTGGTTGAACCCTCTACAGTCTCTCTAAGCCTTTAATGTTTAGGGGTTCCATCTGCTCTGATTGCCTGGGCAAATGACCCTTCACCCAGCCACAGCCCTGAGGTCTCCCAGAGTCAGTCTCCTTGTTAGGGCCCTGATGCTCAGTCTCTCCCGGGGTCATGCAAGTGCTGGTCTGGCTCTGAGAGTGAGGCTTCCTTGAAGTTTACACCTTCCACCACACTGTCTTGCATAATCCTCATCCTGGCCCTATAAAAATAGGATGCTTAACATCAGGAATTCCAAAGGCTTTATTTCCCCTTTAAGAACTACATTTCTCTGCAATTACTCACCCACTAGAGGACTCATGGATATAAAATTTCCAGAAAGAGCTTAAAATCAGCACAATCTTCGCTGAATCATAAACCAGTTTTCTCATGCATTCATAGCTCATCCTTGGATTTTTTTTTTCCTCCTGGTCTATTTTCCTCTTCAATAACCAATTTTTTGATGAGTTGCAGTGAGTCAAAGAGAATTGATTCATTCATTAAGTTACTCAGATATTTATTGGTACCTCCTTTGTGCCAGGGCTTTTGGTGCTTCTCTTTTCTGTTCTTTTTGTTTGTTTGTTTTTTTGAGATGGAGTGTTGCTCTTCCTTGTCACCCAGCCTGGAGTGCAGCAGTGCGATCTCAGCTCACCGCAACCTCCTCCTCCCAGGTCCAAGCCGTTCTTGTGCCTCAGGCTGCCGAGTAGCTGGGACTACAGGCGCATGCCACCACACCGAGCTAATTTTTGTATTTTTAGTAGAGCCCAGGTTTCACCATGTTGGCCAGGCTGGTCTCGAACTCCTGACCTCAAGTGATCCACCAGCCTCGGCCTCCCAAAGTCCTGAGATTACAGGTGTGAGCCACCACATCTGGCCAATCTGATGTTTCTGATGGTCAATCAATAATTGAACATGTAGGATTCAACAAGTGTGATTACAAAAACAGCTTTATGATATTTTTTCTGAGTTCTTAACATGGACTCTTTACTGATTGCTGGGTCCTTCCCCTGACCCTGAATACACACATGGGCTGTACCATGACTTTTCTAATTACTCCTGACTAAAAGGATATCCCATAATAAATTAGAGTAAGATTAAAAAATTAGAGTGTCTAGTCCAATATGTTATTTAATATGTCAATTTTGTCATGACTTAAAAAAAAAAATTTTTAGAGACAGGGTCTCACCATGTTGCCCAGGCTGATCTTGAACTCCTGGCCTCAAGTGGTCCTCCCACCTTGGCTTCCCAATGTGCTGGGATTACAGGTGTCAGTCACTGTGCCCTGCCCCTTCAATCTTTATTTCAGAGAGACAATGTCTTCCTCTCTCTCCTGGTTACAGATTAGCTAGCTATCATCTATGACTCTTCAGGACTGAAAGAAAGGGAGGCACATGAATGGGGAAAGGATAGTTCCCACTTGACCATCATAAGTGTGAAGTTTCACACTCACTGTTCCTGGAAATTCTTGACTTTGGCTCTTTATTTCTTGCTAGGTCCATTCTTCTGCAACTCTCTTGATCTGGGCAGAACCTCTCTTTTGGATGGCTGCTCCGGGTATCCCTCACTCCTGCTCCAGGCAGCTCCTTGATCAGCCCCTTTCTGTTGCAGTCTTTTTACGATGAAAGTTTGACCTCATGATATACTATCCATTCCCCTATAGTTGGGGGTTTGGGATGGGTATTTTCAAGGTGTTGACATTCTAAAGAATGATACGGTGAACTGCCTATTAGGAAAACAATTTTGTGATATTGTAAAAACAACTCTTCCGACTTCAAATCCTGTGTTCTTTTCTACAGAATGGCATGCATTCTCACTTTAAGCTATTTTCATATGAAGTTAAGTCTATGAATTTATTCCTCCAACTGATAGCTGCATTTTAACAATCAATGGATTTGGCATCATTAAAGATATTTCAGGCATCAGTGAGCACGCTGGGATGGTTCTTCCTGGAGCCCTTAAAATTAGAGTCACAAGGGCCAGGCGCGATGGCTCACACCTGTAATCTTAGCACTTTGGGAAGCCAAGGTGGGCGGATCACTTGAGGTCAGGAGTTCGAGACCAGCCTGGCAAACATGGTGAAACCCCGTCTCTATCAAAAATACCAAAGTTAGCCAGGCATGTTGGTGAGAACCTGTAATCCCCATTACTTGGGAGGCTGAGGCAGGAGAATCGCTTGAATCTGGGAGGTGGAGGTTGCAGTGAGCCAAGATCGTGCCACTGCACTCCAGCCTGGGTGACAGAGTGAGACTCCATTTCAAAAAAAAAAAAAAAATTAGAGTCACAGGGACAGGGAAATCACCTGTTTCACAAATTACACTTTATAGGAGTGGTTGTTTACAAGTCAACTTTGCTCCATGTGGCAGGCTAATTTTGTTAAGATTAGACTTGGCTCAATCATTCTGTTAGACAACAGAGAAAAACACAGTGTTGAAACGTGTTAAACCTCTGCCCTAAGGAAAAAGGTTGGTATATTAAGAAAAAAACACTGGTTCAGGACTCCAAGGGAGCTCACAAAAGAGGGATTGAGGGGTTGGCTGAGTCCAGGGCTTAGGTCCTCAGTGAGTCCTGATGCCAATCAGTGCTCCCCTACCTTCAGGCCCTCAGCCCTGCGGTTATTTGTTCTCAGTTCCACAACTGTAAACATCTTCTCTTTTTGCCTAGTTTGCTTTTTGTTGTTGGTGGCGGTGGGGGGACTTAGTGTATATTCTGCCTACTGAACTTTCATTGAGCGAAGTATTTACTGAAGATATGATAAGTACCTATGAATAAGAGGCTGCTTGCCACCAGCTTCTCTGGTCTGCGTGAAGAGAAAGATAAGTAAACCACCAATTCTAACACCAGGCAGACTTAAATACACACCAAACAAAGGCAAAAGTGATGGCTCACAGGAGAGAGGGATGCATTTGACTGGAGGATCGAGAATGTCTCCTGGAGGAGTCAACAAGAGAACTTTTCTTCGAAGTAGGAGTGATATATCTACAGGTAAATAAGTGAAGGAAAGCATTCCACTTTGAGGAAAGCAGCATGAGTAAAGGCCAAAAATATTGCCAGGTGTGGTGGCTCATACCAGTAATTCCAGCACTTTGGGAGGCCAAGGTGGGAGGATCACTTGAACTCATGAGTTTGAGACCAGCCTGGGCAACATGGCGAAACTCGATTTCTACCAAAAATACAAAAATTAGCCAGGCATGGTGGTGAGTGCCTGTAATCCCAGTGATACAGTTTGGCTGTGTCCCCACCCAAATCTCACCTTGAATTGTAATAATCAAGATGAGATTTTGAGATAATTGTCAACGGTAGGGAAATAATTGAATGTGAAAGTGGAGATAATGGAATATGGGGGCAGTTATACTGTTCTCACAGTAATGAGTAAGTCTCACGAGATCTGATGGTTTTATAAAGAGGAGTTTCCCTGCACAAGCTCTCTTGCCTGCTGCCATGTAAGACATGCCTTTACTTCTCCTTTGCCTTCTGCCATAATTGTGAGGCTTCCCCAGCCATGTGGAACTGTGAGTCCATTAAACCTCTTTCCTTTATAAATTCCCCTGTCGCAGATATGTCTTTATTAGCAGCACGAGAACAGACTAATACAGCCAGCTACTTAGGAAGCTAAGATGGGAGGATCACTTGAGCCCAGGAGGCAGAAGTTGCACTGAGCAGACATGGCACCACTGCAACCAAGTCTGGGTGATAGGGAGAGACTCCATCTCAAAAAAAAATTATGTACATAAAATGGTATATTTGAGGAAAAACTGATTGTGACTTAAACTAGGGACATAGCCTGCTGTTGAGCCGCATTGCCCAGTGCAGTAGCCACCCAAAGTGTGGTCATTGAGCAACTGAAATGTGCTGTAAGTATAAAATACACACTGCAATTTGAAAACTTAATGTGAAAAAAGATACATTTTATGAATGATTTTTATATTGATTAAATATTGAAATGATACTTTAGATATATCAGGTTAAATAAAACACACTACTAAAATTAATTTCACCTATTCTTTTTTTACTTTTTGAATGTGGCTACTAGGAAATTTAACATTACCTGTGGGGCTCATATTATTTATCTATGAGCCAGTGCTTGTTTAGAAATTAGAATACCATGGGCCAGATGCAGTGGCTCATGCCTGTAATCCCAGCACTTTGGGAGGCTGAGGTGGGTGGATCACCTGAGGTCAGGAGCCTGAGACCAGCCTGGCCAACATGGTGAAAACCCCCTCTCTACTTAAAATACAAAAATTAGCCCGTCATGGTGGTGTGCATCTGTAATCCCAGCTACTCGGGAGGCTGAGGCATGAGAATCGTTTGAACTTGAGAGGTGGAGGTTGCAGTGAACTGAGATCACACCACTGCACTCCAGCCTGTGCGACAGAGCAAGACTCTGTATCAAAAAAAAAAAAAAAAAAAAAAAAAAAAAAGAAAGAAATTAGAATACTGTGAATTTTAAGACAATCTATAGGCAGTGGGATCCTTGAGTATTTTTGAGCAAGTAACATGTGTTGTATCTTCAGATCAGTAAGAGCATGATTTCCATTTTTTGTGTACTTGGATCCACTATAGGCATTTAATACTTAACAAATGTCTTTGCTGAATATTTACACTTTATCCAAGTGATTATTGATCAAAATTACCCTGCAAAAGCTTTATTATAACCTTCACTTTAATGCATGTTCATTTCAGAAAACTCAGATATGCAAAATTAGGAAATAAAACTCACCCAGAATTCACCACCCCAGATAGTTACTAAAAATATTTTAATATGCACTCTTCTGGTATAGGAAGTATTGAAACATTGCTGAAATATTGGAGTATTGAAATATTGCTGAAATATTGTTCTTAAATGGCTACACTGAATTTATAGTATGATGTACAGTTTCTCATGAAAATAAATTTTGTCCTACACATGATTTTTGATGGCTGTATAGTATTTCATTGCATGGATGTAGCCATTTATTTAAGTAATCCCTTACTGTTGGACATTTGTTGCTAATTTTCACCATACTAAATTTACTCAGTTCTTTATTTCAGTTCGTTGAAGTCAAGGAGAGAAACAGCAAAGGTAAAGATGTTTACATTTCTCTAAAGACAGCTCATAAAACAAGTGCATAGAAATATCAACTCCCTTAAGACCCAAGGCTAAATTTGGCAATTAAGTTCTTTTTAAGTGTTCTCAGTGGGTACAGCAATCAAAGTAATTCCTGTTATTGGAACACATTGGGGTGTGTGTGTGTGTGTGTGTGTGTGTGAGAGAGAGAGAGAGAGAGAGACAGAGAGAGAGAGAGAGAGAGAGAGAGAGAGAGAGAGAGAGAGATTGTGGGCCATGCAAATAAACATAAGACAACTTTCCTTGGCTGAGTGACCTCTCCACTCTCTTCTTCTTCTTGTTTGAAAGACTCATACACCTTTATAGAAGTTAGAAGTACAGTACAAAGAACTTTTTTCCTGAACCATTGCGAAAAAATTGCTGCTTAGTGCTAAGTCATCACCAAATGGTTTAGTGTCTATTTCTGCAAAGACATTCTTCTATGTAAATAAAATCCAATCATCAAATTCAGGAAGTTAACCTTGATACACAACTACCATCTAATCTTCTGACTCTACCCAAGTGTCTCCAGTTGTCCCAGTAATGGCCTTTATAGTAAAAGAATCCAGTTCAGAATCACACGATGCATTTAGCTGTCATGTTTCTTTAGTTTTGTTTGATCCATAACAATTCCTCAGTCTGACTTTTCTTCATTTTCATGACCTCAACATTTTAAAGATTACAGGCTAGGTACTTTGTAGAATCTCCTTCAATTTTGATTTAATTTTCCTCATGATTACATTCAAGTTACATATCTTTGGCAGGAATATCATCAAAGTGATGCAGTATCCTCATTTCATCCTACTGGGTGATGCATAATTACAATTAGTCCCACTATCTTCACTCTGATCATTTGATTAAGAACGTATCTGTCCAGTCTTCTCTATGATACAGTTATTCTCTTCCCCTTTGTAATTAATAAGCGTTTGTGAGGAAGTACTTTGAAACTATGTAAATATTCTGTTCTTCCTCAAACTCTCAAAGCATTCATTGACTTATATCAACATGAAATCATTGTTTCCTCCTTTATTCATTTGGTTATAAACTCTTACATTATTATTTATTTTGATGTTGAAATTGTCTGTATGTGGCCAGTGGGAGCCTATTCAAGCTGGCTTCTGTGTTCTCTTAATGCCCACATCATTGAGCATTTCCTTGCTTTAAGGCACAATAAGCTACTTGAGGCTCAATTTGTACTTTCCCTGCCCTAGCTCTAGATTCAGCTTGTTTTAGTGGAACACGGTATCTAGTAGCCAGCGTCTGGGTACTAGGGGTGCTGATTGTTTCTGGGGTGTCGTGATCCCAGGTCCTTTCGGTGGACAGAGCTAGAGCATACACATATACACATACAATTGCCTCTGTGGTTATTTCATATACTGAAAACTATGACTTTATCCTGATACATCTAATTCCAATCTAACACCACACAGGGTTCATTTTATTCCTCCTTTCTGTATTTGTAATTCCCTTTTCTGACACTTAAGAAACCTGGCTCCCCTTATTCTTAATATTGCGTGCATGGTCAATCTCTCTGTATATACACAGTTTCCCATCACTGCTGCCCAATCCCATCCCATGCAGAGAGCTTCCTCTCCATGCTTGGGTTCGGAAACCTTACTCCAAATTCCCTTTGCCTTTGGAGACACCCATCTCACCCTCATTATTCTCTGACTTCTGATACTGGGCCACTTACCTCCCCACCTGATTTCATTCCACTTGGTTTCTACCACCATACCAGGTTTCCCATCTCTCTATTTAAGTTTTGACTCCCCACTCTGGGCTGCTGAGGCTCCCTTTCCCCTTCTGAAATAAACACCTGCATAATGGCTTTAGGAATGAATCATTCAAGAACAAAGAAAAAGGGAAGGGGAAGATGAAGAGCTCCAGTTATTGCTGACATAAAAAAATTCCCTGTTCCTTCTGATTCCAGTGGAAATTTAGTACCCAACTCAACATATGGAGAAAAAAAATCCCTTCTCAATTGACAGGCATAATAATAGTCCTTAAAACTGCCCTTTGAGACTCTGTACCTCTTTTCTCTGTCACTCATGATATACAATAAAATTTGTTAAATAAAATGCAGGGAGAAGGTTTAAATTCCCATGTGCTGATGACAGCAAAGGAGAGAAAATGTTCAGTCTAAACACACAAAAGAAAGGATAACGAGGCAAATACACTCCAGCCTTGAAGACAGCAGATCTAATATTTTCATTGATTATTGAGCAATCACAAAGGAACACTCATTGCTTGAAATCTTTGCAATTTGACTTAAAAAAAATAAAAAGAAAAATAAGAAGCCTCTTTGCAGGCTTTCAAGGGTTCCCAGAGCTATTCTAAAAGGCCTTTTCCACCTCAGATTCTGCAGGTCATAGACTTCTGGCTTTGGTTTTTTTGCTGTGGCTGTGCCAGCTGGAATGTGCTTTCTCACTCTCTTTCACGACAGTTGATAGCTCTTTTATCTCACAGGCACTGGCTGGTCAGAGGAAGACATTCTTGCATATTTCAGAGGAATTGGAGATCACTCTAAGCACAACCAATGCCATTTGTCATTCGCACCAAGGGTTGCAAGCACAGCCTCTTGCCCCCAAGTTCCCATCCCAGGCATTCCTTCTCAATGCTGAATTCAGAGGAGGTAGCCTGAAGCAGGCAGCCTTACAGCTCCCCACTATAACCAGGTCAATGTCTACAATGCAGGGCCTTTTAAAAATTGACTGTGGTCAAGTTCAAGCATCAATGGATATCAGTATGGGAATCTAAAAATAAATCAAGCACAGGAAGCTTCAAAGAATTCCTGGAAGTTAGAAGGAACTGGAGGTTACAGAGGGCAGTGGGATGACTTCTAATGACCTCATGGATGCCATTAGGAATTCTCAAATTGCCAGGAATGTCATTGAGTACTGCACCATGCTGTCTTAAATGGAGGCAGAACTGAACAGAATAAGTATAATAGGTCTTCAGTGTTCAGAACAGAAGTGGGTGGTGGGAGGCTGCCGTGGTGGTGTCTGCTTTCCCCTGAGGGCTTGATGTAGGCACATTTCAGGCCCTGATCCTTCAGAGGCCAATTTTTATAAAGAAATGGCATGCCCATTCATATCTGGTAAATGTAGGATGTCCGATGCAGCGTGCAATTCCACCTGCTTATTAGGGTTTTCCTTTCATCCCTTTATGTTAAATTCAGTATGTCTACACCACACTCATAGATTTTCCTTACAAAAACTGCATGGATTCTTGGTTATTCTTTTGGCAATGACAGTCATGCACACTTAAAACTCTGAGGCTCATGTTCTATTCTTCCTTCTCCCTTACTTCTCCTTCCCTGCCAAGGCCTCTCAGTTACCAAGTCCAGAAGATTCTTTTACAACATCTCTACCATCGATCCCTTAATTTTCTACTGCTTGGTTGGTAGTTCAGGTGCTAATTGCCTCACCCCGGTCTGCTCTATTTAGCCTCATTTTTTTTTTTTTTAGTGAAATGTTTTTTATTTCATGCATGAACAACTTCAAGTCTCTTTATTAGAGAAATTCTATATATTGGTAATATAAGCCATGGGTCACTGTGGGTTAGTTCTTTAAAAATTAGAACCAGGCCAGGCGTAGTGGCTCACACCTGTAATCCCAGCATTTTGGGAGGCTGAGGCGGGTGAAAACCTTGAGTCTAGTAGTTCGAGATTAGCCTGGGCAACATGGCAAACCCTGTCTCTACAAAAAATACAAAAATTAGCGAGGCATGGTGGCGTGTGCCTGTGGTCCCATCTACTCAGGAGGCTGAGGTGAGAGTATTGCTGGAGTCCGGAAGGCAGAGGTTGCAATAAGCCAAGACCACACCCCTGCACTCCAGCCTGGGTGACAGAATGAGACCCTTTCTCAAAAAAATAAATAAAAGTGAAAAATAAAAATCAGAACTACTAATTAGCATCAAACTCTTCTCTCTGTTATTTTGTGAAGTGTTGTGTGCAGTCATATTCTATTGCTGCAATGACAATTCATACAAATTTTAAGAAAATCATAAGATGCATAGGAATGCCAAGTTTTCCCACTCAGTGGCTTTCTTCATCATCTCACGCAGTCTGCATGGATGAACTGAACCATAAAAGGAGGTGGGAGGTGAGAGAGATTTCCAATGGTCACTGTTTCTTCATATGATCTTGACCCATATCTTTATATATGTGCCCACAGTTAAAGGTTGCTGCTGGACATTTTAGCCCAATGACCACGCCTTGCTTGGAGCCTGGTAATGTTTATCACAAACTACATAAAGATCAAAAGTTCTGATTGTAGGCCATGCCTAGTGGCTCATGCCTGTAATCCCAGCACTTTGGGAACCCAACGCGGGTGGATCACCTGGGGACAGGGGTTCAAGATCAATCTGGCCAACATGGTGAAACTTCGTATTTACTAAAAATACAAAAATTAGCTGGGCATGGTGTTGTGCACCTGTAGTCTCAGCTACTTGGGAGGCTGAAGCAGGAGAACTGCTTGAACCCGGGAGGCAGAGGTTGCAGTGAGCTGAGATCATGCCACTGCACTCAAGCCTGGGTGACAGAGCAAGATTCTGTCTCAAAAAAAAAAAAAAAAAATCTGATTGTAAAATATTACCTTTCCCTATATACTCTGCTTTAGCCTCACTAAGTAGCATATTTAGAAAAATATGGAGAGAATGGATTTTTGAAGGCAAGTCAGACTACCCTAAACACACAAGGAAAAAAATACAAGCTTCCTCCTCACACAGTGCTGAGCATCTAATATTGTTAAGAAATATTTAGGTGGCAAAATGATAGTGTGTGGAAATGGAATTGACTGGATAACACAACACAGAAATTATTTTTTTTAAATATTTTAACCTAAAAAACAATAGTGAATCATCATAAAAACAGAAACAAATTTGTCTGGAAATCAATCAACCCATCCAGGCAATTAAATGGTGTAATAGAGTAAAAAAATCTCATTCTTTCTAGCTCTGCCACTGTAAGTATCTTTGGAAACATGACTAATTTACCTTCCCATTTGAAGATTAGACATAACATATTCATATTTGTCACAGATATTTTTACAAAATTTTGTGGCCCCCTGTGGAAGTTCTAGTGAAGTACAAGAAATTAAACAGCCTGGAGTATACAAACAGAATGTCTAGACTATTTTAAAAAGTAACCATTTGACACACTTTAAAAATAGTCATCAATGCGTTTATTTCAAAAATTATAATAAGCTTTTTTAATAACAAAAAGATATTTTGTCCCTAGGTATGTAATATTCAAGAAATGTACCCTTTTATCTTTATGTAAAGACAGCATGTATAATGTAATGGAAATTTTATGTAGGTACTTTTTTAAAAAAAAGCTGTCTTTACATGTTAGCTAAATGTTTTTGAAGTTTAACTGGATGTTATTGTAAGCCTTAAAAATAAAAACTGCTTAAACATTTTGGAATGTTCTATTGAAATTAGTTATCACAGTGAACTTTAAGGGTATGATTTTGTTACCTATTATCAAACATTTCTTTCTTCCAGCCTCATAATAAAAAAGTAACAGTCCTTAGCTCCAATCACAAATAGAATAAATATGACTATAATTTCACAGAGAGAGAGAACATCAAGGTCAAATTTTCAAAGCCACACGGAGATTAGATTGGCACAAATGAATGTATGCATGTATTATAGTCAAGTGAATAAAGTGAAAGTACATATATTGTGTATTCATATCAACGGATACTGTAGGGAAGCTGTTCTCTTAGGCAGGAATTAGCTGTAGTTGACTGAGTTTGCAAAGTACAGCAAGGTTATTAAATAAACAATACAGTAAGACATTCCACTTAACCCAGATCATAAATGAAATCAATCGCAGGCTGTTCATGTCTGTGCTGTGGAAGGCATAAACTGCATTTCCTCTTTCTGTAAGTGGACTGATAAAGAGAAAGGGTGTGCAGTGGATACTGCTCAGCCTGCCCTTTAAAATTATTCTACAGAAAGAGAGAAAGAAACAGAGACCGAGATTGCAACTGACTAACAGTGTGCTGTTCATTGACTCAAGGCACCCAAATCACACGGGCTGCCTCAAAGGTTCCCCACAGGTGGCAAAAGAGACAAACGACCTTCTGGGGCTCTACTTCCAGCAGACAGCAGAGTACATGCAGAAAGAGAATCACTGCAGAGCAAGACCAGCCAGATCGCACTCCCTGCTCAGGCAGCCTCTCTGGGACTGTGGAAATGCTTTGAAACACCCAGCATTGAATAAATGAATGAGTGAGCCCCTGTGCAGTTCATTCACAGGACTTGCACTGAGATGGGGTTGTTTGAAGGAGCTGGGGCGCTCTTCACAAGGAGGAACCTGAATATACCAAATGGCCTGCCTAAGGCCTCCTGCAGTCCTTTGGTTACATGGTCTCTTGGGAGGAGTTTATTGAGATGAGCTTTGCGGCAGTCAAGTTTCCTTTTGTTTGTGGGAAGTAAAACGCAAGAGCTTGTTGAAGAGACCCCTGAGTCAACTTTCCTGAAGCCCACAGTGAGGGAGTGGGGTGGAGGAGGGGATCCCGATAATGGAAGCTCACATTCAATTGTCTGATTTGTGTGCCTCTCCTCAGTGTGGGAGCAAATCACCTTTCAGTTCAATAACAAATGCAATTCAGACCTAGGTGTCAAAGAAAGGCAGGACTTGTCAAATCCTCATCACAGAGATACTGAACACAAAGACCCAGCATCTAGGTCTAGCCACTTCCAGGTTTGCTCATGGCTGACTTCCGGTCCGGTTAGACTGCATCCAGATGAAAAGTCATTCTGATTGGTTGCAGGTTCTGTAGCGACCATAGTTCTTTTGAAGATGGCCTCTGTCTAAATTCTCAGCAGTCCACGGCATTTAAGGAGCCCAGGAAGTTCACAAGAAACAGCTGTAATTACAACAGAGAGAGGAAGGAGGGCAGGGAGGGATCCAAACATGCGAACAAGTTAGCCATCTTTTTTTCTGGATGGAAAATTAAGTGTTTTCTTTAACCCAGAGCCAAAGGCAAGAGGGAAAAAATTTGGAAGAAGCATTGTTCATACCACTCCTGAAGCTGCCCTAGGGAGGCATACTTTTTACTCTTTCTTCTGCCCTCATCTGTAAAACACTTTCCTTAGTTCTAGTCCTTTACTCCATTTCATATTATGCTTTACACTACTAGTCGTAGCTTTTACAATATGTGTGATCCTTGAAGGTAGAGAGGAAGCATATCACACTTTTTGTCACCTCTATTATACCTTGCATGTTGCATAGCTTTTCTTGGCCTGACGAATTAATGCAAATAAGTGTGGTCTTGCTCAGTGGGTTCAGTGCTGTCTACTCTAAACTAAGCAAGACTCTGGAATAATATGAGACTTTTATCCAGAGAAAAAATGATCTGCCTCAACCCACTCTTATTTCCTACTTTTTCAGAGAGGTGAAGACTCTGCCAGTGGCCTCAGTAGGCTCCAGTTGTATGTGAATGTGTGGGTGTGTGGTCCTGCATGGGTCAAACACAGCTCCCACTTCAGGGAGGATGTGGGGACAACAACATGGCTGCTGATTCATAGTTGCCCACAGGATGACTCTTCTTTCCAGGCAGAGAAGGGGGTGGATGAGTTATTCTTTGCTTAAACATCTCTGGGTGAAGAAAACGACTGACATTCTTCAGTGAGCTATTTCAGTTTTCCTTTATACAGAAAATTCTTTTCCATATTCACTCAAAATCCTTCTGCCACAAATTAAGCCAAATTTTCCTGGTTCTCTTCTTTCCAGAGATGGATCACAGGTAGACACCTTCCTGCATTCTGTAACTGGTTGTAGTTAAAAATGTTTTTGAAAACAATTTTTTAAAAAGGCATTTTTACCTATTTCAATGGGTAAAAAAGTGTTTATTTAATGAAATGTTATTAAAATGAATACATTACTAGGAATCCCATTTGAAGTCTACAGGGCTTAGAGAGGAGAGAGAGCTGACGTCTTGCTGTGAAAGTGTTTTGAATTCAAAGTGGAGACAGGGTGGTGTTATGGGACAATCTTTTCTTTGTACAAGGTCCTGGGTGCTCTGTTTTGTGTTGATTGGGTGGGTTGTGTGGGAGATAGGATGGATGTGTTCAGCTGGCTCAAGTGTTTGAGGTGGGAATGTAAGAGGAATTCATTGAGATTTCTATGTGGTGACAGACAAAGAATCTTAAAGCTCTTGCTTCCTTACCTACCTTTATTGAAAAATGCACCCAGTCAAACTCTGTCATCAAGGCAGGAATGATAGGAACTATTTACACAAGACTGTCTGTTGAGTGGGTTCTGTGGAAACCAGACCACCCTTCCTATGGATCATGTGCCAAACTCCTAAAATAACTCTGAGGGTCAGGGCCCTCCCATTATGGTATTTTGCTTTTCTCTGTTGCACAGAACTGCAGGGGTGGAGGGGCTGGGGCAACAGTTTCATTGTCATCGTGCTTCACTGCAGCCTCTCCCACTCCTAATTTATTACCATCCTTTTACTTCCTCTCACACCCTCTCACCTACTTAAAAACGGAAAGAGGAAAGGAGTTACAGGACAGCCCTTTGACTGAGAAGGCAGCTGCCTCTGTTGTGTGCTATCAACAAGTCCAAGCCTTCGTGGCCTATCCAAATACCTCTTCCAAATACTAACTGATACAGAAAATTCCATCTTATTCACTCCCAAGTTCAGATCTCTTCCATGGATTTTTGTATTCATTTTTTCATCTTTATGCAATTACTTTATTTTCTCCACATATCCCTCACACAGGCACAAAAACATTCTCCTAAAATAGTTTAACAATATTTTAGAATCATAACAGAAATGCACAACACATCAGTGTATACTCCTTAGGAATGTAAACACTAGCTGGGAATTTAGAGATCATCTAATCCAACCCTCTTACTTTTCAATGGAAAGGTCAGAGGGTTCAAATCACTGACAAATCAGACAGGTAATTAGTAAGGGAACCAAAATTAGAAATCAGTACAAATGCTTTGTGTAGGACTCTGCATAGGACATGTCACTTTCAGTCAGTCAATGCCCAATATAAATAACTGTGATGTGACTTTGAAATAAGGTATTAAAACTCTCTAATAATTAAGACGGATGAGGACTAAGATGAGGAAGAAAAGAGTTGCCAGAGGCTCAGGTATGCTCTGAAATGTTATATCTGTTGAAACCCAAAGGAATATTAATTAAGGGAGTTTTATTCTGGGGCAAAAGCACATAGATAGCTGTTGTAATTGTCAAGACAAACTCCTGACCTTTCCGTCTGTCAAGTGTCACTGCCATGATTTAAACATTATGGCGCTTGCATGAGCCATTATCTGCATTGCTCTTTGTTATAAATTATACTCAGAATGTTCTACAGCATTACAAGAAGAAAAAAGAGACAGTGCCAGTAGAACAGAGTCTTGTTGGGGCCCAGGGGGTTAGATAACAATGGATAAAAATTAATTCTCCCCCAAATCACATGTATCCCTGCTAGTGTGCCTTATTGCCTTCTGCCTACTCTTGCATTCAGTGGATTATCTACCAATGACAACTAGTAGTCAAGTTCAAATATGGCATGTTAAAAATCAGTCAGACTGTCTTACAGTTTTCATAAAATTGCATGTGATTTTGCAGAAATGCCAGATGATAAAGGAAATACCTATTGGTAGGTGCTTATTTCTTTAGAATGCTAATGAGAATTTTATTGCTAACAATATTTAAAATTAAAACAGTCCACTAATTTTTTAAAAATGCATGAGCAACAATGAGAGTCAGCGGATTCCTCTGACACCACAGCTGTATTAAGAAATACAGTAAGACAAAATTATACCGGGCTTCCTTCACCCTTTAAATGGTTCAGAAATCCTTGAACTTAAAAATCATAGAAAAATGTTCCAGTAATTTGGTTTTATCAGTGACCGTGCTGTCTTGTGGAATGTCTTTCATTTTGGATACAGTTTCTGCTTACTCAGTGTCATGAATGTTAAAGAACAAATTTTGAGTTTAACCACCATACTCTACTCTTCACAGATAACTGAAATTCACATTTTTTTCAACTTTCTTTTATGAAGTATGCAGGAAGTACTGTCAATGAATTAATGTATCTTCTGATCATCATATATTTCCCATTGCTTTAAATCAGTAGTTCTGACCAATGATAGTTTTTATATTCCTAAGCCACCTTACACACCTTTTGTCAGGTTCATAACAGCATAAAGAGGTTATTATTTAAAGAGCCAAGGCATGAGTTCAACCCTGAAATTTACTAGGGACCTCTGGCAAATCACTTAATCTCTGAGTCTTGATTCCTTCATCTGTAAGTGAAAGCATTAGATTAGACAAACTATAAAGTTTCTTCACGTTCTCAGGGTCATTGTATCTTAAATGGTAAAAAGAAGGCCAAGAGAAGGGAAGAAGAGGGTGGGAGGGGCCGTGTTCTCGATCTTAATGTCTGCAAAGTTAGCAGCCAGCAGCACCAGTGAATTCAAACCCTGCCTGCTGGAATCATTTAAAACAGTAGTGAGAGCACTCATTTCCTTGCTAGAACAAGATCTTATTTCATATCAAATGTTGCAGTTCCTTTAGAAGCCAAATTTGAATTAGTCATAATGCAAGAATCCCAAGGTATAATCAGGATTGGATCACAAATCAATTACAGAGTAAATCACTGTATCTGACTTCTTATAAGATCATTTTCTATACTTGCCCATGAATTCTTATCTCTCTTATTGTTCACTTTTAGACCATCACTTAACTAGGTTTTAAAGCAGAGATGAACAAACCTTCTGCAATTGCACATTGGAATATGAGAAACAATTTAGCCAAGGGCATTTTTTCTAATCACTTTGCACTCCAGTAAATTGTGCTCATGCATATTTATATATAAATGCTCAGTCATTCTACACTAAGAAATCCATACCTACCCATTTCCTTGGGGAATGTCTATGAAATCAATTTTTCACATTAGCTGTATTACTGGCAATGCAACCCATAATAGAATGCTCTTTTGCGGGATATGAAGGAAGAGATTAGGGCAGGTGGTATCTAATAGGAGCTCAAAATCATAACTGTTTAGGGGAAGCCCAAGAGAGAACTTGCCTTTGGCATTCAAGAAGAGAGAACACAGCACATTTCTGCCAGTGGCCCTGGGGCCTTTTTATTATGGAGCCCAAGAGGCTTCTGTGGAGAGGCTGTGATAATTAAAACAAGAGTCAGAATGTGGCCCACTCAATCCCGCTGACTAAACTCCCTTGGATGGGGTCTAAGTCAGGCCTGGCAAAGTTAATTTTGCTTGGCAGGAGGTCACATGCAGTGAAGCTCTAGTGAATTTGCCATGAAAGTTCTCAGCAGACCATTCCTACACCACTGGCAATTACGTTTTTGACAGCAGCACGATGTAGCAGTGCATATCTCGTTGCACCAAACCAGCCAACGTAATTGAGTACCTGTTTTGTATCAGGAAATGTGAAGGCCTTGAGGGTACTAAGTTAATCACACATTTTATATCCCTCAAGAGCACTGAGTTCAATCTGGGGTTCAAGGAAACCTTCCTGGAGCAACTGATGCCTGCAGTGAACTTTAACAGAGAGAGAAGAGTTAGCCTTGTGGAGAAGCAGGGAAACCAAGAAAAGAGTAGAGCCTTGGGAAAGCTTGATAACTGCAGTGAAAGGCAATCAGGGTGGTGTGAGCAAAGCACAGCTTGGCAGCCTTTTTCTGCAAGGACCAGATAGTAAATATTCCAGGCTTTGTGGCCCTCCAATACTTAACTCTGCTGCCATAAGATGAAAGCACCATATATGATTGGGCATTGCAGTGTTTTAAGAAGACTTTAATTTTAGACAAGTCAGGTGGTGATATTTGGCCCGTAAACCATAGCCTGCAGGCCCCTGGAGGAGAGCACACAGAGCAAAGCAACATGGTGACTGGGAAGGTCAAGGGCCTGTGACGCTGGGACTCCTTGGCCAGCCCAAGCAGCTTGTGCTTGTGAAACATGAGAGATTGCTAAGGCCTGGGCTGCCCGTATAAAGCCAAAGGCCAGATGGTCTTCACGTCACTTGCTAAAACTTAGGAAGGAAGACCTACTCCAAGCAAAGACATTGGCAGTTGTATCTCTTCTCACAGAATGCCCAGTGCTCCTCGGAGGCCTTGCCTAAACATATGCAAACCAGAGGTTCCCAGCTTGGCCCAGCTCCTCCCTGCACATCCCTGTGAGCATCAGTATCTCTTTCCAGTTCTATCCAAGGGCCTCTGGAGATGAGACCGCTTTTCACGGGCTTGTTCAGGAGCAGAGGAAAGGGACAGGGGCCCTAAAAAGCACCAGTGATTGTCTCAACAGAGTCCATGGGTTTTCTAAACCTACAGGAAGATTTGGGAAATTATACACATTTATGCAAATATATTTTCCATTTCATTACCATTTCCTGTCTCCTTTATTTCCAGACTCCCACCCCAACTGAATTTGTTATGAACCCAACTGAGAATAATTTGGCTCATTCCTCTCATTGTATGACAAATGGGCTGGCTCCCTGCCACACATCCAAAATGTGCCCTTAAGTGAAATGGTGTCTGTGCTCCTCTTGCAACTCCAGGTAAGAGACGAACCCAAGGGTTGCCACCACTCAGAGGAGCACAGCAGGATTAGCCCCACACAGGTGAAAAGAAAGTGAATGGTTCTTTCTGTGAGCAGATTTTCTTTCTAAAACAATGCCTCCTGCAGCTAAAGGAGGAAAAGAGGAAACCAACAATACCAACAGCTAGGGGAAGAGATAGGTGAGGTCTCTGTTTTCTGATGAGGAAGCTAAGCCTTGGAAGCCAGGCTTCAAACCTAGCGGGGGCATAATGATCTTTCCAGTGTACATTTTTGCTTTTGCAAATTAGAAGAGTTATTAAGTTTATGAGTCAGTATCATGAAGATCAAGATGATATCTAAAAGGTTACTGGCATGCAGTTTCCATAATATTGCTAGAAGACAAGACTGAATCATAGCCTCCCAGGAACAGAAGAAACCTCAAAAGTTATCGAGGCTGTTGTTTGGCAGCAACTGGAGCTACGTCCAAGCTGGTGGGTATGCAGCGATGGGCTGGGAACTCATCTCCTCTTGGAAGTGGTAAGTGGTGATATGGAGGCAGTCCAACTGACTCCGGGGTTTGAAAAACAGAAACATGGCTGAGTAAAGCCACCAATTAAAACAGACCCTTGTGAGCACTGCAGAAGATGGTAGTTTTCAGCACATGGTGCTTGTAAGTATCTGACAATTTCATAGCTTGAAACAATTGGGCAGTCAAATAATCAACTTGAAATCTCTGTGCAGTTCGCAAGGTTATTGCCCACAAAATATTAGCTCTAAGATGGTAAAAGGCTATCATGGTGACCTGACTCCAAAGTGAATTCTGTCTTCAGGAAAATCCCAAGTCTTCAAAGGAGCCAAACTGTTGTGGATAAATAGAAGGGAAGCATGAGTATTGTTGTGAAAGAAAACTCTAAAATACAACAGTGTCTATAAATAGTGAGGGCTCCCCAAAAGACTAGAAAATATTTCTTGGAACGAAGAACTGGCTACTTCCACAGAATTTGCCCTTAGACTTTGGATTTATACTGTGGCCACTGCAAGTTGAACATTTTCCCAAATACTCAGAGCAGATGCTCACAACTCATTCCCAAGGCAAAAGCTTCCTCAAATGTCGAGGATACTCTAACCCTTGTAAATTATAAAATGGTCTATGCATGAATATAATTAGATTCAACAATTACAAAATAAAGAAAAATGATGGCTGGGATAGATGCATAAGTTTAATGAAACCCCAAGCATCAAATAGAGGTCAAAAGTTTCTCTTTTTATTAATCTTTAAAGTATGAGTCAGCTGTTGAGTTCATTGTGACAGTTATGGAAATATTTAGTCATCAAACCAAAAATGCTTTATGGCAAACTCCAAATATTAAGTATTTATTTATTTATTTATTTATTTATTTATTTACTTATTTAGAGATAGGGTCTCTTTTGTTGCCCAGGCTGGAGTGAAGTGGTGCGATCATTGCTTACTGCAGCCTCTACCTTCTGGGCACAGATGAATCCTCCCACCTCAGCTTCCCAAGTAGCTGGGAGTACAGGTGTGCCCCATTATGCCCAGCTAATTTTTTGTACTTTTTGTAGAGATGGAGTTTCACTATGTTGCCCAGGCTGGTCTCGAACTCCGGGGCTCAAGAAATCTGCCCGCCTCAGCCTCTCAAAGTGCTGGGATTGCAGGTGTGAGCCACTGCACCCTGCCTAGTCACTGATTAATCTACTTTTAAAAGTCTGAATCAATTGGGGCAGATCAAAGAGGATAAACTGATGTTAAGAAATGTAAAAGATCAGCAGAAAAACTGGACCCTCTGCCAAACTACAGGTAGTGCTCTCTAGCCTTTCCTGAAGGGCCTTGGAATACAGATATGAGAAGCACGTCAGTGTGTTATTAGCAAGGTTCTTAGCAGGCTGTGCTTTGCCACTTCCTTGAGAGTCAGCTGTCCCAAGGCAGAGATCTTTACAATTCGACCCAGACACTGTCGGTCATACCAGGAACTCCAGCACAGAACTTTCTGGAAACTCAGATGTGAGCACTCTACTTTCACTTTGTCATACTCATTTTAGAAGTAAATAAAATATACTGTAAAATTTATATACCATATGTCAGCTATGGGCAAATGATGTTATTGGAAAAAAAATCAAATTATGAATACAACATTCTTCCAATTTCTGAAGATACTCAGCTTAGTTCTTTCTCAATGGTGGGATTATAGATGGCTTTTTTTTTCATGCTTTTCTATATTCAACAAATATTACTTTAATAGTTAGAAAACATTTTAAAATACTCTATTCTCAATAAAGCATGTAAAAGAAAATAAAGATGATAAGCATAAAAAGTATTTAAGCTGGCTAGAAATTATAAGATAAAAATTAAAATAATCACTTTATATTATCAGATGGGTTAACAGAAAGAAAACCTACTAAATCCAAATATCAGCAAGACTACCCAGGAACTGACCCATCAGACATTGCTGTCAACAGTTTAAATTGATAGCATAGTTTTAGAGAAGAATCTACAATAAGTGAAAATATTCTTCCCATTTGACTAATTATAATGATAGTAATTTATCCTAAGGAAGTACTTCAAAAATAGAAAAACAAACCATAAGCACAAGGCTTTTATTATTTTTAAAAGCAAAAAAAGTTTGTGAGAAAAACAATATAAAATAATAAATTGGCTAAGTAACTTGTGATATGTAAATTAATATGATTTTAAGTACCTATTAATATATGAAAACCATATGAGCATAAAATTGTTTATAGCAATGCTAAGTTTAAAAAGAAGGAAAAGTCTACATATAATATGATTAAAATGCATAAAAATATGTAAAATGTAACTAAAGACTAGAAGGAAGCCATGGAGAAATTAGAATAATTGTGCTTGAGTCATGAGATTTTGAACGAAATTTTCAAAAAAAGTACAAGATTTTATTTTTAATGGAAATTTCTTTGTAATAAAGTATTTTAACACAAAGTATTCTCTTCAGCAACATAAAATTATTCTAAATAGAGCAGATTATGTGTTTCTTCAGACGCAAACAGGGTTTTCACCTCCTTATTTTTACCCTCAATCAGATAGGTAGCATTGTGTGTGTATTCTTAGCATCTGTATTCTTACAATTCTTGCAGTTCAATCTCCCTAGTGTAAAAAGTTCCTTTTTTAGTTTCTCCCCCAAATATGAAAACAATCAAGAAGCTATAATAATCAAAACAGTGTGGTATTGACATAAGGATAGACATACAGATCAATGGAATGGAACTGAGAGCCCAGAAATAAAATCATACATCTGTGTTCAATTGATTTTTGACAAGAGTGCCACCAAGACCATTCAATGGGGAAAGGATAGTCATTTCAACAAATGGTGCTGAGACAATTAGATAACCACAAGCAATAGAATCAAGTTGGATCCCTAACTCACACCATCTACAAAAATGAACTCAAAATGAATCAAACACATAAATGGAGGAGCAAAGACTATAACTCTCCTAGAAGAAAACATAGGGGTAAGTCTTCATGGCCTTGGATTAGGCAATGATTTCTTAGATGTGACACCAAAAACCACAAATGCAAAAGAAACAATAGATAAATGAGACCTTTTATCACAATTAAAAACTCTGCTTCAAAGGACACCTGAGGTGGGCAGATCACCTGAGGTCAGGAGTTTGAAACCAGCCTGGCCAACATGGTGAAACCCTGTCTCTACTAAAAATATAAAAATTAGCTGGGCGTGGTGGCACGTGCCTGTAGTCCCAGCTACTCAGGAGGCTGAGGCAGGAGAATTGCTTGAACCCAGGAGGCAGAGGTTGCAGTGAGCCAAGATTGCATCACTGCACTCCAGCCTGGGTGACAGAGTGAGACTTTGTCTCAAAAAAAAAAAAAAAAAAAAGAATATAAAAAGATAACCCAGAAAATGGAAGAAAATACTTGCAAAGCATATATCTGCTAAGACACTTGTATCCAGAAGATTCATTTGGAACATTACTAATCTAAAATTTCAAAATCCGAAATTCTCCAAAATTCAAAGCTTTGAGTACTGATATGAGATAGTGACACCTTTGCATTCGAATGGGTCAGTGTAGACAAACTTTGTTTCATGCACAAAATTATTTTAAAATATTGTATAAATTACCTTCAGGCTATGTATATAAGGTGTATATGAAACATAAATAAATTTTGTGTTTAGACTTGTGTCCCATCCCCAAGACATCTCATTATGTATATGCAATTATTCCAAAAATCTGATAAAAATTTGAAATCTGAAACACTCCTGGTGCCAAGCATTTCAGATAAGGGATACTCAGACTGCATAAAGAACTATTACAACTCAACAACAAAAAGACAGATAATAAAATTTTAAAATGGGCAAAGAATTTGAATAGTAATTTCTCCAAGGAAGATACACAAATGGTCAATAAATACATGAAATAAATGCTCAGCACCACTAGTCATTAGGGAAGTACACATCAAAACCATAATGAGATACCACTTCATATCCACTAAGAGAGCTATAAAAATAATAATAATGAGAATAACAAGTGTTAGTGAGGATGTGGAGAAAGTGACTCCCTCATACATTGTTGGCAGAAATGTCAAACAGTAGTTCCGGTAGTTCCTCAAAAAGTTAAACATGAAGTTACAGTTAAGACCAAGCAATTCCACTCCACCTAGGAATATACACAAGAGAATTGATAACAGATATTCACACAGAAACTTGTACATAAATGTTTATAAGAGCATTATGCAAAACAGCCAAAAAGTTGAAACAACCAGCCGGGCGAGGTGGCTCACACCTGTAATCCCAGCACTTTGGGAAGCCGAGGTGGGCGCATCATGAGGTCAGGAGATTGAAACCATCCTGGCTAACACGGTGAAACCCTGTCTCTACTAAAAATACAAAAAAATTAGCTGGGCGTGGTGGCGGGTGCCTGTAGTCCCAGCTACTCGGGAGGCTGAGGCAGGAGAATGGCGTGAACCTGGGAGGTAGAGCTTGCAGTGAGCCGAGTTCATGCCACTGCACTCCAACCTGGGGGACAGAGCGAGACTCTGTTTCAAAAAAAAAAAAAAAAATTTGACACAACCCAAATGTTCAAAAGATAAATAAGGCCCTGGGCGCAGTGGCTCACGCCTGTAATCCCAGCACTTTGGGAGGCCAAGGCAGGCAGATTACTTGAGATCACGAGTTTGAGACCAGCCAGGCCAACATTGCGAAACTCCTTCTGTATTAAATTAGCCTTCTGTACAAAAATTGGCCAGGCATGGTAGTGTGTGCCTGTAGTCCCAGCTACTCGGGAGGCTGAGGCAGGAGAATGACTTGAACCCAGGAGGCAGAAGTTGCAATGAACCAAGATTGTGCCACTGCACTCCAGCCTGGATGACAGAGTGAGACCCTGTCTCAAAAAATAAAAAAGAAAATAAAAATAAAATCAGAAAAGATAAACAAAATGTGGTGTAAACGTAAAATGGAATATTTTTAGCAATAAAAATGAAGTGCTGATATACACACTACAATATGAATGAACCTTGAATATATTGTGCTAAGTGAAAGAAACCAGTCAGAAAAGACCTCAAAGTATCTGAGTCCATGTATATGAAATGTCCAGAACAGGAAAATCCACAATGAGAGAAAGCAGATTAGTGATTGCCAGGGGAAGGGAGGAGGAGGAATGGGGACTGACTGCTTAGGGGTAAAATATACCTTTTTGAAGTGATGAAAATGTCCTGGAATTGGATATTAGTAGTGGCTGCACCCCATTGTGAATAAAGATAACTGATTTGTACACTTTAAAATGGTTAAAATGGTAGATTTTATGTTATGTGAATTTTATCTCAATTTTTTAAAAAGCTTTCTAAGTATCTGAAGACTACAAGAGGTGCATATTTTTTATTCACAAAGAATTAGTAAGTCTTTCAATGACAGAATTTCCATCTTTGAGTATTGTGTTTGAAGGTTATTTTGTCTCACTGTTTTTCCCCCAGATACTTCTAAAGCTGCTGTGCTCATAACTAGGGAAGCAGAAGAGGAGATCGTCCTCCTGCCCTGGCAACCAGGGATGATGGCACGTGCCTAGGCTCAAGCATGGCAATTCTCCCATCCAGAACTTGGAATCTTCGGGGTATGTCACAAAGACCCAGGGTCAGTTTGCAAATTATTCCCAGAAGTTGTGGCAGCATCAAGAGTCAGGCAGGGGCAGCAGCCCACGTTCAGCTGGAATTCTGTGGCTTAACCCAGGGGTTTTCTATGTGTCATGAGAGATAACACAACACTCTCACCAACGAAGTTGAATAAATTATATTTAGGACTCACAAGCTGGTGAGTTCTAGGAGGGAACAGCTTATGTTGGAAGGCAACTAAGGTGGTTTAGGGGCGGCTTTGGGCTTTTATTATGGCTAGGGGATGAAGTTGGGCTGGGGCTGGCACATGGGCTAGACGGGGTACTATCTGAGGTTCCTGGACATTGACAGGGGCACAGAACATCCACGGTCTTCTTAACTTGGTTGCCCAGGTGTGGGGCAAGCAGGGAAGGGGAGTGGAAACCTACCAGCTGGCGATGGACAAATGTCGCAAATGGAGTGAGCTCCTTTATAACATGCCTTGTGTGTTATTCCAGGTTCTCACTTCACAGAGCTGATAGTGTGAGATCTCAAAGAAACTGCCATGAGAGTCCTTTTCATATTAAGTTAACCAGACTTGATTTCTGTAGCTTGCAATCAAGAATCTTAACTGATGCCAAAAGAGTGAGGAATTTTGAAAAACACTGACATGCCATTTCAGATTAAACAAACAGACATGCAAACAAGCACAGAAGAACTGTGAGCACAGTTCCAAAGCAATGAGACAGATTTTCACAAATGCGTATTCTTTCTGCAGTGAGGACTACAGCAAATCTCAGAGGTCACAATGTTGGGAGAGCTCTTAAGAGGTCATGTACTTTAGGCCCGGCGTGACGGCTCATGCCTATAATCCCAGCACTTTTGGAGGCCGAGGTGGGCTGATCATTTGAGTCCAGGTGTTCAAGACCAGCCTGGCCAACACGGCAAAACCCCATCTCTACAAAATATACAAAAATTAGCCAGGCATGGTGGCAGGTGCCCTGTAATCCCAGCTACTCAGGAGGCTGAGGCACAAGAATCGCCTGAACCCGGGAGGCGGAGGTTGCAGCGAGATGAGATCCTGCCACTGCACTCCAGCCTAGGTGACAGAGCCAGACTCTGTCTCAAAAAAAAAAAAAAAAAAAAAAATTGGTCATGTACTTCAGTCTTCGGTGCAAAGATTCTTCAGACACCTAGCATTTTAGAGTGTGAAAAGAAACAAGAAATCGTCAGGAAACAAATAAACAAAAAACCTTCATTTGCTGATAAGAAAACCTCTGCCGAGAACAAAGTTCTTTTCCCGATCATATCAGGAGTAATAAAGGATCAGAAAGCAGGCATTTAAACTTGCAGTCGAGGGACCCTTTTATCATAGCTGGCAGCTTCTTGGAATTCAGTTCAAGAGGCTTTCTCATGCCTTGGTTGTAGGAAGACCAGACTCTCCCTTCACAAGGTATAAAAGTTTTATCCTGTATCAATGCCACAGTGGTCTGAGGCTGTCTGGCTCATTTATTGAGACTAATGTATTGATGAAGCCAAGGTCATACACTTGAGTCAGGAAAGAGCTGTCCATTTGGCTCAGGATGCATGGTAGAGTGTGGAGATGTTGTCCAGCCATGCTGTAAAAATGGGACCCTGCCAGGGGTTGGGAGGGGCTGGGGAGGAGTATGTGAATATCTCCGTAAATCCATTACTGCTGCTCAGAACACAGGGCAGAAGCACGCTCCCAGCGGGGCTGAGATGAAGGCAATGGCGTCAGCTTTATGTAGAACAGCTGTAATTTAGACTCTGCTTTAGAAAACAAAGTGTATTTGGCCCCAAACAGTGAAGAATTCTATTTTGCTAAACAAAACAGCCTTGCCGTTTAGGAAACATCCTTTCTCTTAGGGTAAATGCCAGATGCTTCTTCACGTAAGAACTTTCCTATTCCCCCTCTGCTCTTCACTCCTGACCAGGCCTGACCTATGAAAGGGAGAAGGGGGCCAGCCCATGAATATTCCTTGCCATGGGCCACCAGTTGCCAATGCTCACTCACCAATTTCTTATTGTTGTAATAAATTTAGAGAGAAACTGCAGCCATAAAAAAGAATAAGCTCATGTCCTTTGCAGGGACATGGATGGAGCTGGAGGCCATTATCTTTAGCAAACTAATGCAGGAACAGAAAAACAAATATCACATGTTCTCACTTATAAGTGGGAGCTAAATAATGAGAACACATGGACACAGGGAGGGGAACAACACACACTGGGGCCTATTGGAGAGTGGAGGGTGGGAGGAGGGAGAGGATCAGGACAAATAACTATTGGGTACTAGGCTTAGTACCTGGGTGATAAAATAATCTGTATAACAAACCCTCATGACATGAGTTTACCTCTGTAACAAACCTGCACATGTACCCCTGAACTTAAAAGGAAAGTATTTTTTTAAAAAAGTTTGGAGAGAACCAGGAGCACTAAATGAATGCCTGAAACAGACAGTAAATTCAGAGCAGTGAAAGACATCCCTGTGGGCTGAATGAATTAAGAATTAGTTGGAGAAAGAGCTGACACTTGAAGAATGGGGAGGATTTCACGGGGAGAGGGGTGTGGGGGTATTGGAGGAATCATTCCTAAACAGAGACACCGGGGAAAAGGTGTTCTAGACACACTCTGAGCAACCTGGAAAGAGAATTGAGGGAAGAGGAAGGTTTATTTAGGAGGGACGGAGGGGAAGAGGGTGAAAAAGCAGCTTGAGGCCCTATTGTGTGGACTCGGGGACAGGTTGAGTAAGTGCGGTCTTCCTTCCTCTGTAGGTAGTGGGAACTATTTGCAGCTTTTTGAGCAGGGGAGGAATGACGATCAAAGCTGTATTTAAGGAAGAAGAATCTGACAGTGCTGCGTGGGCTTTGCTGGAACTGGGCAGTGAGAAGGCTAGAAATTGCATTTGTTCCGGTAAAAGTGATAAAAAAGAAATGATCAGAAGTGGAAAGGTGGGTTAGTGAACCAATGTTTCCACCTCTGAAGGGCCACGGAGCCAGGGAGGAGGATTTACTCTTCTCTGTTAAGAAGGAGCTCTGCTGTCCTGACCAAATGCCAGAAGATGTGACTTTGCTCAGACCAAGCTACCAAAGACCACTGCCCTTCGTTCCACGAGCCTGGCCCTGTCTACACAGACAGGCAACCCAGGAGCCTGATCCAGGAGCCGACAGGTAACTCTGGGCCACACAGCACTTGGCAACTGTACGTGCATAAGGAGTCTCTGTAGATGAGAGGTTCTATCGAAAACAGTGTGTTTAGCAGAGAACAGTGTGGAATTCCATGCATGGGTGATGTCATCTGCTTTGTTTGGTACCTGCCCAACCAGATACGAACTGAGGGCCATGAAAGCTGACTCACCTTCGCAGCAGAAGGTGAGCTGAGAGTCCCTGGCCCTGGCTCCCCAAAGCCTGACTTCAACCAACTCTATTTCCCTACTGATGAGAAGCTGAGTGCACCTGTCTCCAGGCCGCCAGGCCTGTGGGTCCTGTCCTAGAGCTCACCTTCCAAGCCCTCAGCCCCATCTCACACACTCACACACCTGGGAAAGGAAGAAAAAGACAGGAGAGATATTCACATTTTGTTGTAAAACCTTTTAACTAGACTACATATAGGTATTAAAAACCTGGGGCTGGGTGTGAAGGCTCATGCCTGTAATCCCAGCACTTCGGGAGGCGGAGGCAGGCAGATCATTTGAGGTCAAGGGTTCAAGAACAGCCTGATCAACATGGTGAAACCCCATCTCTACTAACAACGACAACAACAAAATAGCCAGACGTAGTGGCACATGCCTGTAGTCCCAGCCACTTGGGAGGCTGAGGCACTAGAATCGCTTGAACACAGGAGGCAGAGATTGCAGTGAGCCGAGATCACACCACTGCACTGCAGCCTGGGTGACAGAGTGAGACTCCGTCTCAAAAAAAAAAAAAAAGAAAAAAAGAAAAAGAAAACAACCTGGGCCATTGCCAGTCTGTGTTTATCCAGGGCTACTGGTCAGAATATTCTGCCTGAATTAAACAGCCTACCCAGTCAAAGAAGTCGTCTAATATCTATTTTACAGAACTGACCAAATGTGTGACTATACCGGCTGTTCAGTTCATATTCTCAAAAGGTACAAATATTCTACCATCCTAAAAGTGCATCAGAAGACTTACTCAGACCCTGGCATCTTATCACTACATTTTGAGTAATAATTTTTTTGTTTCTTTCCTGTTACCACCTACATCCAACACATTTATGTGTAGCAAATAAATTATCCTTGTCACAGATATTTACAACTGCTGATTTGTTGCTCCATAAGCCCAAAAGGAGAAAACAGGGGTCAGCCTGACACAATTGGTAAAGAAAAAAATGAGATAAAGGGGATGTAAACATGTCTGTGATGTGGGGATATAATTATGGCTGGTGCACGTGCTGGGGTCAGGACACAGAATGAGGAAGTCCTGGGTTCTTGGATCCCGGAGCCCAGAGCAGAAGCAGAGACCAGGCAAGCCAGGAAGATGAAGTTGCGCTCTGGAATTCCTTGGCCCTTAAATGTACAAGTGCGGCAGGAGCAGTAGTGGCAGCCTCTTTTGCTTGTCTCCTCCAGTTCCTGCTATGGAGGGTCCCAAGGAATCCTCTGTTCACTGGGGCGAGTTGATGAACTTGGCTCAATGGCTTAGATATGAAAGCATTTCTGGCACATGTGTGTAGTCAGGGGAAATCACGATCTGCTGGAGCTTTGCTGGAACGTTCAGAGGACGGTTTCATTTCATGAAAAACTCCATCGTGGTTGGGCCCGGTGACTCATGCCTGTAATCCCAGTGCTTTGGAAGGCCAAGGTGGGAGGATCACTTGAGATCGGGAGTTCAAGACTAGCCTGGGCAACATAGCAAGACCTCATCTCTACAAAAAAACTTTTAAAAAATTAACCGTGCATGGTGGCACCTGCCTGGACGCTGAGGTGGAAGGATCTCTTGAGCCCAGGAGTCTGAGGCTGCAGTGAGCTATGATTGCACCACTGCACTGCATCCCCGGCAACAAAGTGAGACCTTACCTCAAATAAATAAATAAATAAATAAAATTTAAAACTCCATCCTCCAAGAAAGAAGTCAGGTCGGGGAAGCCTGATTCCTAGCAGAATCCCACAGGGAAGGAGAAAGACAAGCAAAGGGTTTCTTACTAAGCAGCGCTGCAATTGGCTACAGGGAACATTGCGTTTTTCAGGCCCCAGTCCAGTCGTGGGTTCTGCGACTGTGCTCTGGGCACAACCCTGCAACCCTCCTGAAAGGCCAAGTGAGAAGAGACTGGAGAAGCTGAATCCTGGTGACTCTTTCTCAGGGGTGTTGTCAGGGAATGTGCTATGCACAGATCCAAGGAGGAACTGTGCTTGCTACTCTGTTATGGGACACAGCTGTTATATGCCCGGTCCATGGTTGGCACTCTGTTCTGCAAAGTCAAGGTGGGAACCATGGCAAGGGCATTTCACAAGGCTCTCTATCTGTTTTGCCCTGCTGCAAACAGAACAGATTCCTGGGCCCACCCAGCCCTTTGAAAGCCAGGTAAAATTGCTAGGATAAGGGGTTTTCAAGCCCAGGCCTTCAGCAAAGCAAAGTCTTCTCCAAGATGCTTTCAGATCCCTGGAGGGCTTACATTGTCATGGTTCTCTCTGCTGAGATGCTGCCTCCTTAAAAGTGCACATAGCTTTGCTGAAGATGGGAAACTTTCCTGATTTCCGTGAGAAAAAAAGAAACTAAACAGCTAGCATGAGACGCACATGTAAGTATAGTAAACTTTAAGAAAGCTGGAAATCACGGTTTCATAGTACACCCAACATGGCAAGAAATCCTAAAAGTCTGGATTAGACATTCCTGTTCCCCAGCACCTTTTCAGTGTCTGTTGCTGGGGGCTGCTCTTTTGGTCCTTCAGTGAGATGGGGGCAAATATTAAAAGTGATGGTAAAAACCGCACTTACTTTCACACCAACCTAATATGTCCCTTCCTACCTGTAGCTCCTCTCTCCTCCCTTTCTCTTCCTGTCTTTTCTTCTTTTCTTTCTCTACTTCATCCCTGTAGGAACAAACATTTCTGCCTACGCCCCTGGAGTTTCACCATCTAACTTAAGCTGCCATCCAGATATTTTTCCAAACAAAGACACAGTCGATTCTTATTATTCATAGTAGTTCTATTTTATAAAATCATAGCAAACACTGAATCAGAGAGTGCTGAACCATTGCGTCTCGGGGAAACAGAGGATTAGGTTCCTGCAAATCTCTGGTCATGACATTTTTATTAACTGATTAATGGATAACCTTGTTTTATGTGTTTTTCTTTTTAAAGACAGTGTGTTTTTTACGTATTTATTTTGAGATGGAGTCTCACTCTGTCACCCAGAGTGGAGTGCAGTAGCACAATCTCAACTCACTGCAACCTTCACCTCCTGGGTTCAAGTGATTCTCCTGCCTCAGCCTCCCAAGTAGGTGGGATTACAGGTGCCCACCACCACGCCTGACTAATTTTTTTGTATTTTTAGTAGAGACGGGGTTTCACCATGTTGGCCAGGCTGGTTTTGAACTCCTGACCTCGTGACCCACCTGCCTCAGCCTCCCAAAGTGCTAAGATTACAGGGGTGAGCCACCACGCCCAGCCAAGACACCATATTTAATATATACTGTTTACTCATTAACATTGAACTCCCGACCACTAGTGCTATAACTCATGCCCTAATGAAGCTTCTTGAACACACGTACTTCTCCGTAAGGCACATCACAGCCTTCTTGTACTTAGGACCACTAGACCGCTCTTCAGCACTATTTGAGGCCATTTTAAACGCAAAATCACTAACAAAAACCATAAAAATGTAAAACAAGTGCCACTAAATAGATTTCCAAAAGGACTCTTGTTTACTGTATAAGAGCTAAAACAAGAAGGCAGAGAGCCACCTTGTTCAGCCTCAGCTGGGAACAGGAGCCTCAGGTGACAATTTTTTCACTGCTCTGTGGATGTATGCTAGTGGTTACAAAAGCACCACAAGTACTGATTTGGAGGTTACAAATTAATTTTAGCAGGTAAGTGAAGTCAGAAATCTGAAATTAGTAAATAATTAGGATCAACTGTATGTCCTATTTTAAGAAGCATAATAGTGCCAACTGCGAAGGTCACAGTTTTTCCTTTGTCATGTATATATTGGCTTTTGTATGATTTTATTTGAAAAATTGGCTCTGCTGGTTGAAGGAGATTTGAAAATAATGGCTTTAGAAAACCTGATTCATAGCTCATTAAAGTTGTGGTTATTAGTCTTGTAACAAGGAACTGATGAAGCTTGTCAACTAAGTTGAATCTTATATCTAAAAAAGAGCAATATTTGTCCACATGAACAGAACAGAGGAGTCCAGAGATGGGAATGTGGTCTCTAAATGGGACCTTAAGAGTGAAACTTTTCCCTCCCTTCAGCCTGAGACACATTCTTCAGGCCTTTCAGAGTTTTCAAGAATATCCTGCAGATCACTGCAAACCTGGGGAATGTCCTGTTGTTTCAATTAAAAGACAAGAATGACTCTAATAAATTCAGGTGTTCGGGTTGAAAATCAGTACCAGTCTCTTCTGAAAAGTTTACCCTGAGGCTGTAGGATCAGCGCTGGGTGAAATGCAGTAAACTCAGACTGATGATAGGTTTACTGCAAGAGATTTTATGTTTTTTGGAGATTCACCAAGATTCCCAGGTATGGCGCCACTAACTGTTTTCACAGCTCTCCTCTGCTTGCTTTCAGCCGTCAGGCATCACTGAAGGATAGATGGGTGGGTATGTGCATGTGCATGTTATTTTCATTTTCGTTACTTGAGCAGCATTGACAAGCCTCAGTCTTTTGCGGTCCGCAGATCATGATTCTTGGCTATGCAAACCTGAGGCTGATGCATCCTCCAGCAGCTGACCACGGACATGTGCAGCATCACAGTGACAGATGGCATTTCAACCACTTGGTTTACACCTTCCTCCACTGTCACCACCATTCTGACAGAAATGAGTTCCATTTGCTCCATTTTACATAAGGGCAAAAGGCAGCATTGACTCACCAAGTTTACACAGTTAGGGAAAAGAGCAACCAGGTCAGGATCAGATACAACAAAGAAGTGATTGCAGATGTTAAATGGAACATAGCTCTGGTCGTTTGATAAATATTCAGTAATTTCTTCAGTTTGTTAAGAAAAATTATCCAAAATTTACAATTACAGAGGAAGCAAAATTTTACCTGTACCCTATTTTTTTTTTTCTGGGGCTAAGAATTAAATTGACTTAAGACAGACATAAGACAGATCAACAGCAGAAGAACAAATTTACTTAATACAAGTTTTACATGGCAGGAGAGACTACATAAGGAAATGCAGACCCAAAGGCACAGTTAGATTGAACACTTACATACAGAATTAAAGAGTCATGAATTGTGAAAATGTCACAAGGCCAAGAAGCTTGGGCTGAGTGGTTAATTGAGTGAAAAAGTGGCTCGGAAGGTAAGTTTAGTCTAACAAGGTTTGTTTGTACAAATTTCCCTTGGCCTCAACTTCCTATCCTTGATGATAAGAGTGATGCTTTCCTTCTGCTATAGGGAAGGGATCTTTCACAAGCGAATTTCATCTCCTACTTGTAAGAAACAGAAAGTCAGAGTGACCCTCTCACACCTGTTGTTTTTCAGGTGCCCTAAACTCAAAATAGTCAATATGTCAGAGCGGCCTATTTTGGGGTGGTGTGTAACCCCTGAAAACGTAGAGTTGTCCTCTCAATGGTATATTAAGGCATCATTTAAAGGTTATTTCATTATTTAGGAAAGCAGTTTTCAAACTTTGCTTCATAATTGGAAACACCTGGGATGTTCGAAAACTATGGCTGCCTGGCTCCCACCCCTAGACATCCTGATTTAATGGTGGGGGGTGATGTGATAGGCTAAACAATAACCTCCCAAAGATGCCCACCACCTAATCCTTAGACCCTATGAATATGTTCCCTTACATGTAAGAGACTTTGCAGATATGATTAAGTTAAGGCTCTGTAGATGGGGAAAATATCCTGGATTATCTGAATACGCCCAAGGTCATCACAATGGTGATTACCAAAAGAAGGCTGGAGGGTCAGAGTCAGAGAGATAAGGCTTAAAGATGGAGGCAGAGGTCAGAGAAGACCCTGTGCTGTTGCCTCACACGGTGAGGAAGGGGCCACAAGCCAAGAAATGCATGCAGCCTTTAGAAGGTAAAAAAGGCAAGGAATGGATTCTCCTCTAGAGCCTCTAGAAGGAAGCAGCTCTTTGGACCAATTTTCAACTCTGACCTCCAGAACTGTAAGAGAATAAAGCTGGATTGCATTAAGCCACGATGTTTGTGGTAGTTTGTAACAGCAGCAATAAAAAACTAATACATGTGGGATCTCGGGTGTCACGATCAAAAAAAAATTTCTCCAAGTGATTTTAACATGCAGAAAAGTTTGAGAACCCATCAATCTAAGGAAAGGTACTTGTGTTTGACTCTGTCATTAACTTGGTTCAGAGCTAGACACTACTGTGAGGTTACATGTTAGTTTGTAGATTTCTATTTGGTAGAGATGATAACCTCAATTTCAGATTGTATTGCCTGTAGGATGTTAACAGTTTTGCGTCTAATCCAGGAATCTTATTCTGGCATTTTTCCCCCTAAAATGCCTCTGAATATTCAGTTCCTCAAAATGCTTTTGGAACCAGCATTACCAACATACTGGTTCCCTCAATGAGTTGAATACATTTTTGATGCCTGTTCATTCTATATTTAGATGACAGTCACGTTTCTAACTCTTTGGATATACACTTTCACATGTTCAATAAGTATTTACAAGGAGGCAAAAACAAAATGACATGAGGATACCAATATTTTCCCATTGAAATAGATTGAAGTAAGATGGAAGAACTTTTTCTGAAGTTAGGGAGATGAGGTCAGATCAATCACTGTCAGTGAGGCCACACAGATTGGCACTGGGGTAAACCCATCTTCTGCAGCCACCTTCCTAATTCTCAGGCCCTGCTGTTGGGCAGGACAGGCTTGAAATCCTTCTCCTCCTTCATAGCTGTATAATCTTGAGAGTATCTTCTTATGGCCTCAATTTCTTCATCTGAAAAATTCTAATGGTATATGTCAGAGCATCGGGAGAGGAATTTCAAGAAATTGCATAGAAAGCATACAGCCGGGCACCAAGGTAGTAGTCCTCAATTTAAACATTACACAGACAACTGAGCAGAATTGCTCACGAGTGGCTGCCGGCAGCAATCCCCACTTTTGTTACCTCTGGAAGTGATGATGATACCACTGACAGTTGCAGGGGCAGGTAGATTCCATTAAACGGCTGAAAGAGTAAATTTGCTTCCAAGAAGATCTAACTTTTGGCTGGGTAGAAATTTCAACACAAAGGAGAGCCTGACCCCATTTACTGTGCACTCAGGCAGCCTGCAGGACTTTGGAGCTGATGGTCTACATATCACACTGGGGATAGGATGCCATTACCGACCTGCTTTCCCTTTGACATTTCTGCCATTTAGGTACTTTCCTCTTACTGATAGGCTGCACCTGGTTTCATGTTACATGTGTGGCAGCTAAATGGGAATTCATGAGCTTGGCATGTCTTCCCATAGCTAGCCCTCAACAAGACTGAAAGAGTGGGCACTATTTGTAAATGAAAAGACTGTGGGCAGACAGGCAGTCAGCAGCAGAAACTACATTCGTTTACAAATCTCCTTTGCTTGGCTCCAAGGGACTACGTGTCCACACACATAAATACACAGAGGTCCTCATCAGGGCCAAAGACGCATGTGCCTCTCAGCCACCTCTAGGAAATTCTCCCCTGGGCTGCTGAGATTGAGATAACCTTACAAAGGCTCATACGTAGAACTGGAAGGAAGTCAAACCCAGCAAAGACAAATGATTGAGAATCCGGAGAGATTGATTTCAGGGATTAAATACCTACTCGGTCGATTGATCCAACCGTGAATCAAGATAGATAGGAGTGACAACCATGCAAGGAATTTTGACAAGATAAAGTGCCAGATAGGTAAGGCCTCATTTAAGGTCACCCAGAGGTTATGTGGGAAGTAAGTAAAGCAAGAAAATTGCATCTATCACTAGACTAGGAGAAAACAAAAGAGAATGTATAACATTGCTAAACATGAAGGACAGCTGCAGCCCTTCATTTGGGTAAATTATGTAGATGAATCAGATATTTTTATTTATAAGTATGCAAAGTTCATTAATTCCATTGATCAGTTGTATAACAAATATTTACTGGCGTTCCACAATTACTAGGCATGCTAAGTATACATGAGAAGTACAACCAGGGCTGGGCACAATGGCTCATGCCTATAATCCCAACACTTTGGGAGGCTGAGGTGGGCAGATCACTGAGGTCAGGAGCTCAAGACCAGTCTTCTGGTCAATATGGTGAAACCCTTTTTGTACTGTAAATAAAAATATTAGCCAGGAGTGATGGTGCACGTTTGTACTCCCAGCTACTCAGGAGGGTGAGGCAGAAGAACCACTTGAACCCGGGAGGCACAGGTTGCAGTGAGTCGAGATTGCACCACTGCACTCCAGCCTGGGCAACAGAGCTTGACCATGTTCAAAAAAAAAAAAAAAGAAAAGAAGAGTACACTCAGCCTCAAGGAATGCATATTATCTCAACGCCACTGTGCAGATATATAGCTAGTAGAATTGTGTCATAGGAATGAGCAGTTCATATAGCTTGGATTTTCTGTCCCTACCAAACCTCACGTCAAATTGTAATACCCAGTGTTGGAGGTGGGGCCTGGTGAGAGATGACTGGATCATGTAGCCAGCTTGCTCATGAATGGTTTAGCACCATTCTTCTTGATACTGTCCTGCTGATAGTGAGTGAGCTCTTGTGAGATCTGGCTGTTTAAAAGTGCATAGTACCTCCTCCCTCGATCACTCTTGCTCCTACTCTGGCCATGTAAGATGTGCCTGCTCCTCCTTCACCTTCTGCCATGATTGTAAGTTTCCTGAGACCCCCCCAGAAACCCAGCAGATGCCAACAACATGTTTCCTGCACAGCCTGCAGAACTGTGAACCAATTAAACCTCTATTATTTATAAATTACCCCATCTCAGGTATTTCTTTATAGCAATGCAAGAATGGACTAATACAGTGAGATATGAGGGATATTTAAAATTAGGATTATTTTATGTAATTTAGTATCTACTTCTATATGGTTAGGTAGTCCTGCTTCGGACATCTGGAAATAAGCTCTTTTCTCTATTTCAATTTTAGGAGACTTTAACAAATCTAGTGTAGTTCACTTCTTAACCAATTAATTGATGTGTGAGTATTTATTTGTCACAGGCAAAATACCACATAAGGAACATTTTCTCTTCTTCCGCCAAAGGTATCTCCGCCCTATGAAGGCCTTGATGGGGAGCAACTCAGGCCTTGAAGGTAAATGTCCTGTCCCACAGGTGCCATGAGCTCCGGGAAGTAGAGACGTGATCAGACTCCCCTGCTACAGCCTTGTACTTGTCACCGAAGGGAGATGTGCAGGTGCAAGCCCGACCAAGGGACACCTCCGTGGCCATGACAGCTTTTCTTCTTAAAAGAAAAAACCGGACCGTGGGTTCAGAAATCCAAATCCATTTGTTTATACTCGATTCATACCAAAGACTACAAAATATACTTGTTAATCTATATTTAATATAGCTACTTAATACATTTAGTCATCTCATTTTTAATATTTTTTATTATTCATTTTAATCTCTTTTCTTATTTACTTAACAGCAAGCTTATCCTTAAAGATCATCTCATTTTTAAATTTTCATTCTATACTTCAGATATAGTTTCAAATTATCTTTTTTAATTGAAAATCGCAATTTGAGAACTACGGAAAGGTATCATTGAACCAGAAACTCCTGAACCTGAGTATAGCTGAGAATGCCTGAATGTAGCTGGGTGTACCTGAGTTTACCTTAGTTTACCTGAGTCAACCTGTGTTCCTGCACAGACCATATAAATTTTCTCCCAGATAAGAATGAAGATGCGGCTAACAGACATAACCTGTGAGGGGCAGCAGTGTCAGCCCTGGTCTTTCCATTAGCTGCAAAGGAAGTCTGAAGCAGGCTAGACTGTGCCAGAACGAACCGTTTCAGAAACTGCTCAGGCCTGAGTGTGAAATGGGCATCGGATGTAAACAGAACCATGACACAGACTTAGGAATGTTTACTAAATGGCATCTCACCCCCGTAATAGAGATGGAGGCAGCCTTGAACCCCAAACCTCCCAGGAGGTGGAAAGATCAGGTAGGAAGGGGAAGGAAGATACCAAAGTCTTTAGCAAGGTGACTCTTCCGCATTACAAATGCAGTTTCAGAATTCATATTCCCGCTGCAAGGGAAAGAGTAGGACGCGGACAGAGAGATTGTGTGTATTTCATCCTGGCTACCTTAGGAATGGCTTCTGGAACATGTTTTATGCTCTAATGAGTCGTGTTAGGCTTCTCACATGGCACCAAATAGAATTTGTCAGTTTGCTACTGATGTATTAGCAAATTCTGAATTCGCCCCCACCCCCTCACACTACTGTTTTTAGGACTTTTATTTTCAGATGCTTTAGTAATGATAAAAGATGAAACATGCTTAATACTATGAAGAATCAGTTACATTAACAAACTCTCACATCCCTGTGTTTGGAAACGTAACTCAGCATAGGGGCACAGTCTGTCAGTAAGACCCAGGTTAACCCTCTTTCTCCCTTCCCTTGTTAGCTGCACAATCATCTGTTGAAAGCCTCTTGTAGTCTCTGCCTCAGTTCTCCGGTGCTAAATGGTTGTTCTTCTCAGAAGAACATAATAAAAATTAAGCAAGACAAAAATAGAACAGTTTCAATGCGAAATCATTTAGTTAGAAAAATATACCTAATTTTTCTGCTTATATTTGCAAAGAAATCCTGCAATAAATATTTTGAAAGGAATGAAGATGAGTCCAATAAATTTATATTTTATTTTTATAATGGACTTTAGAATATAGAGGGACTCAGTTATGTTAGTAAATGCAATACTTTGCAAAACACTTTGCAAATGTGAAGAACTTTAGTCCAACTATTTATACGTCATATCACTTTTCTATTGCTGCATTAAAAAGCTCCAAACCTAGGAACTTGAAATAACAAACACTTTGTTTCACATAGTTACTAAGGTTCAAGAATCTAGGAATGGGGTGGCTGCATGGTTCCGGCTCAGGATGTCTCACTAAGTTGCAGCTGAACTGTCATCAGCGGCTGTAGTCTCTGAAAACTTAGCTTCTGGGGCTGGAGGCCCCATTTCCAAGTTCAGTCATGTAGCTGCTGGCAGGAGGCTTCTGTTCCTTCCTATGTGGGACGCTCCATGAAACTGGTCACAACATGGCTTCCTCCAGAGTGAAACTGATTACAACATGGCTTCCCCCACCCCCAGAATGAAACTGATCACACAACATGGCTTCTCCCCAGAATGAAACTGATCGTAACATGGCTTCCCTGAGGGCAAATATCTACATGAGACAAGGAGCAAGTGTGATGAAATCAAAATATTTTATAATCTAATCTTGGAAGTAACATCTCATTACTTCTCTGTATTCTACTGATCAAACAGACCAGCAACCCTGAGCCAGTATGGATTTCGTCACACTACACAAAGATATGAATCCCAGGGGGCAGGGACCATCTTGGAGGCTTGGCTACCACAGAAAACAAGTTAAACAGATGATCCTTTTTAAAATCCTTGTCCTGTGGCTTTTAACATACTCATATTAAGATTAATAAGCCTATTTTACTAGTAGGGTCTCCATTTAGCCATAGAATCAGAGCCATCAACCTGGGACAAAAAGTAAGATTTTATCAACTAGTATAAAAATATACTAAACTACTCAACTGAGGCACTAAGGTATCCAATATTGAAATTCGTTGTGAGACAAGCATCAATTTTTCAAAAGAAATATCTGAAAAGTGGTTAGACAAGTCTTAGGCTTTGCACCCAAGGGCTATTCCCACATACCAGAAGTATAAAAAGGTCAAGAGAGAGGGAAATCAGAAAGAATGTGTGAGGGGAGTTGGTTTGGAAGGGGTAATTGATTGCTATGAGTTCTATCTAAAGGTGACGAGTGAGAGTAGCTTTAATTGAATTGTTTGGAGGGCTTCAAATGTGTTCTTTGTGGCTGAGGCTGCAGAATGGATGGACATCTGACTCTGTCCAGGAAATCTGGAAGTTAGGAGAGATGTGTTGCTGAGCTCATTGACACTCTGTAAAGAAGAGTCACTGGCTTGATAAAATCATGTCATTTGCAGCAACATGGATGAAACTGGAGGACATTATGTCAAATGAAATTAGACAAGCACAGAAAGACAAATATTGCATGTTCTCACTCACATGTAGGAGCTAAAAAATATTGATCTCACGGAGGTAGAGAATGGAATCATAGATACCAGAGGGCAGAAAGGGTATGTGGTGGGGAGAAGGGGGTTGGATAAAAATAAGCTGGTTAATCAGTACAAACATATAGTTAGATAGAAGGAATAGGTTTTAATGTTTGACAGCAGACTACGGTGACTATAGTTAACATGAATATATTGTATATTTCAAAATAATTGAAAGAGAGGACTTAAAATGTTCCCAACACAAAGAAATGATAAATATTCCAGGTGATGGATATTCTAAATACCTTGATGTGATCATTACACATTCTATGCATGTAACAAAATATCACATGTACCCTGTAAATATGTACAAATATGATGTATCAATAAATAAAAATTTAAAAATATATTTCTTAAATTAACTTTATCTGAAAGACATTCTACATACTGTACTCAGTCAATTGGATGTCATCATTTCATTCCAGGATCCTCTGCTAATTCCTGAGTTTACTGATTGGGATCTCTGCACTAATTTGAAATGATTTCCTAACATGCTCCTGCCCGGGATGATTGGAAAGGTTAACTACTATCTGACTGTTAAGCACCCTATAAATAAAAACAGCATGAGTAATACTAGCTATATAGTAGAAGATTAGTAACTGTGACCTTTTTAGCATAAAAAAGATACTTTATATTTTAAATGCCTTTTACCCCAGTGGGAAATACACAGAGGTGGTGTTGTGGGTTTTTAAAGGGTTGTAATAGGTAGCAGAGTAAGAGCATAGTTATGATAAATAATAGCTGTCAACTGAAGCATTCATGTAAAATTTATGATGTAGTCAAGTAACAATGACCCACTTTTCATCTCTATCACATTCAGCTGGAAACAATGAAGAATCAGTCTTTTGAGCTTTTGCATGTATTCTTTGATTTTTTTTAAAGACAATATACCAAATAAACAACAGTATAATAAAATCTCTCTAATGTGCATTCTGTTGATATGGGACTTGAACTTGACTAAAGTTTACGTTTGTACCACCTATACAAAAGTTATTTGCTCCGTTTAAAGAAAGAAAAGCTGGGAGTAAGAGTGTGTCTAAAAGGAAATAATTATTTTCAAATCTTCAATGTGTTGGTAACTGAACTCAGGTTACTATATTAATTTGGAAATAAAATTATTTAAATACTTTTTAAAAGCCAGGTATTATGGCAAATGCTTGTAGTCCCATCTACTTGGGAGACTAAAGCAGGAGGATCGCTTGAGCCCAGGAGTTGGAGTCCATAGTAAGCTATGATTGCACCAACACACTCCAGCCTGGGCAACAGAGTGAGACTCCATCTCAAAAAAAAAAAAAAAAGAAAAAAAAGAAAAACTTTTTTGAAAAGAGTCGCTGCTTGAGATTTCCTAGAATATGCAGAGTCAGCCTGGGCAGAGAATGCATAAATGTTTCCTATAGAACCAAAAAGGATCCTGGGTGAGAATGAGCTATCCTGGATCCATTTACAATCCAGGTAGAGGCCAACATGAAGGAGGAGAGACCAATGGAGAAATTCTTCATGGCCTAAACCAACGAAAAAACAAGGTCTGAACCTGGAGCGGCCATTGATGAAAGGGAATTGACCACATCTCAAGATCTGCGGTCTGAGGAGCACCGCTAGGAGAGTCTCCAAATATCCCACAAAATGGCTGATGAGAGAAAAAGTTGGTTTTAAAAATCTAGAGATCCCAAGAGAGTGAGTCACCTCAGACCAGTAGCAGTTGAGCAAGAACTTTCCAACATCCCCTTACTCCCTGCCCTCTCCCCTGCCTGCCTGGGTCCCAGTTGGCAAACTATGAGGGTAAGAGGACCTCCACCCCCCGCCATACCACACCCCAGCAACCAGGCAGCTCTCAGTGGGGTCCAGCAGGGGGAGGCAAGAGTTAACGTTAACTCAAGTTTAAAGTGTATTACCTGGGGCTGGACTTTTTTTGTTGTGTTGTGTTGTGTTTTGCTTTGTTTTGTTTTTGAGACCAAGTTTTACTCTGTCTCCCAGGCTGGAGTGCAGTGGCATTATCTCAGCTCATTGCCACCTCTGCCTCCCAGGTTCAAGCAATTTTCCTGTCTCAGCCTCCTGAGTAGCTGAGATTATAGACGTGTACCTGCCACGCCCGGCTAATTTTTTTTGTATTTTTAGTAGAGACGGGGTTTCACCGTGTTGGTCAGGCTGGTCTCAAACTTCTGGCCTCAAGTGATCAGCCCGCCTAGGCCTCCGGAAGTGCTGGGATTACAGACGTTAGTCGCCGTACCCAGCCTGGACGTTTATATTATTGGAATGACACCATGTGTCTTGAAATGTTTGAAGAACTTTTACCAAAGAGTTACCAAACCATGTTGTCAGAGAGTAGTCAACCCAGGGGCAGGGTTATGATGACACACTGTGAGACAAAATAAGGCTACTTATCTGATTATATCATATGATTTCTTGTTCGATTTATAAAGTTTACTAGCAGTGGCCTCTGTGTTTGATATTAGGGCCATTTTTACCAGGAGGATTCTGATGGCTCCAGAGGTGAATTACAGCTAGAACAGCCCATATTGTTACAGGGGAGAGATGGACAGAAAAACAAGTAAACTGGATGATCAATGGAGCCAAAATGTCCATCTTGTTCAAGGCCTGCAGGGTTAAGGCTGTAAGGGCAGTTTTTTCTCAAGGCCTCTGATAGGTCCTTAACCCACCCACATCAGGGTGAAAAACTTAGAAGCCCTTCAACCTTTGGTGCTTCATTTGTTTGTTCATTAAATCACTTATTCATTCAACGGTATTTTCCAGAGGCTCTACCACATGCCTGGAGCCCTTTTACTCTTAGAAAAACTGTCTCACTATCTTTTGTATGGAGCTGTTTTCTCTATCACCAAGACTTCTGAGTGTCATCAGCTGCGTTTAGCCGGGTGACAGCTTTCCTGTAAGGAATATGTGGACGGGGTTTAGAGAAAGTGGGTATTATATGTAAGTGTGATATCAAACAGGGACCCTGGAAACATCTGATACTTTTCTTTCATATATATTATATATTTATATATTTTATATATGTATGGATATATACACACATATCATATGTTCATATTTACATGTATATGTGTAGATATTCTTGGTAGTGCAGTTAGAAAAGACTTGGAATCTGGAAAGTTTACAGGAAAAATAGTATGTTCTATTTTTATAATACTTTGTGGAATGCTACCTGTTTTTTTCTCTTAAAAAAGTCATTCCTTTACAGCCCAACCCTCTCACATGCAAAAGATCCATTATCCATCTTGGCGAGTACCACAAAGGCAGAGTCGTTTTATTCTTAAAAAACACTAAAGTCTTCTGCTGCGTACAACATTTTCTTTCTTTCTTTCTTTTTTTTTTTTTTTTTTAGACGGAGTCTTGCTCTGTCACCAGGCTGGAGTGCAGTGGCGCGATCTTGGCTCACTGCAACCCCCGCCTTCCAGGTTGAAGCGATTCCCCTGCCTCAGCCTCCAGAGTAGCTGGGACTACAGGGACGCGCCACCATGCCCGGCTAATTTTTTATATTTTAGTAGAGATGGCATTTCACCACGTTGGCCAGGATGGTCTCGATCTCCTGACCTCGTGATCCGCCCGCCTCTGCCTCCCAAAGTGCCAAGATTACAGGCGTGAGCCACCGTGCCTAGCCTGTGTACGACATTTTAAATAACATTTTTGGGGTCTTATGTCTTTTGGGGGAAGATTTTTATATATATTTATAAATTATAACATTTAGATCCTTAATATATCTGAACTTAATTTGGGTGCATAGTGGTAGATAACAATGCATTGAATTGTCACTTCAAACAAATAAACAGCCAAATTTCCAAATAC